>NC_000002.12:10000-313030 GCF_000001405.40 Homo sapiens
CGTATCCCACACACCACACCCACACACCACACCCACACACACCCACACCCACACCCACACACACCACACCCACACACCACACCCACACCCACACACCACACCCACACCACACCCACACACCACACACCACACCCACACCCACACACACCACACCCACACACCACACCCACACACACCCTAACCCTAACCCCTAACCCCTAACCCTAACCCTACCCGAACCCTAACCCTAACCCTAACCCCTAACCCTAACCCCTAACCCTAACCCTAACCGTAACCCTAACCCTTTACCCTAACCCGAACCCCTAACCCCTAACCCCTAACCCTTAACCCTAACCCTTAACCCTGACCCTGACCCTGACCGTGACCCTGACCCTAACCCGAACCCGAACCCGAACCCCGAACCCCGAACCCCGAACCCCAACCCCAACCCCAACCCCAACCCTAACCCCTCACCCTCACCCTCGACCCCCGACCCCCGACCCCCGACCCCCACCCCGAACCCGACCCCGACCCCGACCCAAACCCTAACCCTAAAACCCTAACCCTAGCCCTAGCCCTAGCCCTAGCCCTAACCCCTAACCCCTAACCCTAAGCCGAAGCCTAACTCGTGTCTGACTTTGAGTATTCAGTGCTGCAAACAGGAAGTATTTTATTCACCGTCGATGCGGCCCCGAGGGGTCCCAAAGCGAGGCAGTGCCCCCAAACTCTGTCCTGAGGAGAATGCTGCTTCGCCTTTACGGTGTCCACCGGGTGTGTGCTCAGCAAAACGCAGCTCCGCCTTCGCGGTGCCCGTGGCCCACCCGCCCGGGTCTGTGGTGAAGAGAACGCAGCTCCTAGTCGCAAAGGCACCGCGCCCGCGCAGGCGCAGAGAGGCGCACCGCGCCCGCGCAGGCGCAGAGAGGCGCACCGCGCCCGCGCAGGCGCAGAGAGGCGCACCGCGCCCGCGCAGGCGCAGAGAGGCGCACCGCGCCCGCGCAGGCGCAGAGAGGCGCACCGCGCCCGCGCAGGCGCAGAGAGGCGCACCGCGCCCGCGCAGGCGCAGAGAGGCGCACCGCGCCCGCGCAGGCGCAGAGAGGCGCACCGCGCCCGCGCAGGCGCAGAGAGGCGCACCGCGCCCGCGCAGGCGCAGAGAGGCGCACCGCGCCCGCGCAGGCGCACACAGGCGCACCGCGCCCGCGCAGGCGCACACAGGCGCACCGCGCCCGCGCAGGCGCACACAGGCGCACCGCGCCCGCGCAGGCGCACACAGGCGCACCGCGCCCGCGCAGGCGCACACAGGCGCACCGCGCCCGCGCAGGCGCACAGAGGGTCGCTGGGCAGGGGTTGGGGGTCGTACTGCAGGTGCACAGCTGCATAAGCGCACAGTCGCAAGCCGCCAGGCGCGGAGCGTGGGGGTGGCGGGGTGCAGGCGCAGAGACGGACGTCCCCGGGGGCGCGGCACAGAGACAGGTGGAACCTCAATAATCCGAAAAGCCGGGCTCGGGAACCCCCTGCTTGCAACCGGGCACTACAGGATCCGCTTGCCCACGGTGCTCTGCCAGTGCGCCCCTTGCTGGCCACTAGGGCAACTGCAGGGCTATCTTGCTTACAGTGGTGTCCAGCGCCCTCTGCTGGCGTCGGAGCATTGCAGGGCTCTCTTGCTCGCAGTGTAGTGGCGGCACGCCGCCTGCTGGCAGCTAGGGACATTGCAGAGCCCTCTTGCTCACAGTGTAGTGGCAGCACGCCCGCCTCCTGGCAGCTAGGGACAGTGCCAGGCCCTCTTGCTCCAAGTGTAGTGGCAGCTGGCTCCCCCGCTGGCAGCTGGGGACACTGACGGGCCCTCTTGCTTGCAGTATAGTCGTCGCACGCCTTCTGGCCGCTGGCGGCAGTACAGGATCCTCTTGCTCACAGTGTAGGGCCCTCTTGCTCCCGGTGTGACGGCTGGCGTCCCCTACTGGCCGCCTCCTGCACCAATTAAAGTCGGAGCACCGGTTACGCCCCATCACTTCTGTAAATTCAAACTGAAACGGAGCTATTAGTGGGGAGAGCTGATGTCCCAGTTCTTGTTTAACTTGGAAGAAAGATTTTCACCAAGAGGCAGTACAAAGATGACAGATAACTTCATTGAAAAGAAATACAGTGTAAACACCTTACTGTAGAAAAATAGGGAGGACAGGGCTGATCGTGCATGAAAACAGCCTAAGAGTCTTGTGCAGGGAAGTTACTCTAACTGTAACTTACAACAACTTAGTAGATTATACTTTTGTAAACAGAAGTGAAGCATTTATCTTTTTTCTTGCTTGATTATTTACATAATCAAGCAAAATCTAACAAAACAATAATATTTTAACAATAATATTTTTAAAACAATAATAGTCTTACTTTGATTATGATCAAAAATGATGGTTACTACAGAGAGAATTTTTATGTTTCAATGGAAAAGTATAACATGGCCAGGCATGGTTGCACATGCCTATAATTACAGCACTTTGGGAGGCCAGGAGTTCAACATCAGCCTGGGCAACATGGTGAAACCACGTCTCTACCAAAAATACAAAAATTAGATGGGCATGGTGGCATGTGCCTGTAGTCCCAGGTAATCAGGAGGCTGAGGAGGGAGGATCGTTTGCACCCGGGAAGTAGAGGTTGCAGTGAGCTGAGATTGCACCTTTGCACTCCAGCCTAGGCGACAGAGCCAGATCCTGTCTCAAAAAAAATTTTTTTAAAGGAAAACTACAGCCATTGTGGGTTATCAGATTCTAGTCTTGTTTCTTGTTTCTGGGCTATTTTTACCTCTTTGTAAACTGCATCCTGCCATCTGATGAATTTTGTCCCACAATGATACTTGGGGAACAAGAAGCCAATTATTGTCTCTCCTACTAATGTATCTATTGTCAGTTAATTTGAAGGTCTCCAACCCTGGAACAAAGTTAGAAGAGGAAGGTTCTGCTCCCCAAAATGCATAACCAAATTGTGGTACATTCATGTAATGGAACACTATTTAGCCATAGAAACGAACAAGCTATCAACTCACACAAAGACATGAGTGAATCTTGCATGCACATTGCTAAGTGGAAGAAGACAGTCTGAGGAGGATACACACAGTGTGACCTCATTTAATGAGACACTGGAGAAGGCAAACTACACAGATGGGAAGCCATTGGCTCCATGGGGTGGGGGTTTGAAGCATTCCATATGATACTTTAATAGTGGGATATCTGCCACAATGCATTTGTCAAAATATGCAGAATTTTACAGCCATATGGTTAGAGCAAACTCTATTCAAATTAAATAAAATTACTCAGGATGTGGAGTATCCCAGGACAGAATACATCATGTGAAAAAGCATTTATGCTACAAATTACTATGGTAATTATGCTACAAATTTATGGTACCATAAATTACCATAGTAATTTGTAGCATAAATTTGTACTATGGTACAAATTACATGGGAGAGTGAAGGTGGGTTAAAACATTCATATTAAAGAACTTCCACTCAGATTGCAAGAAAAGAGAGAGGAATGGAGATGGTAGCACAAGTCCCTACAATAAAAGTAGATGTTTTGAGATCAGTTCTATTTGTTCTGACAAAAATTAAAGACAGAAACCAAAGTTTAGCCTGAGGCAACAATTAGTTGGGGAATAAGCCAGAGGCATATATGGCATAGACACATTTAAACATTTCTCTCATATTAATACAAATACTAAAATGACATATCAATTGATTCCAAATAAAACAAATATTTAAAACATTTAATGAATAAACACTGGGGTCTACAGTAGTAGTTAAAGGAGATCTCACAAACAGGTTTGGTTTTTGAAGGTTAGAAATGATGGTCTAGAGAATTCATTTCATTCCAGAGACAGAAAGAGGAATATCTTGGGTTCCTTCAGGAATACATCTGGCTTTGCCTCATCTTTGTGTGTTTGAACTATGCATACGGCAGAAGAAAACATGGGGGTTTCAGAGTTTTTTTTTTTTTTGAGACAGAGTCTTGCTCTGTTGCCCAGGCTGGAGTGCCGTGGTGTTATCTCGCCTCACTGCAACCTCTGCCTTCTGGGTTCACACCATTCTCCTGCCTCAGCCTCCGGAGTAGCTGGGACTACAGGTGCACCACACCTGGCTACTTTTTCTGTATTTTTTAGTAGAGATGGGGTTTCACCATGTTAGCCAGAATGGTCTAGTTCTCCTGACCTTATGATCCAACCGCCTCAGCCGCCAAGAATGATGGGATTACAGGGGTGAACCACCACGCCCGGCTAAGGATTTCACAGATTTAAGGTGCTAAAATCACTGGGTTCTCTAAGAAGCCTGGGATTCTTCTGCTGGAAAAATAAGTTTGTTGAGAAAAATGAGTTGGAGGAGGTTGTTATTGAAGTGAAGCAGAATTGTTTTTACTAATCTGCTTATTACCCACTCTGAAGTGTGGAAACAAATTTTTCATGCACAAGGTCATCTTACTGTTACTGGAATGCAGTGGAAAGAGAACAGATTAGTTTTTCTCTCTCAGAACACAACCACTAGAAACGTCCTATGTCAGATGAGATATTGCCCAGTTATTTTCAAAAGACTGAAAAATCCTGGATGTAAATGTTTGCTGCAAAATAAATACATGCTAGAAACAGAAGCATCTGGGTCACAGCTATATTAGAGCTACCTGTGTTCCCCTGTTACTGAGATTAAAACAAAAATGTCCAATAAAAATCATTCACAGTGTGGGAGAGGGGAAGTTGAAGGATGGAAAGGCCAGGCATAAAAAGATTTCAGAATTTCAGTCCATAAGGAAGTTGCTTTGTGCATTGTCTGTTGCTGTGTGCAAGGTGAAGGCTGGGGCAAGAAAACGTGCAGTAACAAGGGCTCCTTTGTCCATCTCACCTCTCTAGATACCAAGTTTCAGACATGTTGCATTTTAATTGAAAAGTTGATATAACTTTTTTTAAAAGAATACTTGCAGTGCTTGAAGTGTAAAAAGCTGCTGTGACAAAAAAAAAAGCAGGGAAAGGGATTTTTTTTAAAAAAGCAAACAGCAACAATAAAAAACCCACAAACAACAAATAACAAACAAAAAAACAGAGGAAGAAGTCGAAACACCCTGGGCTGAGACTATTTCCAGGAAGGGGCTACGAAAGGCAGTTGGAAATTCCATTTTCTTTGCAACTGTGGGTTTTCTGGCCTGCTTCCTTTCTAAAGTATATTACTTTCTTTTTGGTTCATGAAGTTATCCCTTTGTGTCTTCTGGAACAGCTATGTATTTTCTTTATCTATCATCTAGCTACCTGCCTATCATCTATCTGTCTTTTCTGCCTTTTGCTATCAAAAGCTTGGGTCAAGCAGGATAGAATTCCAGTGTATGTTCACTCTACCATTTAAAACAAGAGCTCTTGTAGGCATTCTTCATCACATCACAAACCTGAGCTTTCTAAAACAGGGTGTGGCAAACTACCATGCATGGGCCATGTCTGACACAGTCTGCATTTGTAAGTAAAGTTGTATTGGGACAAAGCCACATAGATGTGTTATATAACATCTCTGGCTACTTTCATAGTACAATGGAAGAGCTGAGTCATTGAGACAGAGACCACATGGCTTGGAAAACTTAAAATATTTAACATTTTGCCCTTTGCAGAAAATACTTGCTAACTCTTGTTTTAAAAGATCTTTGTTTAGAATGCTACCTGTTGCCTTCTGGGTAGAATCACAACTATATACCACAATAGACACAACTTGAACCCTGCTTCTATATCCAGCCTCATCTATTATTTCCTCTCCTTCTTATTTTCCTTCTGGCCGTGCTGATGGATTGTCAGCTTCCCAGATGTGCGAGAATCTCTCCTCCCTTCCCCACATTCTCATGCTCTCCCTCTGCCTCTGGAGAACTACCTGCCCCATCTCTCATGATAAATCCTTTCTTCATTCTTTATGTTGCAGCCCCTTTGCTCCTTCCTTAAGGATGTCTATCTGGCTCTATTTTGGGTGACATGCTCCTTCTGCATCTCCCAGAGCCAGCCTGTGTGTGTCAGCTACAGCATTTCTTTGCATCTCTGTGTCATATATCACCAAATCTGCCTAAGCTTGAGTGAGTCACTGCATGACAACTTCAGACTCCAACAGCATTGTCCGCACTAACCACGAGGCTTAGACATTTGTCCAGTATGCTCAGGGTTGTGGGGTGGTAGCAGTAACCAGCTGGTGAGCATCATCTCCTACATTAGAATGAAATCTGTAGATCTCTGCCATTCATAAGTATTTGGAGTTTAACATTAGCATAAAGATTTTCCTTAAAATAAGAACAAATGGCTTGAGTCAGCTTTTGGAACATAGGATATTTCCACTGGTTCATTTCTGTGTTCAGTATTCCCACATGAATCTAAACACGACTCGACTCTTAGTAGCTGTGTGACCCTGGGAAAGTCACTCAATCGCCCTCAGCTAAATTATGTGTGTGAGTAATGAGAAGAGAGTTGTTGTTTGTATTTAGTGAATAATAACAAACAAAAGGCATTTAGTTTTCTGGAACCTGATATGTAGTAGTTCCTCATGAAATACTAGCTCTGTTGATAAAACTAGACTGAAAGGAGCTTTCAAAGTCAACAACAACATCATGCAGTGAAGGATGTAGATGAGAAGCTGCTGCTGCAGCCTGGAGCTCCTGGAGGCCCGTTTTGTCCATGATTTAGCAGGAATGCATTACCTTTCCATCAAGAGATGCTGCCCACAGAAACCAAGGCCATTCTTTGAAGACAAACATGTTTTAATAGCATTTACATTATATAATAGTGTAATATAATTATTAATAATGTAAAATTATTTAGATTATTATGTTATGACTTTTGTACAGACCTTTACACCTAGGTATTCTGAAGTTGGTGGTCTGTGAGTGGCATCGAGTGATGACTGACACACTCTGACCTGGGGTAGAACAACACGTCTCCCTGCAGTTTGCTGAATTTTAGGGCGTCACCACCTGTTTTCAAGAGTGTGTTTTTCTATCCTCCCGAGTTTTGCCCACCTAAGCAATGGTTTTGCTGTAATAAAGAATTACACTATTTACCAAAATGTTCCTTTGGAGAATAAAGTTTTCTTAAACTATCAGGACCATAGCTAATGTCAGTGGCGCCAAGGATCAGAAGGTAAAAAGGCCTTTTTTTGGGGGGGCCAAGAGAAAAAAAATCACCACATTTCAAACTGTCTCATGCTAGTCACCGGAAAATTAGAAATGAACACACTCCCTCCCAGCCCAGTCACAGCTACTAAATAACAAAGATCTCCTGCAGGTGCCTGCAGGTGCTCCTTTGTGCGCCTGGGGTTGCTGGCTGGCACTGGGCAGCAGGCAGCAGAGCTGGTCCCACACAGGCACATTGAACAGCCTGGATCTTGGCCTGGCGCTGGCTGGGAAGCTATTTGATGTCAGGCTCAATGTGGACTTCTGAATTGAAAGGAGAGTATGGGTCACCCAGCCCCACTTACTCATTTTACAAAGAATGAAAATGGGGCTCTATGCCAGACGTGAGAGTACACATTGTAAGGCTGTGCAAGCTCGCTGCACTTGTATCCACTCAGCACACACTTACTGAGTGCCGAGTGTCTCCAGCATGAGAGGGGCTCTAGTTCCCGGGGTCCCACCCTCCACAGAGGATGGCAGCACTTTGAGGGACAGAGGTGCAAAGAGCAAGTTGGGGGCCCTTCTGCTGGAGAGGTGGCTGGGGAGGGTCCTTAGAGGAAGTGACACCTGAGCTCTTCTCTGAAGGGTGAAGCTGAATTACTTGAACCTTTGGGCGAAGGGGTGTCTAGGAAAGTGGAGCCTGTGAGTCAAAAGCAAAATGACTTGTCCAGAGAAGTGTGACAAGTTCCATATTCTTTCTATGCCAAACTTGAATAGGAATCACCAAAGGAAAGAGCAGGATCCTGGAGCCAGGGCCTTGGATTTCACCCGCTGGCAATGGGAATGTTCACTGGGAATTTTGGGGGGCAAAACGTGAAAGTGTTTTCTCTTAGCTCCAATTCTCTCTGTCTCTCTGTCTCTTCCTGTCCCTCTCTCTCTCCCTTATCTTTAATTTTTCTATTATTCTAAGAAAACACAGATGTCTCAGATGTGGGGATTAGCAGCCTGCCTCTTTCTGGATGACTTCAGGGGAGCACTTTGGCCTCTGTAAGCTTATTTACAATAATTCATGAATCTTGCAAAAAAAAGTCATGGTAGCAGAGGTTAGAAAATCTCCTAGTATTTCTTCTGATACTTTGAATTTATGATTAATATATTTAGTCTTCATCTTCTGAAAAGTTACCAGTTGCACAGTGAGGACCATAAAGGGAGTCTGTTTCGGTGGTTTCTGGCTGCAACAGTCAGTGGTTTTGCAGCAATAGCATTGCATGTGGGTTTTAGGCTGATGATGCTCAACAGTGGACAATCCTTTTCACCTGCCTTGGCTGCACTGCCCACCCTTCCATACAGTGCGGGGTCACAGCTGAATTCCCCAAGATACCTTGCAGGATGTCGGCTTCTGAACTTTCAGGTGTCTTCCAGGTGAAGGCTTGGTCTCATAGCCTTTGTGGCTTCCTCCAGGTAACACTTGGTTTTTTGACCTAACCCTGGTATTTGTGTGGCACACGTGTGAATGTGTGAATGTGCTCCCTGTGGCAGTGCTGAGGAAGGGCTCAGTCATCACAGATGCGAAAAGGCAGTGTGCTCTTTTCCAACATCTCCAGTCTTGTATTATTTTTACCCATCAGCCCATTTAAAAAAGAAACACAAAAAGCCTCCTGTTAGAATTAAATCCCCTCTGAAGATAATGGGTATTTTTAAAATCTTTAATTTTGTTTATAGTCACATTTGCTCCCAGTGCCTGCCAGGATCCACTAGAGGGCAGAGACACCCGTGTGTATTTGGCTGGGTCTCACTCCTGAGAGAGGAGACCTTCCTCTGGACCAGGTACCAAGACAGACCCTAATTGGAAAATGTTGTCTTCTAAGGAAAGATGCAGCACCCACTAGAAAGGAAAACACCAGAAAGTTTTAAAAAGGAAAAACCAAGGGAAGCCGAGGAGCTTCTTGATAGGGGACACAGCAGAGGCCACCCAGCTGGGGTGAATCTCCACAGTTCCCCAACGGGACGGCGGGTGGGAGCCCCAAGTCACTGGCCCCTGCAGCATGGGGGCAGCTGCTGAGTGGTAATCAAAACAGACACCCTGCCCTCCCGCAGCCAAACTCCAGTGCCAGGCCCAGCGGCAGCAAATAAGAAAACCTCGGTTTCTCTACCTGCATCAGCTACACGGTGCTCACACACGGGAGGCATCAGCCAGTTTTCTCAATTAAAGAGGTAGAAACAAAATGTGTCTTCACTACTTTTTGAATTTACCATGTTATCTAAAGTTTTAATTTAATTGAATGAATAAACTCCCTATGCATCTGGACACATGCAGGAAAATTCACAAACATTTCAAACCAAAACAGAGTATTTTGCCAAAAGATAATTTCTTTGATACGTGAATGTCACTTTTTTCTATCTTTTAGTGATTTCAGTGTAATGAAATTGGGAAGTCTGTGCCTCTAAAAGACTTTTTTAAGAGCATGGTATTTCTCCATTTTGAAAAAAATAGTTGGCAAAATATCTTCTACTGTAGGTAGAAGTTAATTGGCTGAGAGTAATAAACAGAAGATTAAAAAACGACCTTTATCCCTGCTATTCTGTCAAGGGCTACAGTGAATTACACACCCCGGCATGGGTTTGCACGCCACGTGCTGGAAGCCAGCAGTCATGCAGGCCATGCTCTCCCACACTTAGAAAAAAAGCCCATGAGAAAGAGTTCCGTCAAGTTCACACAGAATCACCTCCAGCAAGACCTGGAAAAAGCTCAGTTCCACAAAATACCTGTGTCCAAATACTTTGAGTGCACAGCTCTGGCATCAGGTTCCTCTGAGGACAGGCTCTGAGATGGATTTCTGGATGGAAGCTGCTGCCGGAGGAGACAATGCCACTGCAGATGGCTCATGCTGCTCCCATGCTGCAGGGGCCAGTAACTTGGGGCTCCCACCCGCCGTCCTGTTGGGGAACTGCGGAGATTCACCCCAGCTGGGTGGACTCTGCTGTGTCCCCTGTCAAGAAGCTCCTCGGCTTCCCTTGGTTTTTCCTTTTTGAAACACTCTGGTGTTTTCCTCTCTGGTGGGGGCTGCATCTCACCTTAGAAGACAACATTTTCCAATTAGGGGCTGTCTTGGTAGCTGGTCCAGAGGAAGGTCTCCTCTCTCGGGAGTGAGGCCTGGCCAAGTAACTCCAGCCAGAACTCTCACTGAGTGGAGCTGGATCTGCCCTGTTCTCCTCCCATCCTCGTGCTGACTGTGAAAATCCATCCGTGCCCTATGCAAAGTCCTGCATCTTGGACTGTAAAATGGCAAAAGCCAAATTTAAAACAGATGGTTATATTGACTCTATGAGGAAAAGAAAGTTCTAAGGTAGACAATTGGTAAGCAAACAATTATGTGTAACTTGTTAGAACACTAGGGTGTAGTTTATTCGTCTCACTGATTATTTTCTGTTTAACAGGCTGGCTAAGAGCCAGAGGGAGAGAAGGCTGGCTGGGAATTGAGAGGCATGAGGTCACCTCAGTCCCAACATTTCCATGTAAACGATGATGCAAGGTGGGCTGATGGCAGGAGTCCCTGGAAATTCTCACAATCTCAGCTCTTAACTTCTGTAAAATATTATGTCATTTAGGATCTCTTTAACAAATAACGTTTTTTCTAATTTCAAAAGTGTATATTCTCTTTGGAGGATCTTTGGTAAATATAAAATGAGTTATAAGAGAGAGAAAAATTATTCACAATTTTATCACTCAAATTTTGATAATTATATTCCTGCATTTTTAATGAAATGTAGAAATTTTAGATTATACTATACATAAAATGTTGTTTCTGTTTTTTCATCCAATATTAGATAATAAACGTTTTACGTGGCATAAACTATATATGTAAATCAGCTATTTCCAAACCTGGATGCTTGATTTAACCCTCCTTATACCGTTAGCCATTTAAATGATTTCTCCTTTATCCTATGAATAACACTTCCACCAGTTATTATTCTTATATATAGCTCATTCAATCACGCATAATCTTGTTGAACATTTACTTACAATTTAATTGCATACTACCTGAGTGGATTGTGGTTATATGTTTATATGCTTATTCCAAATATAGTGCTAAGATTAGCATTAGAGACAGGAAAATATTCACAGGTTTTGAAACCAGAAGGAGCCAAACACAAATCCACGATCCAGCTCTGCATACTCTCACCCAGCCTTAGTTTTCTTACACAGAGAATGAAGACAATACTATTTGCCTTGTGGCATCTCTGTGAAGTTAAAGGAGACATCGATTGTACACACAGCACTGCATGGGCGGCGGGAGGCTGGGCCCCTACCAGCTCTAAGGACAATCACCATTGGATGCTCCACGATCCTACTCTCAGGAGGCTCGTATGCCATATGCCATGTGAGTGTCACTTACCCGGTGAACACATACTTGTTTATTATAAATTACTCCCGTGCTGTTTTCTTTGTTTTACATGTTCACAAATCTGTTTAAAAAGGTACAATTATGAAATTAAAAGTTAACTAAAGGGGGATGTTTTAATTATCTCTGAAATTTAAACCCCCAAATCCAGGTAATAAAGCAAGGAAATGTCTTACAGCCCAACACTTGCCATCAATACTTTTTCGATGTTAGTGGGCAGGGGAGGGTAGTGAAAGTGAAGGAATCAGAGCTCTGATGGGTGCACATTGTCTTCCCTACAAATCCATTTCTTGTCCAGCTTTCCTTCCTCTTTGGGGCTGCTCTATCCTTTTCTGCACATTTGAACTCCTCCGCTGTGGGCCATTCTCATTTGCTTTACTTCCTAGTCTGAATTCCATGGGACCTGCATTTAAGAGGAGAGGGGAACCACTTTGGGACTGGAGGAAGTTCACCTTATGCCATATGCCTGCCTCCTTCCTCTACAGTGAACGGTCTCTGGTGTCCCTGGGTGTTCAGTTTCTTTCCACTCATGCGTTACTGACTGTTCAGGTGGCAAATGGCCCATGACCTTTATGGTACTTAAGGGAAAATAATTAAAAGCTGTGTTTCTTTTTTAGTTAACTTTTATTTTAGGTTTGGGGGTACATGGGTGGGTTTGTTATACGGGTAAACACGTGCCACAGGAGTTTGTTGTACATGTTATTTCATCATCCAGGTATTAAGCCCAGTACCCAATAGTTATCTTTTCTGTTTCTCTCCCTTCTCCCGCCCTCCCCCCTCAAGCAGACCCCAGTGTCTGATGTTTCCTTCTTTGAGTTCACACGTTCTTATCATTTAGCTCACACTTGTAAGTGAGAACATGTATTATTTGGTTTTCTGTTCCTGTGTTAGTTTGCTAAGGATGATACCCTTCGGTTTTATCCATATTAATGCAAAAGGCATAATCTCGTTCTTTTTTGTGGCTGCATAGTATTCCATGGTGTATATGTAGCACATTTTCTTTATCCAACCTGTGATTGATGGGCATTTGGGTTGATTCTATGTCTTTGCTATTGTGAATAGTGCTACAGTGAACATTTGCATGCATGTGTCTTCATGGTAGAATGATTTATATTTGTCTGGGTATATACCCAGTAATGGGATTGCTAGGTCAAATGGTAGTTCTGCTTTTAGCTCTTTGAGGAATCACCATACTGTTTTCCACCATGGTTGAACTAACTTACACTCCCACCAACAGTGTATAAATGTTTACTTTTCCCTGTAACTTTGCCAGCATCTGTTATTTTTTGACTTTTTAGTAATAGCCATTCTGATTGGTGTGAGATGGTGCCTCACTGTGGTTTTGATGAGCATTTCTCTAGTAATCAGTGATCTAGAGCTTTTTTCCATATGCTTGTTTGCCACATGTTTGTCTTCTTTTAAGAAGTGTCTCTTCATGTCCTTGGCCCACTTTTTAATGGGGTTTTCTCTTGTAAATTTGTTTAAGTTCCTTATAGATGCTGGATATTAGAACTTTATCAGATGCATAGTTTGTAAATATTTTCTCCCATTCTGTAAGTTGCCTGTTTACTTTGCTGATAGCTTCTTTTGCTATGCAGAAGCTCTTTAATTTAATTAGATCCCACTTGTCAATTTTTGCTTTCATTGTGATTATTTTGGGTGTCTTTGTCATGAAATCTTTGCCTGTTCCTGTGTCCAGGATGGTATTGCCTAGGTTGTCTTCCAGGGTTTTTATAGTTCTGGGTTTTACACCAAAACTTTTAGTTTTGGTCTTTAATCCATTCTGAGTTGATTTTTGTGTATGGTCTAAGAAAAAGGTCCAGCTTCAATCTTCATCACATGGCTAGCCAGCTATCCCAGCACCATTTATTGAATAGGGAATCTTTTCCCCATTGCTTGCTTTTGTCAGAAAAGCTGTGTTTCTAAGACTTTGCCCAACATCCTTTAACTTTTGACCACATCTCTCCCCCAGTCAATAGGCTCCAGGTAATGGGACAGGATTCTGGGAAATAAAGAGCTGACCCTGAGACAACGCAAGTGAACACAGGCAAGCTGCTGCATAAGTAAACAAAATGTGTGTCTTTCATTAAATATTAAACAATGATAGACTGAGTATGTAAGCATGTTACCATCACAGGTGTGGAAGTGCCTAACTGTGACTTAAATTTTAGAGCCTCAGATTTTAGATCTGGAAGAGCCATGGGTTTCAATCCATGCTGGGAGAGGCTCAAGGTTACTCTGGAGAAACACGTAGTTTGGGGAGGCTGGAGACTGAGGGGTAGGCTCTCATTCCCCAGCTCCTTCAATGAGTCTGATCTATTTCATAATTCAGTTATTGGAAAATGATTCAAACAACTCAACCCAATTCCCTGTTATTTGGTCAAAGCCATCAGTCCTCATGCTTCTTGCCACTGCAGCTGCGGGCTCCCACTCTCCACCTGCTCTCCTGCCCAGGTTGGGGCAACCAAACTCCTTCTCTTGCTGAGGAGAGAGGTTAGGGAGGGACCTTTTTTTTTTATTATTTGAGGGTGTGGTTCAGTTGTAAACAGTGTATGTTTTAGAATTTGTGTTATTGTGATGGCGATGACCAAGTACAACATATTTCCCATTTGCCTTGCATTAACAAAAGCATGTATTTTACACAATTGAAGTTTTTGGATCCTACTTATGTACTTTATTAAGAATAGTGAAATTTGAGCAGAGAAGAATTCTAATTTTGCATCAGAGTCAAAAGTGAAAATGAAAGGAACAGACCCATGAAGGAACAGGTGTGAGCTGTTTACTTCATTCCTGCCAGTCCTGGTTAATGTTCAGCTCTGGCCCTGCATCCCACTTTCAAATGTGGTGGATGCCTCACCTAAGAAAGGCCCTTGCCACACTGGCTCTCTCTGCTCACCCAACTGTACTTACTTCTCTTAATCCCCTATGAACACTTTTTTCTGAGTGGGGTGTGTTCTCTGTATAAAAAAGTATTGTTGCACCACTTATTGAGGACTTTTTGGATGCCATGCTAAGCATTTCATAGTCACAAGTGCATTGTACAAACTACCCTTTATAACACTCCAATGAATTTATATTCCCATATGAATCAGCCTGAGGAAGTGGCGTGCTGGAGAGATTAAGCAATTAAATGACAGTATACAGTTAATTACTGAGGGGATTTGGGTTTAGAGCTGGATCTGTGATTCAAACACTCATGTCTATAACCACAAGTGTTACCATATCATTTGCCATATCAGGATTTAGAATCCCTGCTGGCAGGCCTGGGAAGATGCATTGTAACCAGATAAGAGGTAATTGCCACATTTACTGAGTTGTGAGAACCACTGTACTGCCTCTCATAGAATGCCAGGCGCCCCTGTGTTTGTCTCAGTGTCTCCAGCTTGAATTGCTTCACCCCGGCGAAGCAATGCTGCTCCTCTCTCCTGCATGGATCACCTGCTCCTGGAATTCATTTCTCCCATTTCTTAGGTTGCCACTTTACTGTAGCTTCCTGATCTAAGGTAAAGCTTTGATGCTGTGCATGTCCCTAAATGCCTGAGCACTATTCTCACACTGGGTTGGCGGTTTAGTTGGGTTTAAAATATATATATTTCTCTCAGGATGTTAAGGCCAAATTTTGTTTTCTTATTATATCTAGAATTTCAATGAAAAACTTCAGTGCCATTTTGGTTCTTGATTCTTTGCAGGTGATCTTTTTCTTTCACCTCTCTGGAAACTTTTCAGATCTTTACCTCTGTTGTTATCAAATTTCACAATAATGTGCTTTAAATTCATGTTGAGGGGAACTCATTAGATCTTTTAAATCTGAAAATTCATAAACTTTATTTCTGGAAAATGTTCTTGATTTTTAAGTTGAGATAAAATTCACATACTACATTTTACTCATGTAAAGTGTACAATTTAGCACTTTCTGGAAGTAGCACAGACTTCATCCCTATTTAATTTTAACACATTTGCAGCACCCCAGAAAGAAACGCTGTATTTCCCATTTTTCCCTCCTCCAACCTCTGACAACCATTCCTTTTTGAGGCTGAATAATATTCCATTGTGTGGACATACTTCATATTATTTATCCGCTCATCAGTTGGTGGACGTTTTGGTTGTTTCTACTTTTTGGCTATTATGGATAATGCTGCTACGGACATCTGTGTATAAGTTTTTGTGCGGACATATGTTTTTAATTCTCTTCAGTATGAAGGCTTCAGTAGAATTGATGGGTCAAAGAGTAATTCTCTGTCTTACTTTTTGAGGAACTGCCAAACTGTTTTCCAAAGCAGCTGTACCATTTAAATCCCACTGATTTATTTTCTGACATTTGTATTCCTTCTGCTTTTATGCTTTTCTTTCTGTGAAATTCCATTTTAAACTCTGAAGATGAATCAGGAAAATCAATACAGCTTCTTCAACAAATAAATTACAAGAAAATGATATATAAGAGATATAGGGGAAATGTATAAATTCTATAGGCTTAAAAACACATCAGCTAATCACAATGTATGAATTTTATTTGGGAATATAGATGGAACAGAAGTGGCCATGTTCTTCTGGTTGTTCTGAAGGGTTATAGATATATAGGAGTTTGTTATAGTCATCGTTTATTTACATATATGTTTAAAATTCTCCATATAAGGGTTTTAAAAATTCCACTGGAAGCCTTATGTTTTAAAATGTACTCAGAATTTGTTTTAATCAGAGATGTTAGGACCGGCAGACATGGAAGTGACTGTCCCGTTCATACTCACGAATCCCTAGAAATAGGAGGCAAAGGGAAGCCCCAGGCAGAGGCAGAAGGAGAGAGGGGAAGGCATGGGCAGTAGCCTCTGCTGTGGTCTCTGTGGGACAGCAAGGCCAGGCAGGGCAGGCAGGCTTAGGCTGGCCAGTGTGAATAACTTCAGCAGGCTCTGGGCCATAAGGGCCATCTCTAGTTGCCTAGTACCTGGCCCTGGGGTGATTAGGGAAGGCAGGTATTTTCTCCTACAGTATCAGAGCCAGATAAAGTAGGTGGTTAGGAGTATGGTTTCTGAATTGGTAGTTTAATTGGCTGGCCCTGGGAAAGGCAATCTTTTTCCAGTAAACCCCAGATGCTAGAGCATCAAGAAAATAGAAAATAAGAAAATATAATTAATGCATTCTGTATGCACAGATGGAGTCTTCCTTTGCTTCCCCAAAGGAAGAGTCCACGGGAGCCTGGCACTCCTGGACCTGAAGAAACCCTGAAAGTGTTGGTATCTGCAGATCCTCTCCAAAAAGGTTCGCCAATCTCCTAAGACTGCAAGCCTGACCCCAGCATTCTGGGAGCCAAGAGGGAGAAAGAGTCTGTGGATCTCCCCGCTCAGTAAATTGGCTTTCACTAAACACTCTCTTTGCATAAGCAGCATTACCCAATGTCCTGGAACTTAGAAAAGTCCTTTTTCAATGTCTGAAGAAAATAAATTGTTTCTTTTTCTGATGTCAGGGAAGAGTATTTGACTGCCAGTGTGGAATGAGGGGGACTTGGGATCACACTCTTCCCAATGTGCTTTGAGCCGACCCTCTGTGTCTGCCTCACGATCTCCTCTGCTTATCTAGACACTTGAGAACCCTAACCCAAGCCCTTCTAGGAGTCTGTGGTTTGGCTCAGCTGCCTTTGTAGGCATCTCTTGGGATTAAACATTTTCCACTCTGCTAAGTCAGTACAATCTATTCTTCTGCTTCATCTTCAAAAGACACTGAGCCTTACCCCACCCTCCACACCAAGTCCGTGGCACGCTTGAGGCCACAAGATTGCTGCCATAAGATTTTTGTATTGAGTGCTCTCTCTCCAAGCAACTGTGAGAGATTTCTATGGGCAAGGCCTCTGGGTTCCTGTCAAATTAAATTGTAGTTGAGTGTTGGGTGCTATTCAAGAAGCATCCACCTTTCTTCTGCCTAACAGAGCCCTGAATTATTTAGTCACATGGTTTGAAACATGGGGTGGGTGCTGGTTGACTTAACCTAACCAGCTCTGTCTCATCCTGTGTCACAGTTATTGGTTCCAAGGTGGGTGCATAACTGAGGCTCATGCCAGGTGCCACACAGCACTCCCTTGGCCCCCTAATGGACTTCGGGACAGGCAAGGGCCTGAGTTGTTCCAATTAGAGTCAAATACAAGTTGTGCTAGGTTGTTAGGAACAAGAGTGTGCTTGTTCATGTTCCCCCTTTGATGAAGAATACAGCCTCAGAAATTGTTCCTGGAGATTTTGCCAGACTCAGAATGATTCTGACTTCACTGAAGGCAGAGCAGAAAATTAGGAAGAGACTGATTCCTGGGTAGCATTCATGAGCTTCTCTGCTCAGATTCACCCTGAAGCCTGGCTCCCTTCTGAACTACCCACCTGAGTCAATAAATTGCCTTGTATTTAAAGTCACATTGAGCTGGATTTTCAGTTATTTGCATCTGCAGGTGTTCTGTCAAGCTGGTACTGTGACTTTGTATCTGAGAATATTTACAGTGTTTCTCTCATGGTTGAGTCAATCATTTCAAGGATGCTTTGAGGGTAAAAAGAATGATCAATTGTGAAGCAGTGAATTGTGCTGCCAGGCACAATTCATTGGGTAATAGAAAGCTTCATTTACTGGGCAGTAGAAAGTTTCATTTTAATGGGCATCATAAAGGACAGACAGAATTAATGGGGGTGGTGACCTATGGCATTCTTCTTGCTGCAGAACCAGAAGCTTGTGTGGAAGGCAGCACACAAGATGGAAGGGGTGCAAGAACAGAGAGCTGGGAAGGAAGGTGAAGGGAAGAGAATGAAGCACGAGATACCCCATGGCTTGGTGTGGAACTCTCCTAAAGACACAGTGAGTAGGGGATGCCTCAATTGACTGAAGCCAGAGGAATTAAATGACAACTGCAACCATGAGATATTTTGTTGTTCACTGCAAATGCTCTTGGTGAAGTGCTCATGGCTCTAGAAAACTGTTTGTGGGTAAGTCTCAGGGGTGTTGGGGGAGGAAAGAGGTTTCCTCTACCCTCTTAGATTCTGTGGCTGGATCTGAGGATTAAACTGACATAAAGAAGATTAACAGAAGAAAAGCAAGCACATTGTGTTTGATGTTAATATTTTCATATGTACAGAGAGGTATTCTTAAGGAAGAAATGAAGACTCAAAGAAGTGGATAGGGTGGAGAGCTTATATGCCATTTTAACAAAGAATGATGAATTGCAGACATGTCACAAGACAAAAAGAAAAAGGCGTTTGGGCTGGGGCAAATCGTGGTAAAGTGATCAGAAAACTCATGAGGAAGCTAGTAGAGGAAGTGGGTCATTTTAGGAGGGTTGTCTGTACAGATGCATCTCAGCACGGTCTCCCCATCTCTGGTGATGAAAATGGTCTCCTCTTTCTGGTAAAGGGTGGGGGCCTCTTTCTCAAAGGAATCTACACCCTAATTTTAGGTATACGGAGGGAAGCCAGAGAGGCCTTCTGGCATCTGCTGTTTCTCAAGTGCCTTCCGCTCAAAATCATCAATACATCAAAGCAGCATATTTTGGGGTGGCATTGAGGGCCCTCACTGTGAGGAGAAGGAAGCTGCAGCACTGACCACTCCTGGTGGGTGAATGCAATGCTGTGGCGAAGTGGGGTTACAAAGCTGGGAGAGCCAGTGTTGGTTGCTATCCTTTCTTTCTCTCTCTCTGTCGGATATTCTCGAAGAGTGCACAGGCAAGAATGTGTCTCCTATGAAGTAATGCAAAGTAATAGTCTGGATGAGCAGATACAAATTAAATCTATGACAAACCAAAGCAGAATGAAAAGAAGGATAGAAACATGGAGTTGGGGGAGGGAGAAGTGAGAAAAACCAGGTGACTGCAGGCACAAAAGAGATAGGAAGAGTTCTGTGGCCAGGACCCAAGAAGCCCTGAAAAAATGGCCGATCAGTTGCCTTGAGAATAGCTGTTAACCCAAAGCCACACAAGATGGCTTAGGGCCAGGTTGCATAATGTCCTTTTTCCTTCAGGAATGTGTGGGGAGGTGTTTACAGAATGCCAGTTCTGCCTGGACTAGGGACTGAGTTGGGGGAAACATTACAGTGACCTATGAATTAGGATAAGAGGAGGGCTTTGCCAGCCAGAAGTGTCTGAAGCTGACTCTTTTATGCTAAGATGAGGGCACTCCCAGTGTAATGGCACAGGCCCTATCCCTTGAGTTTACAGCACTTGCATGTAGTTATAAACCTCATTTCCTCCCAAAGCAGCCAGATTCCCTGTGCCTCAAACCACACAGGGAGCCTGTGGTGGTGAAGCTGGTTGGGAAGACCCGGCAGAGGAGGATTTGGGAGTTGTGCATGACCCCTGAGCTGTGCTTTTGGAAGGAGAAATCTGGCCCTGCCTCACCTTGAGGACATCTGATGGGAAAAAGTTCACATTTCTATTATGTCAGTATGTCATGGCTGGGCTGAATTAGGTGATCTCCAGGGTCGTCTTCAGTCTTCTCACTCTGCGTGCTTGGGGAACTCTTCAGTCAGTCAGGACAGGTGACTGGGAAATGGGGAAGGAGACCCTCCTGTTGGCTTTTTTACAAGACTGCTATGTTCCACCATAGACAAGAAAGGATCTCCTTTGAAACTTATGTGTGCACTTCACAGACGATCACACAGAAGGTTCAGGGGGTCCCCTCCCCCAACCACTGTCTCCATGAGCACAGTGCTTTAAAGATGTATGTGATGCTACATGGAGATAATGCAATGAGCATAAGACCTGCTACATGGAGGTAATGCAATGAGCATAAGAGGTCTTATGTGCTCAGGTGCACGTTTACTTCACCCACCAGGGGGTACAAATCAGAGGCTACTCATCCTGCAGGTTTGTGCAACCCCAAGTCAGAACAGGTCTAGGCCTCTGTCTTCACCACTTTTCTTAGATGATCACAAACAACTGATAAATGGCCTCATGTTAATATTTTTCAGAGGAAAGAGTGCAAAGATTTACTCCATGAGTAAATTTCAGTCAGGCATTCTCTTGTGAAACCATTTCCCAAGTAAATAATGTGCACCCCATATGTAATTACATATGTGCATGCCATATGTAAGTAAAAGATTTTGAAGCTAGATTAGAAGACCAACATTCAGGAACCTGTGTTGTCTGTAGGGAGCTTCCTGAATTTAGAGTTAGGCCTAAAGACCTGCTGGTGAGACCTTGTAGACTATGTTGGTGGGGCCCATGACATCGACCATGGGGAGAGATGCCATCCCTTCTGCAGACCCCTGGGAACAACCTCTGCAGTTAGAAGGCTCCAGATGCAGGCTCTGGGGCCTCAGACTCAAAAGGAGCCATGGGCTGCTTCCTGTTTCCTTGCCTTCTGCTGGGTCTGGTGCCAGGAAAGGTGAGACTGCAAAGAAGATGCCATCTCAAGAATGACAGCTGTAGGGATCAAAGGTTGGCACCTGCCAACATAGTGAGGCCGGGGCACCCTGTGCTCTAAGAAGGGCTGTGTTCCTCTGGGTGACCAGCCATCCCAAGTTGCTGGGACAGTCATGGGCAAACCAGAGCAGGTGGTTGCTCTGTTATGTACAACCATCTACCAACAGGAATTTAACCAAATCAGAATGGCCATCGGGTCCATTATACCCAGTACTATACTTGTATTTGTGAATATCAGAGTGCCTCAGCCCTATACAAGTCAAATGGAGACCTTATTGGCTGTATCCAACTCAGCAAAATAGCAAATATACAAAAAGTGCTGAGAGTCCTTGAAATCCCACCCCCACACAGAGCCTGCTTGTATACAGTCGGCCATCTCCGTGGAAGTGGGAGGACGCAGTTGGCCATCTCTGTGGAAGTGGGAGGACGCAGTTGGCCATCTCCGTGGAAGTGGGAGGACGCAGTTGGCCATCTCCATGGAAGTAGGAGGCACTAACCCCACGGTCTTGGCTGGAGAACAGTAGATGAAGGAATAACAGGGTCACTTGAACTCCTTGATGTCTTCAGGCCCTTTGTTACTTGGTTTTCAACCTTCACACATCCTCCTCAGTAAAGTCATAGTCCTCTGGAGGACCACTGCCAATTGTGTTTATTGCTTAATTATTTTACCTGCCTCTTATTAATTACTTGGATCTAGTCTAGGCTCGTTACAGGCCTGTTCAAAGTGGGTGATTTGCAACAACCTGAGCGTGGCTTTCCTGATTAAATATAAATTCTTTTCTAATGCTAATAGAGCATGCAAAAAGCTGGAGTTACAGAAAACCCTTGGCACTCGGACCAGGAGTGCTAAGAGCATGGGAAGAAGACGTTGGGTGGAGAGATAGAGCTTATTTTCGCTAATCCAGTGACTTCACTTAGGGTTGTGGCGGCTTTTCAGGGCCTTTCACAGAGTGTAATGAAGAGCCATCTCATTTCTGGGTGTTTATCCACAGAAAAATGAAATCGGGATCCCAAAGAAAGAGCTGCACTCCCACGTTCATTGCAGTATTACTTGCAATAACCAAGATATGGAATCTACCCATGTCCATCAATGAATGAACTGATAAAGAAAATGTAGTGTGTGTGTGTGTATGTGTGTGTGTATATATATATATATATAACACAGTGAAATACTACTCAGCCTGAAAAGAAGAAGGAAATCTTGTCACTTATGGCAACATGGATGAATTTGGAGAACATTATGTTAGGTAAAATAAACCAGACACAGAAAGACAAATACTGCATGATCTCACTTGTATGTGGAATCTAGAAAAGTCAGACTCATAAAAACAAAGAGTAGAATGCTGGTTACCAGGGGCTGAGTGGGAGGCGGGCGGGAAATGAGATGCTGGTCCAAAGATACAAGGTTTCAGTTTTAAGATGAATACGTTCCGGGGATCTAAGGTACAGCATGGCGACTGTAGTTAATAATACTGTACTGTTTACTTGAAATTTGCTAAGACAGTAGATCTTATGCATCTGCATCTCTCTCTCTCTCTCTCACACACACACACAATAGTTAACTGTGTGAGGTGATGTGTTAATTAACTTGATTGTGGTAATTATTTTACTATGTATGCATATATGAAGTAATTACATTGTAAACCTTGGATAAACACAATTTTTATTTGTCAATTATTCCCTGATAAAACTAGAAGAAGAAAGCCCTACTTTGCATGTTTGTTCTAACTGTTCCTCCTTCGCCTTCAGTTAAGTAAACATGGGGATGAGGGTGGGACAGAGATGTGGAGGAAATGAAGTTAAGATGAAGTCTTCATCCACCATTTATTGAACATCTACTGGAAATGACCTGTAGTAGTCCATTTTACTTTGCTATAAATTAACATCTAAGGCTCTCTATGGAGGCCGGGGAGGCTGGATGGGACAAAAAGGCAGATGAAGGACAAATTCTGATTCTCTCTTCTGGAGTTGGGGCGCCTTTCTTTTCCTGCCCTTGGATGTCAGAGCTCCAAGGTCTCTGGCTTTTGGATTCCAGGACTTGCACTAGTGCTCCCGACCCCTGCCCCCTAACCTCCACCCAGCCTTTTTGGCCTTCAGCCTTGGACTGAGAGTTACACCATCTGCTTCCCTGGATCTGAGGCATTTGGACTTGAACTGAGCCATGCTACCGTCTTCCCTGGTTCCCCAGCTTGCAGATGACCTGTTGTGGGACTCCTTAGCCTCTCCAACCAAGTGCGCCAATTACCCTAAACAATCCCTTCACATGTATCTCTCTCTCCCTCTCTCACTCTAGATATATAGATATAGATATATACATAAATATTCTATTGGTTCTGACCCTCTGGAGAACCCTGACTAAAACATATGGTAAGTTGAAAATATAAACCGGTTCACAAATTATTTAAACAAACTAGTGAATGGTATACATTGAATCCTTAGGGGGCTAATAGGGTTAGAATAATAATTACTACCATGGATTGGGTGCCTCCTTTGTGCTCAGTGCTTTTAAATACGTCTCTATCCTCCAGTCTTCATGGCCACCTTCTAACAGATGAGAAAACTGAGTGGCGTTTAATGTGCTCCAGGTCAACAGCCCCTCAGCGCATTACTCTGACCTGCTGTGGTAATTCCATGATCCTAAAATGTTTGGCTTCTATGAGCCTCGACTTCAGTGTGTACCCACAGTACTTTGTACACAGATACTGACACTCCTTTTCAGAGTTCCAAGTTTAATCTCTGTTGTAAATGCATATTTGCTAGAAAATGTTCTTCCTTGGAGAAGGACCTGTAACTCTCTGACAGCGTTCCTGACACTACACCAGGAACGCTGGCCATAGTGACAACGTCGATGTACCCTGTGATAGGGGTTAGCATTAGGTGTGTAATGCTGAGTAATGCAGGCAGGGAGGCAACAACTTCCTGTTACCTTCAAGCTAGAATTGCTCAGTCAACCCAAAGCCACCGGGAAAAGGTGAGTAACGCTTCCTTCCTGCCTCTGCCTGCACGGTCAAATTGTTGACAGTTGGCTCAGTTTCTCTTCTCACCTGTAAAAGGATAATATTTGTGTAGACTTGGAACACATGCAAGAATCTGCAAGTAGATATTTGGAATGTGCATGTCTTGGCCTTTTCTTCCACTGTTGCTGGAAAGAAACCCAAAGAACTTAAGCTGTGCTGAACTTTCCGGTACTTCAAAGTAAACTTAAAGGATTTCCTGTTCTTTTTACAACTGTGGTCATTTCCCATTTACCTAAAATCGATATTAGCCACCACTGAAATAATCATAGTTCTGCTAGACTTCTCTGAGGTGAGCTAGAAGGTCTTGGACTTCGAATCCAGACTTAGGATTCCATGATATACAAGAGGGGGTTGTACTTGAAATTTACAACTCTGTAGTGGAACTTGTGCCCCAGCAAATGGGCCATCAGCCAGTTCAACAGGTTGCCGCAGTGTGGACCTAGTCAGCACTGCCCTGAGCTCTCTGGAATAGTTTGCTTTCCCTCAGATTTTCTCTTTATTGCTATTCTTAAAACACATATCATCTTACATAAAATTATAAACATAAACTGAACCATGATGGCCTGTCCTGCAATATGAAAATCGGCATGCTGCTTTAAAATGTGTATGTGTGTGATGTTGGGGCTGCATTCTTATCATCAAGGTACCTCCGTGTCACCGTGTCATTCAGTGGATGGTAACGTGGGATCTTCAGGTAATTCTGGAGTGGCATTTTGTATCAGAATCCATGCATTTGGGTATTGATCTGCTGAATCAGTTATTCCCTTGAGAAGTTATGACATCTTAAGCATTCTGGTTGGCATTGAATTGTTCTCATAAACCAGCACAGAGAGCGAATAGAGCAGACTTTGGAGCCAGGCAGATTTAGGTTCAAATTCTTACTCTTCTACTTACTAGTTCTTTGACCTAGGCAGGTAGTGGATTTCTCCACACCTTTGCTCCCTCATACATAAAATGATCCTTGCAGATGGTCATGGGGTTACAAGGAACAACCAACAGAAAGCACTTGTACAGTTCCTGTTACTAAAGATGCCTGGGGTGTGCTGGCTCCCTGAAGGCGTGGGCCACTCTCCTCTGCCATTCCGGAGTGTGACAAGTTTCTTCTCAGGGTTCTTTCAGGGAGGTTCTCCCAGGTGCACAACTGAAGGTTGGCTCCATCCACTTACTTCATGTCAGAGAAACTTTTTGTTTTTGTTTTTGAGATGGAGTTTTGCTCTTGTCACCCAGGCTGGAGTACAATGTATGATCTCGGCTCACTGCAACCTCCGCCTCCCGGATTCAAGTGATTCTCCTGCCTCAGCCTCCCTAGTAGCTGGGATTATAGGTGTCCACCACAACGTCTGGCTAATTTTTGTATTTTTAGTAGAGATGGGGTTTCACCATATTGGCTAGGCTGGTCTCTAGCCCCTGACCTCAGTGATCCACCCGCCTCAGCCTCCCAAAGTGCTGGGATTACAGGCATGAGCCACTGTTCCTGGCCCATGTCAGAGAAACTTCTAACTGTCCTCAATCCTGACCACATGGTCTTCCCCACCAAGGAGACAATGTTCTAAGCTGCCCTAATTTAGAGCAAGAATAAAACTGCCAGACCAAGCACTTAAGATGCTCAAGTGCTCACAGTAGTTTTGTCATTAGCTTCCTCAAGAAGTGGGAGCTAAAGTGAAGTCAAGAACAGGTCATCCAGATGTCTGTTGGTCAAGCCTTCCTCTAGGAATGTGCAGCCTTCCCAGCTAGCTAGGGAAGGAAAGTTTTCCCAGGACTCAGTGTTAAAACTAGAAATTGTTGGGCAAATAGGGAAAGCTGGTCACCCTGCTAATGTTCCCTACCCAAGGCAGGGCTCCCCTAAATGGACACTGCACAGAGGCAGGGGTCCCCTTCTGGGCCTTGGCACACTGGGCAGCTGTGTGAGCTTTGGGCCTAGGTTCCTCCTAGGAGATGAGCATTGAATATCATGATTTCTAACATCACTGTTGGCCATAACAGTCTGGTCCTGGCTGAGTCGTACCTGCCTACCTTCCCAGATGCCTACATTGGTCTCTCCTTAGCACCTCAGGCACCTGGAAGGGAAATGGCATGAGAGCACTGCGGGGCACTTGGCAGACACTCCCCCTTTCTGAACTGTGGAAATGACTTGCCAAGCAGGTTGAGAAAACAAGGTCCTCGGGTCCTGATAACATCTGCCCAGCCTGAGCCTGCTGTTTGCCTCCAAGGGTGTGTCTGAGAGACAGCTCTCAGAGCCCACTTAGGGAAAACACACCCCTCCACGTCCCAGCTGGCCTGCTCTGGCCTATGAGAGTCACCATTTATTTGCAATGTTGACTCCTCTTATTCTCTTCCTAAGTTGGAGAAGTGGACTCCTTCTAAAAGCCGAAGGAAGGAATGCAGTCTCTTACCAATGACCATATGATCTGATAAAGGATACAGGCTGCAGATTCATTTGTGGACTGTTCTCTTTTTATTCAGTTTAGATTTCAATGCTTTAAGCTTCAGGGTGAAAGAACTCCAGAGACTAAAGTTAACCTCTCAGTGAAAAAAATGCCATTTACAATTTTCATGTTATCCTTCTCTGTTGCTTGACTCTCTTTATATGATTTGGACTTTGGGTTTCATTTATGGTCCAGATAGATGGGCCATCAAATAGAAACCATGAACTAACAGACTCACATAAATTCATAAATCAGGCTCATGGTACTGCTCACGACATTTCCTCACTTTGCTTTCCCTCCTCCCTCCCTTTCTTGATTTTTGTCATCTATCATCCCTCTATGTATTATCTATGTATTATTTCCTCACTCAGTATCTGCCCCCCTGCTAGAATGTAAGTCATCAACCAATGGCAGGGAGCTTGGTGAACCCCCAGTGCCTTGTGCAGTATTTGGCTCCTTGATATATGCATGTGAGTGAACTCTGTGTGTTGTCATCAGTGACAGCCTTGATTCAAGCTACTATTGAATAAATAGCACAGTTGTTTTGATACCACAAGGCGGACAGTAGATTTAGGTTTAGACAATTCTGTAATTTTCTGTTCTCGCATTTGTAATTAAGAGTCCTCCTTAAGCTCAACATTGAGTAATCAACAGGGTATACTGAAGCCAGGATCCAGGTCTTTCCACTCTGATCCTGGGGTTCAGATTCTCACTTTCTAAGGAAATTAATATTTTATTTTGACCTAAAGTTAATAGTTATTAGTGATTTAATACAGTCTCCCCTTCAGATCACATTTCAACTTTAATGATAATTTTTAATGAGATAATATAAAGATGACAATCGGCCGGGCACAGTGGCTCATGCCTGTAATCTCAGCACTTTGAGACGGAGGCGGGTGGATCACCTGAGGTTGGGAGTTTGAGACCAGCCTGACCCATGTGGAGAAACCCCGTCTCTACTAAAAATACAGAATTAGCCGTGCGTGGTGGCACATGTCTGTAATCCCAGCTACTCGGGAGGCTGAGACAGGAGAATGGCTTTAACCTGGGAGGCAGAGGTTGTGGTGAGCTGAGATCGCACAATTGCACTCCAGCCTGGGCAACAAGAGTGAAACTCCATCTCAAAACAACAACAACAACAACAACAACAACAACAGATGACAATCAACCATAGAGTTTGAAGCATTGTAGCAGAGAAAATCAGGTGGCCATTGCCGGACAGGAGCACATGTTCTGGAATTTCTGTGCTGCCTCCCGTCAGCTGCTCCGTGCCACTTCCAAGACCAATATTATAAGGTTCTGGTTGAGACACTCAATTTCCTTCGTGCTTAGTATTTGTAACCTGGAACATTTAAATACCATATAAATCTATTTGATTCATCAGTGAACGTGCAAAGTGTAACCACCCAAGCATTGTGTAAGCCCCCAAGTTTACCTGAAGGGAAAAGGCAGCTGCTGTTGAACTCCGCAACATAAGCCACATCACCCAATGCTTGGACTGTTTCTGAACAGGTACAATAAGAGAGTTTCTACAGCAGGCTGAGTATCTGTCCATATTCTTCACAGAAATAAAGAAGTGATGTATTTCCTCTCCTCAAGAAAGCCCATCTTGGCCGGGCACAGTGGCTCACACCTGTAATCCCTGCACTTTGGGAGGCCGAGGTGGGCAGATCACTTGAGGCCAGGAGTTCGAGATCAGCCTGGCCATCATGGCGAAACCCCGTCTCTACTAAAAATACAAAAATTAATTGGGCATAGTAGTGGGCACCTGTAATCCCAGCTACTCAAGAAGCTGAGGCAGGAAAATCACTTGAACCCGGGAGACAGAGGTTGCAGTGAGCCGAGGTTGCTCCATTGCTCTCCTGCCTGAGCGACAGAGTGAGACTCCGACTCAGAAAAAAAAAAAAAAAAAGAAGAAGAAAGCAAGCCTATCTTTGGATTCTTACCTAGGGTTAGGCATAGGCCACTGCAAGACTGAGCAAGACGGCAGAGTCTGGCTCAGCCAGGGCAGCGAGAAGGATGATCAGGCTTCCATGACTCACCGGCTGCCCAAGCCACCACACCCTCAGGGTGCATGGCGCACACTGAGAGCAAACTCACCATGAGAAGAGTCTGCCTTCACTTAATTTGCTAATGAGAAAGATTACAAACTGTGCTTTTGTTTGTATCTTTGTGCCCATTCATTTTCCAATGACAATGTTAATAAAACATGAAGAAAAATATTTTAAGCAAAAGACTGATGAAACAATTAAAAACAATTGAAGGGAAGCAAAGTTCAGAATATTCAAAATTGCTTTGACTGCATTTCATCTTGAGGAAAGTCGATGATTTCAGGTGCCATGCAACTTACCTAGGACAAGCCTTGGAATGCCTTCCCCTCATTTCTACTGATAAGCTGATGAGAGAACACTCAAGAAGAAAGGGAGAAAAACAGAAGACAAGGAACTGTAATGAGCAGACTCTCATTTCAAATTTTTGCCGCATTACTCAAACTCATAAATCAGTATTAATAAATGATAAAAATACTTTATTTCTTTAACACAGAATATACAATATTGCACTCCAGTTGCAAATAGTGTATAGAAAAAGCTCTGTTTAGAAACTGCCATAGCAATTGTCTAAGTCTACTAATGTTTTCTGGCATCACCAATGATAACCACAGTGCTGAACTTTGAACCAACTGAAAAAGGGGAATGTTCAATAAAGCCTCCTTTTTCTTCCAGTTTCAGTGCCCAGTAGTTTAAAACATTCTATTATGTTTAATTACATTTTGAAAAATTGTCGTTCTTTCATGAACAAATAAAAGTACCTTGCAGCCGTCACTATTGCCCATTCTTGTGGGAAGCAATCGCAAGCTTTTCATCCCGACTGAACTAAACAGTCTGATTTTTCTCAAAGTCACTCAGCAAATTGCGGTAATTCAGGTTTAGGCAAGAAGTTCTTTAGTTTTACTTTTTATATATATTTTTAGAGACAGGGTCTTGCTCTGTCACTCAGGCTGGAGTGCAGTGGTGCAATCATGGTTCACTGCAACCTTGAACCCCAAGGCACAAGTGATCCTCCCACCTTGGCCTCCCAAAGCATTGGGATTAAAGGCATGAGCCACCGCCCCTGGCTGAAGAAGGAACTCACCTCTTACACATACTCAAGATATGGAGCTGTGGCATGAATCTGAATGGAAGGGAAGGAAAATTAACTCACTTCTTTAGGAGTCTGATGCCACCCAGTTCCCCTGTTCTTCATGCCCCGTTTCTGATATCTACTTCTAGAATTCACTCCAGCTGAATTCTTCTCTTTTCCTGTGCCACCACCAAAGGTGCAAACATTTCTAAAAGATCTTGGTGGCTTTAGTGGAAACCATTTGGTTTTTACATTTTTCACCTATGATATGAATGATGAGTCTGCATGATTTTTATCTTAAATAAATCTGACCCAGGCTGCATCCATCCTGTTCTGACAGTAGAAAGGCATACACACTTTTACTTAAAGCTTTCATATCTAAAATTGATGGGACATCTGAAAATAAGGGAATTGGGTATATGAAAAGATCCTTTAAAAAACTGCTCTCATCTTTCACATTATCTTCTTTTTAACTAAGTGCAATACAGTGAACAGCAAAATAGCAGCATTTTTAGAGCAACCATTGGGGAAAATTCTTAGATCAGGGGACCTGCTGTCCTGACAGAGTCTATATTCGGCCAGCAAAGGCTCCCTAAATGTGTATCTGAGACTTATTTGAAAACAAGTCACCATAGTACTGAGTACTGAATTGAGTGGCAAACACTCCACTTGCAGTCAATGAAAATCCAATTACACAATATACACAAAGAGATGACCAAGAAAAACATGATTTAAAATTATACTGACAAAAACTAAAATCATATGAAGTAAAATAAAACTATCTGAAGACTAATAACTGTGTAAAAATAAATATCTAAGTAACCCAATGACCTACTCTCACGGTAAAATAGTTACGAAAAAAGAATACAATATTAACCAAAACTTGAATAATTCAAAATGAAATGGTTAACAAAATATCATATCAATGAGAAACCCATTTCTCTCCCCTCCACATTCTTCTCTCTAACGATTTTCTTCTTGAAAAGATATATTTTGATATTAAGCTTTCGAAGAATTGGCTGGGTAACAAATTTTCTTTGGGTTATTTCTCAGAAGGTTCTGAATCTGAATCTATTCACTCTGGGTGTCATAAGCAAGTTCAGAATTAGGGACCCAGTAACCCCCATGAACATTCTCATTATAGCCGCCCTCAGGCTGTCCCTTGTTTCAAAATATGCCCTTTGCAGAAAAGAGTGAATTGGTGTCAAATTTGGGTTGATTACGTCATATGTGGAGGTGTGAGTCAGATCAAAGGGCAGGGAAGAGGTCCTGCCTCAGATGCCCGTGTTCTGTGTAAACCAAAGTTTTCTGTTCTTTTTGGAAGTTGGGAACAAGAGAACCATGGAGTACATTCTAAATAGTGCTGCAAAAGTGAAATGTTGTATTCATCTGACCAAAGGAAACTCCAAGATTCTTCCGCTAACTCTCCAGAAACTGTCCAGTTGCAATAAAAGGTTTTGTTTATCAGTATTTAAACTCTAACTTATCTTTTAATGGGTACTTCCACATGCCTACAACCCGAATGGAGAATGACATTAATAGAATGACCTTGTAGCCCTCAAGTTATTTTAAAAGTGCTTTCTGACTTGTTAAATAAGATAAACAGTAGTATAATTTGGGAATTAACCGTAATTTATAGTGCAGTAATGCTCTGGCAATTGGGGTCAGCATGTGTGAGTGTGTGTGTTTACTCTTATTTGACCACATAATTGAAGTAGAATATGCCTTTTTATGATTACTTTGATTTAAATGATGTTAATCAGCCCAGGATGGTCAAAAGGGGCACATACCATAGCATTCATGCTTGGTTTTTATTTTCCTTGATTTAAAAAAAAATCAACTTAGATATTGTTAAAATGCATCACAGTACCTCTTTGTCAGCAAGTCAGTCAAAAAGATTTCCAAACAGCTTTACGGTTTCCAGCTGCCCTCTGGAAGCAACACTAGTTTCACCTCAAACAAGGAAGACACCTCTTGGAGTTTCAGCTGTTACAACTCAGCTAAATTTCAAGGTCTGTGTTCCCATATTCTCTGTAGTATTTTAAACCTTCTCAGAGCACTTGTTTTGTCAATGGGATGCTGCATTCCTGGTAAAACAGCAATCATGTGGTCACCTAGGCACACTAGCCAAATGGTCCTGGGATCCCAAATCACCCATGAAATCCTTCAAGAAGTCTTCATCATCGGGAAGGTTTGCTTCCTGAGGAGTTAAAGAAAAAATAGTGAATCAACTCCAGTCTAGACAAAAGTTAGTATAATGAAAACTAAACATTATACTGGTCTGGTCCCTGTAGTTTTTGTTTTCTGACATTCTCTGCATTTTGAAACATCTTCTTTTGCGTTTTAAATTTTGACAAGAGGTCAGTAACTTTATTAAATACAGCTATCATCTCGTTTCTCTGGCAGAACAAATTCCATCTCCCTGCAGGCCTTTTTCTGCGCTTTAAAAATTTCTCTTTGCCTCCAACTACTCATGGGGCAGTAAAGAAAATTTCTTTACATGTTGGTAAGGCCAGTGCTAACTACTACAGAGTTGGACAACAAAATAGGAAGCAATGCAGGCAGTTGAACTAAATATCTGAGGGCAAACAGATTCCTCCCTTTTCAAACACCAATATCTCTTAAAGGCCCAGGCGCGGGTCACACGACAGGGAAGAGTGGCCTTATGGCTACTCAAGCCACGTGTTTACCTAAAATGTGCTCCTAGTCGCATAGCTTCTCAGAATAGTCAAAGAAGAAAGGAAAAGAAAGCTGGATGTCCCGGGTTTATTTTTTCTGCATCTTTGCAAATATGAGACACAACTCTGTTCCAGGAGCTTTCGATGCGCTTCTACAGGTATTTCTTTTTTCTTTGTGTCAAGGATAAATGTGAAGATAGCTGTGGAATTGTCCGAACATTTTTGCCTTGAAATTAAGCAATGTTTTATGCCTAATTTCCCAAAGGACAAGTTATTTATGCCAGTATTAAAAGCAGCAACTTATATATTCTACGCAAAACAGAAAACCAGAAAGATCTAAATTTTGACAAGTCCCTAGTTTGATGAATTGAAAGACAGGAAGATGACTACATCACAGCAGATAAAAGAGATATTTTCATAAACTAAGCTCTGGGAAACAGAATACCAAAATTACCCATGTACAACCAACTACTGCTCATGGGTTCCCCAGAGGACTTGTGTGCGGATTATACGAGTCATTGCCCAGTTGTGATAGTCTCAGTTTTGAAAAGCAATTATCTTTACCCCATGGGGCAAGAAACTTATAAACGTATTTAGTTCTATTATAATTGAGACACTTTTATTATAAGTTGTAAATCTCTATCTACCAAGAGGACAAAAACCTCCAAATATATTTGTTTTCTCTTTCACTTAGAAAACCTACCTTTGTTCGTCTCAAGTTTTCTGAATCTTTCAAGAAATCCTAAAATGAATCCTTATAAATTTCAGCAGAAAAAGCACAGCTTAAATTCCTGCTTCCACATCTTCCAGAAGTTGCAGAACTGGTCTCAGAACAAGGGACTTCTGCAGGAAGTCAGAGGACCGCCCCACTGACCAGGTGTTCACACTCTGTCGTGGCTTTCCCTGCTGGTCTCCTCCAGTGGGAACACCAGTGCTGGGAGGTGGGGAGCTGTGAAGGGGCTAAGGTCATGAGCAGACACTGTTCCGGTGATCTGGAGAAAGCCCAGGCAACTCTGTTCTCCTCATACACCCCACCCCTGGTAGCCGGGCAGTAAGTCTCTGCATTGCAGTTTCAAAGAGGCCTGTGCTGTTTTGGGTCTAGGGAAGTACATTAGTAAAGAAAATCTTTATAGTGCTGGTGACTGCCAATTCCATATAAAAACTGGGGTAGCTTCTGTGGGACTGTACCCCTGCTCTGAGAAATAATGTGAAACTTCTCAGAAGACAGTTGCCATTGTCTCCAGTCTGGAACAAACGGGATTCAGGTGGAGGGAGACATGAGGGGAGGAAGAAGCCCATGAGCCTTTTTCCTGCCTCCATCCTTAGTGCCTTCCCAAACCTGCTCTCACTTTCCCTCTTCCTTCAACTATTTCTCTTTGTCATAAAAGTGAAAGTTCTCACAAGCTAACTAAACTTCTTATATTTTTCATAGGTCCAAGCCTAAAAGGTCTTTAGGATTTAGTCTATGAAGTCAACTAAATTCTCATTCAGGTCACTCTTTTGACATTGGCTAATTCGAGATGGGAACCAGCCTGGGTCTGGAGGGATCAGAGCAGGCTGCTTTTATTTTTATGTTGTCAGGTTTTACTTTGGTTTCATTTGTATGCCACATTATTACCTCCCCACTATTTATACCACCAAGTCTACCTACTGCCTGCACATGCTATGGCTACCTGGAGGGAGCTTATTCATAAATTTACTTCTCACGTACTTCAATAGACAACTTTTTTTTGTTTGTTTTCCATTTCTGGGTTTCAGTCATGCAACACAGATTATTACTACACAGACTAGAAAATGTAGAGGTTGAAAACCATCCGCCTATCTCCCTTCTTTTTATGGACAAAGGACGCCTGGTCTATAGTGCAGGAATCATTTGCTAACATAAGACAGGCCCTTAATTCTGGTTTAGTGCTCTATCCACCAGACACTGTCCCTCCACGGACCTGGCCACTCTCCAAAGCTCCTGCCCTACACATGGTGCCATCATGGAAATACCCTTGCCAGCATTCATTCATCTCAGATCCAAAAGACAATTTGTGAAAACTACAAATTAATGTTTGTTTGCTTTTTAGAACTTTGCCTATATATATTTGTTGGGAACTTAGGCTAGTGGAAAACACAAATCTTCTATAAATTATAAGGAAGAACTTAAGTCCTGAGCCTTCTGAGTTCAAGAAAAAGAATGAATTATCTTCTTCTCATTAATTTTCATGTCTGTACTAAAGTCATAGCCAGAGAAATTATTGGAGATATTTTTAGCTGTCAAACATAGGTGAGCCCTGTGCAAACATCTCTTGGGCAGCCTCCCCCAAACTCTACAGGCTGCCATGCATCTTCACTTAGTTTATCACAATGGCAGAAAATAATTTCATCTCATGATTTTTAAAATTTACTTATAGCAAGTTGTCATTGAAGGGTAAGAGGAAAAAAAAGATGTCGCAAAGTTTAAATTGTTCGTTCTCAAAGACAGCCCTGAAAAGGTTCTTTCTCTTCACTACTTTCCAAGACGCCCATAGGGAAGAGCAGGTAACAGTGAAGACCAGCACTCCTCAGTTCCCCAGTGAAAAGCAAAAAGAGCTCGAGGTCAATCCGGCACTACTGGTTGTCCAAAGGGAGGTTACTTCCTGTAGTGTCATCAGAGGCAAATAAACTATAGACTCTAGTTACAATCTAGTCCAATTTCCCCAGTTTAAAAACCTGAAGCTCTCAAAACAATTTAAATAAAATTTAGCCAAATAAAGATCTTTGTTGCTAAGTGAATGCCAAAGTGCTACAAGATCCTGTGGAGAAGTTCTCACCACTTCAGCACAGGCCTCCAGGAAAGTGCAGGGAGTCTTCCTTTCTGTTCCAGTAACACAGCAGCGCCTACCTAGGGCTGCAGGTGGACTGGTCAGCTCCAATCAAACATCAGGACCGCCCACAGCACAGGTCAATGAACTCAGGAACTAGGGCTCTCAAGCTGTTTTCAGCTCAGGAAAGAATACTAGGGGTGTAAAACTGCTTTCTGGCAGCATTTTGGATTTCTCCTGTTTTCACAATAATAAGCCAAATGGGACATATTAATTTGCAGAATTGCCTTTCCAGGCAGCCAGACGCAGCAGACTCCTAAGGGCCTGGACCAGCAGGTGCCTGGATTGGTACCTTCTGCTCTTCAGCAGCGGGGGCTCAACTCACAAGCCTCTGCGTCAGTCTCTTGGGTCCCTTTCACACTGTAGCTCAAAATCGCACTCAATTCTAAGCAGCTGTAACTGGCCATCGCCCAGCTCGGTCACACTCACCAAGATTCACAGCCCCGCACACGGCCAGCCCCGCCCCCAGCCTTCTGGGCACACACCTCGGGTCCGGCTCTGCTCCTGGCTGGGGGTCTCCTTGGCCTTCTTACAGGTGTACAGCCACTTGATGATGCGGGCGTTCCTCTCGATGACCGAAGTGGTGCTGGGCACCTGCTCTATCAGCTCCTCCTCCTGCAGCCCCTCGTCGTCGCCGCCGCTGTGCCGGGAGAAGCCGCTGCCGGAGGTGGCGACGCTCACGCTGCGCACCTTGAGGGTCACACAGTCCGACCCCGCGGTGAAGTTCTCCCTCCCCAGGGCCTCCACCACCTCGGGGTCCAGGCCGCAGTACTGGAAGAAGGTGTCAGACTCGGCCAAGGCAGCGGAATAGCGGGAGCTGAGGTCCGACTGTGAGCGCTGCAGCCCCCGACGCCTCACCACCCGCGGCTCTGGCCCAGGGGGCGCGGCCGGGACACTGGAGGGCGCCGCGGACCGCGCGGCTGGGGCTGGGGTCTCGGGGATTGCGGGGTCCGCCGCGGGGCCAGGAGTGGTCGGGACCGTCTCCGGGTTCCCGGCCTTGCCCTCGTCTCCCGTCCGGGGCACCGGCGCCTTGTCCTTACCCGGCCCCTGGAAGAGCTTCTTCACCAGGCTTGCCCTGGGGCCGTCGGCGCCCGATCCTCGCACGAATTCGCATTTCTGCCGGTAGATGATCAGCGAGTCCGGTCTCAACGGCTTCCGCGCAATAGCCCTGCGCGCCACCGGGGCCGGGGCGCGGGCCGGGGGCCCAGGGTCGTTCCCCGGGCACTTGATCGCCCCCGGGCCGCTGCCCTCGGAAGCGACGCCCCGGCCAGTCCCCGGCCGACCCCGCACATACTTGGCGCGATCCGCCGCCAGCCTCTCCACTGCGCTCCTGCGCGCCGGCCGCGCGGCGTCGGGGTCCCGGGTAGCCGCGGGGTCCCGGGGAAGGAGCCGCTCGTTCGGGGGCGCGCTCAGGGCCGCCAGGGCGCGCATCTTCGCGGGGAATGGACCGACCGGGGTTCCGGGTCCAGCGGAGACGCGCTCGAGTGGTAGAGCCAGTCAGTCCCAGGGCCGGTTCCGAAGTCCGCGCCGGGTGGGGAACGGCGCCCCAGTGCCCAGCTGCCCAGGCCCGGGGTTGGGGAGAACCGGAGTCTGCACCGATTGGCGAAACTCCCCAGTTCCCGCCCCTCCCGACCTCATCGCCCACACCGACTGGCACCGCCCCCGCCCCCGCCCGGTGCCCCGGCCCTGGCCGCGTCCCCGCATCCCCGCTCGTCCCCGCCCGTCCCCGCCTCCTCACTCCCGCCCGGGCCCGCCTCCCTGGCCGCTCTCCGGGTGCCAGCGCCCGCCCTCACCTCGCGTCCGGGGTCCCGGCCCTCACCTCCTGCCCGGTGCCGTCCCCGCCCCCCCTCACCTTCCGGCGGCGCTGCCAACCGCCTGGAGGACGCTGGGGCGAGCAGGCTCTGAACCCCCACTCGCTCAGCCCCAGATCCCCGAGGTCACTGCTGGACGCAGGCATTTCCGGGGAGGGGGAGCAGAGGGGACGTCCCCCCACCTCCCCCGGGCAGGTGCCTCACATCCTTTGAATTCTTAAAGTGACCTCATCGTGTTTGGAAACTTGACTGTTTAATTTTGTCTACCTGAGCTCATATTCTTATTAACAGAAAGGAATAGGACATAAGAGGAAAGAACACGCAGCGCACGCCAGGATCAGCCTACGTGTTGGGTGGCAAGAACGCAGGGCCTCGGATTGGGTCCGACTCGGTCGCTGGCCGGCAGCGGGCGTGGCCGGGCCCGAGGACCGAGCTAGGACTCTCAGTGGGGCAGGCTGGGGCCCCAGGCGCGGCTCAGTGGATTTGGAAGAAGCCCAGCCAAGTGTCCAGAATCATTGCTATTTTTACGGTAACCGAGGCAACGGGGAAACCACGAGTTCACCAGGCAGTGGATCAGCCTAGGAATGCTAAGAGTCTAAGATAAAATACTTCCCAAACTCCATTATTTCAAAAATTTGGACAAAATACTAAAGTTATCTCTCAGACATGTGAAATGTTCACGTTATCGCGTTGTGAAGACAACTCCGTAACAGGCTGTGCTTTCAGCCTTGTGGTTGAACGCTCCGAGCAGCAGCAGCCCGGAAGGCAGGGAGGGCGACAGGTGCAGATGGGCCCCCAAAGTGGGCACGAACACCTCACCAACGAGGAAGAGGACCGCAGCAGGGTGGTGCTGAGTGGGCCTTGGGGGTCTTTAATCTCCTTGAGCCCCAGCGAAGCAAAATTTCATAGGGATAGTAGCACAACAATAAATCGCCTCCTGAAAGCCAGACCGCCCAGACAGCCTCGTTGGAACATGTAAGACTCATAGGAAAAGGAGTCTAGGCCAATAAAGTAGAGAGTGGGAGAAGAGAAGGAAGGATGCGGGGGTGGGGAGTGAAAGAGAGGGACAGAGATGGAGAAAGGGGGAGCTCCTGGGTTGCCACAGATGGTTTCCTACAGGATGCGGGAGGATGGGGCCTTGAGGTCTAAAGTCCAGCCTGCTCTCTGCTTGGCAAGCCTGTTCCCTAAGTCAGAGGAAAAAACCTTTTTAATTGTGTAGCCCAAAGTGTCTTCTTTTCCTAATTTGCACTACTTCATGGGCAACAGCAGCACTTCTAAGACAGAGAACTGCAAAGTACAGGACCTCTGGAATTTGACCCTGGGTCCACAATTTACCTTTGGACAGGTAACAAACGTTCCAGGTTGTTTTGTCACCTGTAAAAATTTCTGTTTTAAATTTACAAGAAAAGACAATCCCATTAAAAAGCGGACAAAGGACATGAACAGACACTTCTCAAAGGAAGACATTTATGTGGCCAACAAACATATGAAAAAAGCTCAACATCATAGATCATTAGAGAGATGCAAATCAAAGCCAATGAAATACCATCTCACGCAAGTCAGAATGGCTGTTATAAAAAGTCAAGAAACAACAGATGCTAGAGAGGCTGCAGACAAATAGGAACGTTTTCACACATTGATGGGAATGTAAATTAGTTCAACTACTGTGGAAGACAGTGTGACAATTACTCAAAGACCTAGAACCAGAAATATCATTTGACCCAGCAATACCATTACTGAGTATACACCCAAAGAAATACAAATTATTGTCTTATGAAGATACATGCACACATATGTTCACTGCAGCACTACTCACAATGGCAAAGATGTAGAATCAACCCAAAGGCCCATTATAGACTGGACAAAGAAAATGTGATACATATACACCATGGAATACTATGCATCCATAAAAAATAATGAGATCATGTACTTTGCAGGGACATGGATGGAGCTGGAAGCCATTATCTTCAGCAAACTAACACAGGAACAGAAAACCAAACACCACATGTTCTCACTTATAAGCGGGAGACGAACAATGAGAACACATGGACACAGGGAGGGCAACAACACACACTGGGGCCTGGTGGGAGGTGGGGAGACAGAGGGGGAGAGAGAGCATCAGGAAAAATAGCTAATGCATGCTAGGCTTAATACTTAGGTGATGGGATGATAGGTGCAGCAAACCACCATGACATATGTTTACCTATATAATAAATCTGCACATCCTGAACATGTACCCCAGAACTTAAAATCAAATAAACATATTTTAAGCTGATAACTTTAATCACATACAGAAATTCTACCTCCTTACAGCTCCTCCCTGCTCCCACTTATCTTATTGGTGTCACAAATTAGATCTTTATATATTGGATACGCATTAACATAGATTTATACTCTTTTTCTTTTGATTCTTGTAACAGAATAAAAAGTGAAATTTTAGCCCCCTCCCAAAAAAATCGCTGTTTTTATAGCTTAGAACATTCATTGCTTCATAGTGAGCACTAAATAAATGTTAACCTAAAAGACCTAGGCTTAGCTCCCTGCTCAATTCTACCTCCTGGAGAGGCTGGAACATTCCACCTCTCACTGACTGTGATCACTCATCTGTAAATGGGAGCTCATTAGACCCACCTGATAGAGTATTTATTAAAGTTAATGAGATTGCTTATAAAGCAAACACAATTTTGAACGCTGGCCTTGGCAAAGAATGTATAAGTCCCCAAAAGCAATTGAAACAAAAGCAGAAATTGACAAGTGGGACATAATTAAACTAAAGTGCTTCTGCACAGTAAAAGCAACTATCAACAGAGTAAATAGCCTACTAACTGGAAGAAAATCCAACGAAGTCTTAATATCTGGAATCTACAAGGAATTTGAACAAATCAGCAAGCAAAACCCAAAAACCCTATTAAAAAATAGGCAAAGGACATGAACAGACACTTCTCAAAAGAGGACATACAAGTGGCCAACAAATATATATAAAAAGTTTACCATCACTAATCATTAGAGAAATGCAAATCAAAACCACCATGAAGTATCATCTCACACCAGTAAGAAAGGCTATTACTTAAAAGTCAAAAGATAACAGATGCTGGCAGGGCTACACAGAAAAGGGAACACTTATACACTGCTGATGAGAATGTAAATTAGTACAGCCACTGTGGAAAGCGGTGTGGAGATTTCTCAAGAGCTTAGAACTATCATTCCACCCAAAAATCCCACTATTGGGTATGGACCCAAAAGAAAATAAATCATTCTAACAAAAAGACATATGCATGCATGTAGTCATTGCAGCACTATTCATAATAACAAAGACATGGAATCAATGAAGATGCCCATCAGTGGTGGACTGGGTAAAGAAAATGTGCTACATATACACCATAGAATACTATGCAGCCATTAAAAAAGAGTGAAATCATGTCCTTTGCAGCAACATGCATTTAGCTAGAGGCCATTATCCTAAGCAAACTAATTCAGGAAGAGAAAACCAGATCCCACATATAAGTGGGAGCTAAACATTGAGTACATATAGACACAGAGAACGGAACAATAGATACTGGGGACTGCTTGATCGTGGGAGGGTGAGGAGAGGGCATAGGTTGGAAGGCTATCTGTGGGTACTATGCTCACTATCCTAGTGATGGGATCATTTGTACACCAAGCATCAGTGACCCACAATCTACCCATGTAACAAACCTGCACATGTACTCACTGAACCTAAATTTAAAAAAAAAGTAAAACTACTATAACATTGTATTTAAGACTTACTGCTATTAGACAAAACTAATTATATTTATATTCATGATATTTCATGTATTAAGCAAATAATTTACTAGAAAAATGGAACTGATAAATATAATATTGATGAGAATTATCTAAATAAGTTGTTCTTGTTGCTCAACTGATAGTGTCATCTTTGTGTCCATTTCCTTTCTAGAATCACTTCAAAAGACTTGGTCAGAGCAGGAAAAAATGCTTAAGGACTCAATAATCTAGGAACTCTACTCCCAGGAATGTATTCTAAGGAACAGATAAGAGATGTGTGCACCGCATGAAGATATTCATTGCAGTCAAATGGGGGAGGTCAACCTACATGCAAGTACAGGAGGAAGGCTGGAGGATGTATGACTTACCTGTGGGTGGAGTATTATGCATCCATTTACAGTCATGCTTCCAGAGTGTTTTTCAGAGTGGGAAGTGATTGTGATGTGTATGAAATTTTAAAAATAGCATGAATATAGAAGCAGTCCTCAGCATACAGTCCAGGGAATGTGGGGGCTCCTGATATCTTTTTGGGAGGTCTATGAGGTCAAAATTACTTTCATTGATACCAAGCAACAGGCTTCATGCCCAAAGTCCATAGAACTAGTGCTAACATAGTTTGGATGTTTGTCAATTCCAAATCTCATGTTGAAATGTGCTTGCCAACTTTGGAGGTGGGGCCTGGTGGGAGGGATTTGACAGTAGGGGTAGATCCCTTATGAATGGTTAGCCCTGTCCTCTTGGTGATGAATGAGTTCTTGCTCAGTCAGTTCATGGAGATCTGGTTGTTTAAAAATCTGGGACATCCCTCCCCTCTCTCTCTTGCTCCTGCCTTCACCATGTGACAAGCCTGCTCCTGTTTCACCTTCCACCATGATTGTAAACTTCTTGCCCTCACCACAAGCAGAGAAGATGTTGGTGCCATGCTTGTATGGAATGCAGAACCATGAGCCAATTAGACCTCTTTTCTTTATAATTACTCAGCCTCGGGTGTTTCTTTATAGTGATGCAAAAACAGACTGATATAAATACTATGGCTCTGGCTTTTGAGAAAAGATAAAGCTTTACTGTGAGTTGACTGGCAAGGAGACAGAAGGCAACACTCAGATCTGTCTCCCTGATCTTGGGGTGGGTAAAGCTTTTATGGCATTTCTAAGTAGTCCCAGGTGATGCCAATGCAGCTGGCCTGCCGGGCTAGTGGTGTAAAGAGTTAGGTTAAATCTTTTTCATTGCACATGCCCGGGATACATGACTTGCAGTTTTGGCTCTGTGCTACCTATAACAACTTATGCAATGGTAAATTGGCTTAAGTTGTTACCATGGTTACAAGACTAAGAATTGAATTGTCTTTTCTTTCTCCATTTCTTATGAGTATATAGTGGAGTTATCAAGAACCTAGTGACTGCTGAAATGCCAGAATATTTAGAGCTAATAATGTGTGCATTCAAAACATTTATCAGGCCAGATTTGGCAGCTCATGCCTGTGGTCCTAGCACTTTGGGAGGCCGATATGGTTTGGATCTGTGTCCCCATCAAATCTCATGTAAAATTGTAATCCCCAGTGTTGGAGGTGGGGCCTGGTGGGAAGTGACTGGATCATGAGGGCGGAGTTCTCATGAATGGTTTAGCGCCGTCCCCACTTGGTACTGTATAGTGAGGAAGTTCTCACGAGATCTGGTTGCTTAAAAGTGTGGGGCACTTCCCCCACTCTCTTTCTCGGTCCTGCTACTGCCATGTAAGATACCTGCTCCCACTTTGTCCTCTGCCATCAGTAAAAGCTCCCTGAGCCCTCCCCAGAAGCAAATGCTGCCATGCTTCATGCATAGTCTGCAGAACTTGAGCCAATCAAACTTCTTTTCTTTAGAAATTACCTAGTCTCAGGTATTTCTTTATAGCAATGTGAGAATAGATGAATACAGAGGCTAAGGCAGGTGAATTATTTGAGGCCAGAAGTTTGAGACCAGCCTGAGCAATATAGCAAGACCCGCATCTCTTAAAAAAAGTAAAAAAAAAATTAAAAAGTATTGATCAACTTATATTTTAATATAGTAGATATTAATAGATATAAGCCATTAAACCAAAGCTTATTAAGACCTTCAATAACTTTTAAGAGTGTTAAAGAGGTGTTGAGAATAAAATGTTTAAGAATTATTGGTATATATTATAAGAATAAATATTAAAACTGTGTAAGTACAGGGAAAAATGACAGGCAAGCACACATTGAGTTTTTTCTCATTTATTCATTAAAGAAACATTACTGAGTCCATATTAGGTGCCAAGTGTTCGACTCCATACTTTCAAATTTGTCAACTGATAGAAAACTAGGAACAGGAGAGAAATTCCTAAAATTGTTAAAGGGGCTCTATCCTTACCTTCAGCACCATACTTAGTGGTGGATTTTTAAAGCATTCTATAAAGATAGTAACAACATAAGGATACACATTATTGTCCATGTTAGTCAAATGTACTGGGCTTTCTAGCCAGTAAATAGAGAAAAAAATAACTACAGAGTATAAAGACTGGGGGAAACAAAGAGGCAAAATTCCCCTTATAACAGGCAATGTAATTGACTATTTCAAACCTCCAAGAGACTGGACATAGTATTAGAACTAACAAGACATTTCAACAAGATTGTTGGACAAAGAACACATGCAAAGATAAAGAATATTCATAAACACTAGCAATAATCAATTTAAAAATGTACCAGGAAAAATAATCAAGACATAATACTAAGAAAATCCATATGGAATCTGGTAATACATCTCAAAAAGACACAAGACATGCTTATAGAATATTATAAAATATTTTGACAGATATAAATGAAGAGATAAATAAATAGATGTGCCACATTCAAGGATAGTCAGAATCAACATTGTAATGATGTGAATCGTCTTAAATTTTTTTTAAAGAGGAACTCAATGCAATTAGAGACAAAACCCTAGGCTGGGTGCAATGGCTCATATCTTAATCTGAGCACTTTGGGAGACTGAGGCAGGAGGATCGCTTGAGACCAGGAGTTCAAGAAACAAAATTCCAACTTTTTTCTTCATAGAACTTGACAAAAATTTCAAAAAATTATTTGCAAGAGTAAAGGTGCAATGCATTGTGTAATATGGTAACCGTTGACCACATGTTGCTATTAAGCCTTTGAAATGTGGAGAGTCTGAGTTAAGATGTTGTGTGTTACATTTTATATTGAAGAAATGGTATTTCATATATACTGATTTAAATTAAATATATTATTAAAATTTTTTAAAAGTAATAAATGTCCAAAAATAGTTAAGAAAATTTTGAAAAAAAAATGAAAACAAGAAGGAAACTTTTTTTGCAAAACAGCTATCTAAGATTTGTTATAAAATTATAGTAACAAAGTATGATAGTGTTGCAGAGATAGACAAAAAGTCAGTTAAAAAATAGCCTCAAATTATATATAATATAGGGAGCATTTAAGTCAGTAGGGGAAAGGTAAACGATCATAAAAAATGGCTTAGAGACAACTATCTGTCTACACTACAGCAGCCCCATGCTAGGGGAAGGCTCAGGAGAATTCAGCTGAGGTGGCATCCAAGAAGGAGAAAAGGTGATCAAACATGACAACCATTACAGAGACATGAGGATGAGTAGCTCATCTCTGGAGGCTCTACCATGGTGAATATCCCATGGTGTGGTTTCAGTTGAGCGACAGGTATAGAAGCTGGTTTATGCTGAGTTAATTAGAGGATAGGTGGTGAAGTACTGAAACATATAAGAGTAAGGTCATTTTCCAAGGATTTGAGGGAGGAAAAATATGTATGCAAAATAACCTGAAAAGGTGGCCACAAGACAGAAGCTACTTTGGTTGGTGAGAGCTGCACATATTGTAAACAAAAGGAAAGAACCCGTACTGAATGTGCATATGGAAGAGGAGATGGCTGATTGGTTAAAGTACTTCTGGAGGTGGAAGCGGATAATATTTAGATGCTGAAAGAGGACTATTAATTCCAGAGAGAAAATAGTGCAATAGAGTTCAGTTTGTCTATGAACAAAATAAAACAAACCATAAATAGTCCTCTTTCTCATCTCCACACACACCGTCTGGGTTAGTCTTAACAGACCCCATAAGAAAAAATTCAAAGGAGGGTATTTAAAATGAAAAGAGGATACTGAGATTTGGCTTTTGTTAAGATAAGATATAATTGACTGTAGAAAATATGCCACTAAAATTAAGATTAAACTACATTTTGCAGCATAAGAGTAAACCAAGTTGTTTTCTAAATGTAGTAATTAAATCAATTAAGAAAAAAAATCTATCAAAATAGGTGAAATCCAACCACTGAAACCTCACTAGTTTATGTTACAGCAAGCCCACAGGAAAAAATCACAATGGCATCTGCAAGAAACACGCTTGCCCGTCCAAACTCAAAGAATGGACTCAGGGACAGGGAGAACAGCAGAAGCGAGACTTTAATGGCGGTTTCACGAGATCAAGTGTTTGGCATGCAGAGGCACACCCTGAACAGTTTTAACAAGCAATTTATTCCCTAGTGTGCAAGTCCCTCCCCCAGTTCCTCATTGGCTGAGTATATGGGGGTTACAATCTTCCTGGACACTGCCTATTGGTAGTTGTGTTAAGGCTTCAAGTGTGTTTTTTAGGGTCTTTCTGCTGCATTTTATTGCCGCCCATAATGCATTGTGACTGTCTCAGGACTTTTTAAACATTTGACCTATGGTCCTAGTGGCTGCACCTAACTGCTAAGAAAGAGTACAATTACCGATGCTGCAAGCTTGCCTAAACTAAATTTTTTGGTGGGGTGGGAGGGGGTGGTTAAGTGGGCCCTGACTGATAGGTGCCTGGCCACTGGTTGAAAGGGAAAGCAAGAAGGGGGTGGTGACTTAGTACATTCTGCTTCTTTATTCCTTTGTAGTCTGTTTAAACCTACATTAAGTCACTTATAATTGAAAATGGACCACCACATATAGGTTATTTTCTATAGTATTCAATCTTATCATCATCATTTGGTCAAAACAACTCTGGGTAAAGACTTTAGGGAAATCTTTTACAGGTGAAACATCAAATTTCCAGAGGGTATTCTTGTCTTTTATATTTATTCTTTTTCTATTTTTTAAGAAGAATAAACTTTGAATATAAAATGCCCATGCATATTTAGTAAGTTTCCCTCCCAATCCAGGTGAAGTTGACACTGGTGCTGATATGGGCAGTTCAAGCATGTAAAAAAATATGCTCAAGTGTAACTATTATTATAAAGCCTCTCACATACTACGAAAGTAAACATCATCCACTGTGGGAACACATAATTGTCTTGTTCAGTGCACTTTAGAAGTAGTAATGAGTAGAGATTAGAAACCAAATCATGAGTAATACTGGACAGATGAGCTCTCACTGCTGAGTATAAAGCTATATTAAAATAAAACCACTACTGAGGATGTCATCAAGATGACTGACTAGAGGAACCCAGCACTCACTCTTCCACAGAGAAGAAACAGATAACCACACACTGAACAGAATGTCTAAGGGAGAACACTGGAATTCAGTAAGGGAGTGACGAAGACACTCTGAGGCATGGAGACTCAGGACGGTGGCATAGAATGGAAGCAAAGCAGCCATCTGGTTCTTGGCTTTGGTTGAAAGCCAAGAGGGAATACTCACGGTAGGAAAAAGGTGAACAAGAGATCTCCAGCAGTCCATTCATACCACAGACATTTGCAATCCTGGCTGCAGGAGTGCCCTACAGCATTCACAGGCCCTGAGTCCAGTATGAGGAGCTGCCTAGAGTCCTTGCAACTGCATTATTCCAGAGAGGAAATTCATGCTGGGTTGACCCCAATTCCTGGGACCCAGGCTACTGCAACATGGCAAATTTTGAGAGCTCAGCCACCACCAGAGTGCATCATGCCCAGGTGTATGAGTTTGTTTTCATGCTGCTAATAAAGACATACCCAAGACTGGGTAGTTTATAAAGGAAAGCAGTTTCATTAGCTTACAGCTCCACATGGCTGGGGAAGCCTCACAATCCTGGAAGAAGGCGAACAAGGAGCAAAGTCACGTCTTACATGGTGGCAGGCAAGAGGGCTTGTGCAGGGGAACTCCCATTTATAAAACCATCAGATCTTGTGAGACTTATTCACTACTGATGGCGGCAGCAGGCTGTCTGGTGCAGCAGCTGCCATCACACCCACCGCTGCAGGAAGGGCATGGGGAGGTGGCAGATGGATCCCACCCCCACAGCCCACTGCTCTGGGGGCTGCTGCAATGGGGCAGGGCTGGGTTTCCAGCTGGTTGGGGAGTAGTACAGTCAGTCAGAGAGGGGTCTCGAGGCAGAGCTGGGCCTGGGAAGGTACAGTGCTTGTACATGGAATGCTGGGGCCAGCCTGGGGAGGTGGAGCTGGGGCTGGGCTTCAGGGGCTGTGGTGGGAAGTGGGAGAAGTGCCCACTTTTGGACCAGTCAGGAATGCAGCAGTTGTGCCCAGCCCGCTAAGGATACTTGGTCCCTGGGCCTTAGGAGGAGGCTCTGTGCAGGGCTGCCCTGGGCCACATCCCCAGGATCTGCCCCATGTAGGGGTGACTGGTGAGCCTGACACACCTGATGGCAGGCCTGGGGCCCATTATCTGCTCCACCATGGTCTGTCCCTGAGTGCCAGGGCAATGGGAGGAGCTCATGGCAATGTCACCCTTCCCCAGGTGTGGGCCTGGGCCCAGAGAGGACCTGGAGCCCCCACCCCAGGCTATGAGGGGGCACCACAGGGGCTGCATGCTCCACAGAGCCTGTGGAAGCCAGGAGGAGGCAGCAGCCCTCCCTGCACCCTACCCTTGCACAGCTGCAGCTGCCAAAGTCTGGGCTATAGGCCCGGGCCTATGTGTACTCTTGGCCTGGGAGGGTCCCCTGTCCCCTACAGGCTCAGAAATGCCTGCTCCCACTGCCTGGCTTCTCCCCGCTCTTAGTGCCTGCTCCAATCTCAGAGGCACTGCCAGGGCTTCATGCTCCATGGAGCCAGCAGGAGCTCCACCCCTTGCAAGCTGGTGGGAGGGAGCTCCCTGGGTGAAGCTGCAGCCACCCTCCCAGGCACAGGACCTGGGAGTCTGTAGTCTACACCCTCGGGAATGAGAAGAACCCCTGTCCCCACAGGCTCAGGGGTATCTGCTCCCACTGCCTGGCCTCTCCCTGCTACAGGTGCAGGCTCCAATCTGGGAGCAGTGTTGGAGCTGAGCTCAGGCACTGTTAGAGCCTGGCTGGATGTGTGCAAGCTTGGGCCCTGCCACCTTGGCCCTTTGTGAACTTTGGGTGCTGACAAGCACAGTGGGAGAAGCTGAGGCTGGGGGCCTGAGGGTGGCTTAGTGCTGGCCTGCAGGCACCCCTTGGTGTGAGCACCCCAGGTACCATGGAAGGTGGCAGGAGGCAAACAGGATCCTGCGCAGAAGTGGGAAGGTCCATGGCAGGGCCCCACCTTCAGGCCAGCCAGGGCCTGAAGGCTGAGGTCTAGGCTGTCAGTCCTGCAGACCAGTGGGAACTTGTGGTGCCTTCTCTGGGCCTACTCACGGCTGCAATGAACCAATCAGCATGCACTTCCTTCCCTCTGAGACCTATAAAAGCCCCAGGCTCAGCCAGAACAGAGGAGAAAATGGAGAGATGATGGGATGACCAGCTGCAGGGAGGAGCTACCCTCTTCAGGGCTTCCTTTCTGCTGAGAGCTGAACACTCGATGGGATGGCCTGCCTGCATAGAGGAGCCACCAACTTCAGGGCCTCCTCTGCTGAGAGCTGGACACAACCTGGCTGCAGAGAGGAGCTGCCACCTGTGGGTCTCCTCTGAGCTGTTCTCACACTCAATAAAGCTTCTCTTTGTCTCACTCACCCTCCACTTGTCTTCATACCTCATTCTTCCTGGATGCTGGACAAGAATTCAGGCAAAGGCACCACTAGCCACAGAGGTTTCTGGCCAGAAAAACCAACACCCCAGAGATCCTGTAACATTTTGGGGGCTGGTCCAGGATCTGTGGAAGGATGAGAACAAGTGGATCTGCTCTTTCTGTCCTTATTTTGGAGTCTGCAACTCCACAATAGTCAAAATGAAAGAAAAATACCAAGCCTCTCTCAGCCAGTTAAAAGTGACTAGCGTGGCTGCCAGACTTAAGACATGGAGGACAGGCTTGCTGGGGAAGAAACTGTCAATCCCCCATCACCCCCAGGTGTTGGGAATGTTGACTTTGTTCCAACCTGGTTTCCCTTCACGGAGGTCTAGCCATCATGTGGGACTGGAAGGAGGTCCTGAACAACTAAGGGTATCTGGCTGAGGCTACCCCTTGGTGTTATCCAAAGGCCCCTGGACTAACTCTAAACCCTGACTGCCTGTTAGGGTGTTGGCACTAGGATCTCCAGTCTTTCCTATTGTTCTTTCTTTCTTTCACAGCTGTCAAGGTTCATATCTCTTCTTCACATACAATGTTAAATGTTATGGATGTTGCTGCAAACCAGATATATTATTGGGTAGAAAGAGCATTTGGCTTAGTCATCAAAAGTATAAAATGAAAGTTTAAGAGCAGCACAAATGAAGCAAAGTGTGCCTTGGTACCTGTACGTGAATTTGTGGCAAAAATGTTCTTGTCATTTTCTTGGTTGCCAGAGTAATGCCAAGCACCTTGAGGCACACAAAAGAAGCATGGCTTCAGGAAGGAAGCATTAATTTCCATACCATACTGTAGCTGGGCCTTTTCTGTAAACACAAGGGCCAGTAGTCTGAGGTCCCATATGTGCAGGCCTTCTTTGCCTTTCAGGATAATCCAGACATTTGCCTCTGTTGCAGGATTGATTCAACCCTCTTAGCAACCATCTCAGGAGAGGTCACAAGGGGAAATTCCAGGGAAATAGGGAAGCAAACCCCAGAGGTACCTCCAGCCAGTGAATTGACTCCCTCCATTCCTCTCTATCTAAGTTCTCTTGCAAACTCACTTCCACCTAGGAATCCTCAGATTAGGCAGGTCCCACTCTCACTCCTGCCCCTACAACAGATGCCTGGTGAATATGGCCCCATTAAAGTCCAGGTCTTCTTTTCTTTACAGGACTTAAGGCAAATTAAAAGGGATTTTGGCAAGTTTTCAGACAGCCCTGACATGTATATAGAGGCTTTCCAGAACATAACCCAAGTATTTGAGCTCTCCTAGAAAGATGTCAGGTTCCTTTTGAATCAAACCCTCACCACTGCTGAAAAGCAGGACACCCTGTAAGTGGCAGAGAATTTTGAGGATGAGCTTTATATCTCATATAGGGCCAGGGAAGAGAAGGAGCCTTATCCAATTGGAATAATAGCAGTACCATTGGAAGACCCTAAAAGGGACCCCAAAGATGAAATGGGACCATGAACGAGGAAATATTTCAGGTGTGAAAAAGCAACACCCCAAAGATTCTGTAAAACTACCACAAGAACAGTATGGGGAAACTGCCCCCCTGATTCAATTATCTCCACTTGACCCTGCCCTTAACATGTGGGGATTATTACAATTCAAGGTGAGATTTGTATGGGTGGCAACTCAGCCAAACCATATCACCATGGAACCAATAGTTCCTGCAATTCCTTATCCCTGGGGCCCAGGTGATAACCTTCCAACATCTACCTGAAGGGCTGCAATGTCACCACAGCAGCTGGATCTAGCACCGCAGCTGTGACCTCGGCACCCAAGCTCACACATTGCCCTGCATCTCAAGGAACAGGTGGTTCAGCACAGCAGGGAGGCTGACCCCAGGACAGAGGGAGCCACCATGCATGTTCCCCATGGCCTGGGAGCCACCTGCTCAGGGCTTGTGCTGCCCCTGCTGGTGCCCTTGCTCCTCCAGTGCAGGACTGCCACGTGCTCACTTGCACCATGGAAGGACCCAAGGACTGGCTGCCTGTGGCCTGCCACCACCCCTACCAGTGACTCTGTCCCTTCTAGTGGTGGAGCCATCATGCATCCATACATGATGCCCAAGAGCTCAAAGACCAGCCTGCCTGGAATCCCTGTCCCCAGCAAAGCCATGCCATAGCCTCCAAAAACAACCACAACTTAAGCCACTGAGACACTCACAGACACTGCTGATGTTGATTACATCAAAATAAATCATACACAGACTACATGACTGTGTCCACCCAGAACCAAAGCCAAAGCACCATAATCAACTGACTCCAAAGGATACATCTACAGGAAAATGTCTTTCCGTACGAAATATACTTCTTAAGATTGGAAAAAGCAACTCTTCCATCAGATGCACAGAAATCAACATAGGGATGCAGGAAACATGGAAAAGCAAAGAAACGTGACATCTTCAAAAGAACACAATAGTTATCTAGCAACAGACCACAAAGTAAAGGAAAGCCATGAAATGCCTGAAAAATATTTCAAAATAATGATCTTAAGGGAACTCAGTGAGATGCAGGAAGGCAAAGACAGACAATTCAGGAAAACAAATTCAGGAAAATAAAATCAGGAAAACAATTTATAATCTGAATAAGAAATTCAACAGAGGTCAATATCATCAAAAACCCAGAAATTTTGGGACTGAAGAATTCAATGAATAAAGAAAAGATGCAGTTGAGGGCTTCAACAATAGAGTAGATCAAGGCAAAAAAATAATTTCTGAGGCCGAGCGTGGTGGCTCATGCCTGTAATCCCAGCACTTTGGGAGGCCGAGACGGGCAGATCATGAGGTCAGGAGATTGAGACCGTCCTGGCTAGCATGGTGAAACCCCTTCTCTACTAAAAATACAAAAAATTAGCTGGGCGTGGTGGTGGGCGCCAGTAGTCCCAGCTACTTGGGAGGCTGAGGCAGGAGAATGGTGTGAACCTGGGAGGCAGAGCTTGCAGTGAGCCGAGATCGCACCACTGCACTCCAGCCTGGGCGACTGAAGACAGGTATATTAAAATACAGAAGTCAGAGAAAAATAAAGAAAAAAGAATGAAGTAAGCCTATGTGACACATGGGATGCCATTAAGTAAAAATGTTTTTGCATTATGAGAGTTCCAGAAGGAAAAGAGATGGGACAAGAAATAAAATTATCTAATGAAATAATTGGAAATTATGCTAGTTCCACAGGGTCCATAGTGATAGGGACATTCAGATACAGTAAGCTCAAGACACCCACATAGATTTAATCTAAAAAAGTCCTTTCTGAGGCACATTATAGTCAAACAGTCAAAAGTGAAAGACAAAGAGGGAATTCTAGAAACACCACATGATCTCACTCATATTGGTAGCTAAAAAAGCTGATCCTATAGAAGTAGACAGTAGAACTGTGGTTATTAGGGGCCGAGACAGGTAGTGGGGGAGGTTAGAGAGAGGTTGATTAACAGATATAAAATTACAGCTAGATAGGAGGAATAAACTCTAATGTTCTATAGCATTGCAGAGTGACTATAGTTAACCATAATTTATTGTATATATTCAAACGCTAGAAAAGAGAATTTTGAGTGTTCTCAGTACCAAGAAATGATAAATTGCCAGATGACGTGGCTCATGCCTGTAATCCCAGCATTTTGGAGGGCTGAGGCGGGTGGATTGCTTGAGCTCAGTAGTTAGAGTCCAGCCTGGACAACATGGCAAAATCCAATCTCTACAAAAAATACAAAAATTAGCTGGGTGTGGTGGCAAGCACCTGTAGTCCCAGATACTCAGGAGGCTGAGATGGGAGGATCGCTTGTGCCCAGGAGGTGGAGGTTGCAGTGAGCCGAGATCATGCCACTGCACTCCAGCCTGGGCAACAAAGCCAGACTCTGTCTCAATCAATCAATCAACCAATAAATAAATAAATAAATAAATAAATAAATAAATAAATAAATAAATGTGTGAGGTACCAATTACCCTGATTTGATCATTGTGCATACACATATATCAAAATACCACTCTGGGCCAGGCATGGTGGCTCATGCCTATAATCCCAGCACTTTGGGAGGCTGAGGTGGGTGGATCACCTGAGGTCAGGAGTTTGAGACCAGCCTGGTCAAAATGGCAAAACCCCATCTCTACTAAAAATACAAAAATTAGCAGGGCTTGGCAGGTGCCTGAAATCCTAGCTACTCAGGAGGCTGAGGCAGGACAATTGTTTGAACCCAGGAGGCAGAGGTTGCAATGAAAAAATCACTCTGTATCTCATAAACATGTACAATTATTACATACTAACTAAAAATAAATAAATAAATAAACCTAATGGCTTCCATTCTGTTTTCCATAGAGACAGCATCTCACTATGTTGCCCAGGCAGGTCTCAAACTCCTGGCCTCAAGTGGTCCTCCCACCTCAGCCTCCCAAAGGGCTGAGATTACAGCCATGAACCACTGTGGCCAGTCCTGGCTTCTATCCTAATGGCCAGAAATATCAGATAAAAATTACTCCAAATGCCTTTCCATAGTCTGAAGACCATCAGTGCCAGAGGCTGACCCTATTAAGTAAGCTTTGATATGGAGTTTCTTTAAATATTTCACAAATACTGTTAAAAAAAAAAGACGAAACCAATTTGGGAGAAATGGTTTAATATCTACCCAGTAGAAGAGACTAAAAATTATGTGTATATCTTGTGATTAATTTTAAAGATTAGCTTTTTTTCTCATTATAAATGTGACACATTTATAATGAGAAATTATAATGAATCGAATAAGCTGAGCTTATTCGATTCATTCTGCAAGACAGTTTTAACTATAGCAGGTGTCTACAGCTGCCCAGGTGCTGTGTAGAGCACACTGCAAGTTGTTTCTTTAGCTTGGAGGCTTTATAAGGAGAATAAAGCGCTGTGTTGAGACTATCAGAAAACGCCCTCAGTGAGAGACACAGGCTGCTGTGGTATACAAAACACACCAAGATGACATGAGGTAGAAATCACCATCAGACAGGAATTCCTTCTGTGTGCTGGGTTCTCTAACTGCCCCTCCCAGGATGAGTAAAAAAATACTGCCCATGATACCTATGTATACAGAAAGTTCTAAGGGTGGAAATACACAGGGCCTCGTGGTGCCAAAACCATTTCTTTGTTTAGCCTAAGCCCTTTCACATCGAAGTTTCAAAGCTGTGTTAACCCCATCCTCCGTGATGCCTGCTTCCATCCACACACCCCTGCAGCTCTACTTCACCCCTTCTCCACCTTGCCTACTCTTTCTTTCCATCTGAAAGTTGTCCAGCAGCCCCACTCACAGGAAACTGATAGCCTGTGTGGTACTATCAGGTGTATTGTTTTTAAAGCTTTATGCAATATTTTTCCCACCACATTATATACAAGTCCCACAAAACCAGAACCTTTACTCTTCCATATTTGAATTCCCAACAACTAGCAGAGTACCTGACATTAGGTAACCCAGAGAAGTTTGTCAATTGATTTATATTTGTATTTTCTTGGTAAATTATTAACATCTCTGCTTTTCAGCTACTTCTTTAAATGAAATGTATTAAAATGCATTACCCAGATTTTGATCATAACAATATGTTTTCATGTTTTAGTTTCATTCCATAATCAAAAATTTAATTATAGTGTTTATATTTTTATTTGTGAACTTGACATCTCCTTCCACATACAGATAATGGCAAATCTGTGAATCTAATGTGAAAGCTAAATTAAAAGTTTCTTTCAAAATTATTCAATTCTAATTCTTGATGGATGAGTTCTTTGCCTTTTTAAATTTAAGCTGAGGGATTTGAAAATTGACCTTTATTTAATTGCGTTGTTTTGTTCTAGTTATGTTAATGCAAAATATTAGTTTGCAAATGAAGAATGGATTCTAGACTTACTACAGTAAATTGCATAAACACTGAAATATTTTGTCAGCTGTGAACTGTAATAAAAATTATTTTTCCATCAAAAGCCATTTTCATTTTTAATACCCATCATTGTACAAAAGTACTTATAACTATTTCTACTAATTGGTGTTAAGGTAGGCTGACTCTAAGATGCAGAAGGTCTGATTAGAGTTAGGAGGATGACATATCCTTGTTTTCCTGGGACAGTCCCAGTTTATGTCTGTTATCCTGAAGTGAGTATTTTTTTTTTTTTTTGAGACAGAGTCTCACTCTGTCTCCCAGGCTGGAGTGCAGTGGTGTGATCTCAGCTCACTGAAACCTCTGCCTCCTGGGTTCAAGCAATTCTCGTGCTTCAGCATCCCGAGTAGCTGGGATTACAGGCGTTCACCACCACGTCCGGTTAATTTTTGTATTTTCAAAATGGGTTTCACCACTTTGGCCAGGCTGGTCTCAAACTCCTGACATCCGGTGATCAGCCTGTCTAGGCCTCCCAAAGTGTTGGGATTGCAGGCGTGAGCCACCATGCCTGGCCTTCACTCTCAAAAGTATCCTAGTTTGGATGATCATCTGTATGGCCACTCTAGTTATACTGCCAGTTCTAACCAGCTGTGTGGCTTTGTGTAGGTTAGTTAACTTTTACTGGGCTCAATTTCCCCATTTTTAAATTGAGGAGGTAGACCTATGTAGGACCTCAGGTCTGTTTGGCTCTATTTTTATGACTTGCAAAGAAATCACTGGCAGGTTTGAGAGTTGTTGTATCTTATAACTCTCTAATACTCAGGAAAAACACACTCCTTTGCTAAAGAAATTTACAGAAAAGCTTTCTTAAAGCAAAAATCCCAATGCAGCTTTCTGACCAGACTCTGATGTGCTGGTATTTGCTCAGCTCTGTGTGGCTCACCTGCTCTTGTAAGGGTGGCAAGCCTCTCAACAATCAACTGTCCTACGCAGACCTTCAAGTTACATGAACTTTACATCTCTGGATCGAACCAGGGGAAAGAGGAAGACAGTGGGGGAGGAGCACAAAGAAACAGCATGAACCCACTGCAAGCCTGGTAAAGGAGAGCTGCACCACCAACAGTGAGGCGAAGAGCTTGTGAGGCCACTGTGGGAGGAGGCTGAGGGCTGCTTCTGTGAGTCAGTTTGTGAAGAATAGGACACCTACTAAAGAGGGACTTCGCACCTGAGTTTCCAGGATATTTGAGATCCACAAAAGTAATATTAGAAATCTATTAATTGTTCAATATTTTGAAATTCCAGGTGGAAATTGCTCATCTGCAGCACTTGCCTTCTTAGGTTATCGAGAATATTAGATCCCTGTGATTTCAGACAGAATTATGTGACTGCATTTTGAGAATGATAGAACATGAAACATAAGCTGACACAATTAAGCCTGGTTAAGACAATCCACTGATCACTGAAGATCCGCTGAGCTTATTTGATTCATTCTGCAAGACAGTTTTAACTATAGCAGCTGTCTACGGCAGCCCAGGTGCTGTGTAGAGCACCCTGCAAGTCGTTTCTTTAGCTTGGAGGCTTTATAAGGAGAATAAAGGGCTGTGTTGAGACTATCAGAAAGTGCCTTCAGTGAGAGAGACACAGACTGCTGTGGTATACAAAACACACCAAGATGACATGAGGTAGAAACGAGCATCAGACAGGAGTTCCTTCTGTGTGCTGGGTTCTCTAACTGCCCCTCCCAGGATGGGTGAGGGCATTGTTTTTGTTTGGATGTCATTTCTTCTAAGAAACAGAAATTCCCTGGAGTGTGCCATGGGCCTTGCCCTGTGCAGTCTCCTCTGTAATACTTGGTTCTTGCTTCAGGGTTTTCACAACTAACTACAGAGAGTTCTTGGATTTGGTTAAGGCATTTTCTCAAGGTGCAGTCGCTATATATAAATTCTTTTTCTATTGTTTTTCACACTATGTGCTCTGAAATTTGCTGAATGCCTGCTTTGCTAGGTGCAGAAGTTAGTGTTTCTTGTAGAGTAAATCTGACAAAGTAGACAGAGGCCCCAGGGCAGGTTGTGGAGAGTAATAGCAGCTGAAGGTGACAGAGCAAGGTCAGCTTGGGCCTTGGGGGCCAGGCGAGGTTGAAGCTGGAAATTAGAGGAACCAGGGTATACCAAAGATACTTAATTCGAAGAGTGACAAAATAACTGGGCGCCAAATTAAACAGGGGTAGAATTATTGGGTCTTAAATAAAAGTGTTATTTAAAGCTCTTAAGGGGTCTCATGCTAAAACCTCAGACTGCAGGCAGAGGGATGTTTTCCCAAGTGGTCTGCAGGACTCTGTTGTGGGAGATATTGAGGACCCAGAAAATGGGTCCTGCCTGCAGATAAGTTTGGGAAACTTCTTCTTAAAATGTCCTCTTTGTGATTAAAATCTCATATTGGTGTTTTGAAGAAGGAAGATTTTCTACACTAAAGAAATCCATTTAATTTTGTTTGCAACATAACCTCTTAAGGTTATTACAGAGCAGAATTCCTGCTCACCCGTGTGTCACACAAAGAACAGCAATGAACATCCTGAAAACTCCCGCTTACCCGTGTGTCACACACAGAACACCAATGAACGTCCTGCAAAACTCCTGCTCACCAGTGTCACGAACAGAACACCAATGAACATCCTCCAAAGCTCCCGCTCACCCGTGTGTCACACACAGAACAGCAACGAATGTCCTGCAAAGCTCCCGCTCACCCATGTGTCACACTGAAAACCAATGAACGTCCTGTAAAACTCCCGCTCACCTGTGTGTCACACACAGAACACCAATGAACGTGCTGCAAAACTCCCGCTCACCCGTGCGTGTCACACACAGAGAACACCAATGACCGTCCTGCAAAACTCCCGCTCACCTGTGTGTCACACAAAGAACAGCAATGAACGTCCTGCAAAACTCCCGCTCACCCGTGTGTCACACACAGAGAACAGCAATGAACATCTTGCAAAAATGCCACTCACCCCTGTGTCACACACAGAGAACACCAATGAACGTCCTGTAAAACTCCTTCTCACCCGTGTGTCACACACAGAACACCAGTGTACATCCTGTAAAACTCCCGCTCACCCGTGTGTCACACACAGAACACCAATGAATGTCCTGCAAAACTCCCGCTCACCCGTGTGTCACACACAGAACAGCAATGAACGTCCTGCAAAACTCCCGCTCACCCCTGTGTCACATACACAACACCACTGAACATCCTGCAAAACTCCCGCTCACCCGTGAGTCACGCAGAGAACACCAATGAACGGCTGCAAAACTCCCGCTCACCCGTGCATGTCACACACAGAGAACAGCAATGAACGTCCTGCAAAACTCCCGCTCACCTGTGTGTCACACAAAGAACAGCAATGAACGTCCTGCAAAACTTCCGCTCACCCGTGTGTCACACACAGAGAACAGCAATGAACGTCCTGCAAAAATGCCACTCACCCCTGGTCACACACAGAACACCAATGAACGTCCTGTAAAACTCCCGCTCACCCGTGTGTCACGCAGAGAACACCAATGAACGTGCTGCAAAACTCCCGCTCACCCCTGTGTCACGCACAGGACAGCAATGAACGTCCTGCAAAACTCCCGCTCACCCATGTGTCACACACGGAGAACAGCAATGAACGTCCTGCAAAACTCCCGCTCACCTGTGTGTCACACAAAGAACAGCAATGAACGTCCTGCAAAACTTCCGCTCACCCGTGTGTCACACACAGAGAACAGCAATGAACGTCCTGCAAAAATGCCACTCACCCCTGGTCACACACAGAACAGCAATGAACGTCCTGCAAAACTCCCGCTCACCCGTGTGTCACACACAGAGAACAGCAATGAACGTCCTGCAAAACTCCCGCTCACCTGTGTGTCACACAAAGAACAGCAATGAACGTCCTGCAAAACTCCCGCTCACCCATGTGTCACACACGGAGAACAGCAATGAACGTCCTGCAAAACTCCCGCTCACCTGTGTGTCACACAAAGAACAGCAATGAACGTCCTGCAAAACTCCCGCTCACCTGTGTGTCACACACAGAGAACAGCAATGAACGTCCTGCAAAACTCCCGCTCACCTGTGTGTCACACACAGAGAACAGCAATGAACATCCTGCAAAAATGCCACTCACCCCTGTGTCACACACAGAACACCAAAGAACGTCCTGTAAAACTCCCGCTCACCCGTGCGTGTCACACACAGAGAACACCAATGAATGTCCTGCAAAACTCCCGCTCATCTGTGTGTCACACAAAGAACAGCAATGAACGTCCTGCAAAACTCCCGCTCACCTGTGTGTCACACACAGAGAACAGCAATGAACATCCTGCAAAAATGCCACTCACCCCTGTGTCACACACAGAGAACACCAATGAACGTCCTGTAAAACTCCTTCTCACCCGTGTGTCACACACAGAACACCAATGTATGTCCTGTAAAACTCCCACTCACCCGTGTGTCACACACAGAGAACAGCAATGAATGTCCAGCAAAACTCCTTCTCACCCATGTGTCACACAGAGAACACCAATGAACATCCTGTAAAACTCCTTCTCACCTGTGTGTCACACAGAGAACACCAATGTATGTCCTGTAAAACTCCCACTCACCCGTGTGTCACACACAGAGAACAGCAATGAATGTCCAGCAAAACTCCTTCTCACCCATGTGTCACACACAGAACAGCAATGAACGTCCTGCAAAACTCTGACTCAGAGGACCTTGTCCAAAAAGAACAACATAACTCAACAAAATGCCTTTTTTAGTGTTTAAAAAAGTTGAAAAGAGATGAAATATTTATTAAATTTTTATTAATAAATATGAATGGTGGCTACATTTTCTGTATTTTATGTCTGCATTGCTCACAACAGAGAGAAACATCATTGTAACTCATCTTAATGGTGAAAATATCAGCATTCCTTTCTCCAGCTGACCAAAATATCTCTGCTTTAATTTAAGCCTGATTCTTCTTGTTAATTTTCACAAACTCATGGAAAAACTGATCATTTTCCCCTTTATAAAAATGTATTACAATAATAATGAGAAAACACTTCCTTTTAATAATTTCCTTTAACTTTTTTTGTTTTATTATTTACTTAGCACTTTGAATCACTCCCATCACTTTTTCTGAACTTTCACTAGCTTTCTATTCTCTTTCACGTAATTACCCCAAGGCACCTTTGAAGTTCATCAGAAAAAAAAAAAAAAAAAGGGAAAAGAGACTTCCTGGTACAAAAGAAGCTGCTGAGTCATTTTCCCCGGAACAGAAAACACCAGGATTGTGCGGAAGTCAGGGCTCCGGAGGCACCTGCCCTCAGCAGGGCCAGGGCCACTGGAGAGTGGAGATCCCACACACCTGCCTGAGGTTGCTTTGGGCCCTATGAGGGGCAGTCCAAGAAGCTCCTCGTGTGGAAACATTATCTCATGGTTACCCAGTGGGCACCGAAGCAAGCCAAATCTTTGGTCCACACACAAAGACTCCTTAGGAAAATTATGGGAAGCTGGTCAAAATGATAAAGTAGCACAATTGTTCCTTCTTCACAGGAACCTGGTGTTCTTAATCTTAACACTTCAAATGGTGACATTTTAACCCAGGTGGAGGAAAACATTGGTGTCAAACTGCAGTCACATGTTTGTAATTCTCTCTATAAAACTTTAAAGGCATTGTGTGCATGTTAATCTTCAATAAATGTGATTTATATAGGCAGTTGGCAGTCATACGTTACCTGAACTTGTTCTGACAGGACAGATGAGGTTTCTGGAGCCTAAGGACCTACATCAACAAACCTAATTGTTTTGCCCATGGCTTTTCCAATAAATGAAGGCACTATTGGGAAAAGGGCGATGGCTTGGCGTATTTACTGTGGGTGGTTGAGTGACACGCAGCCTGTGTGATTTAGCGGGAGCTTAATGGTGTCACATGTAAGAAACACTGCAGTCCCCTCTGAATCAAAAGGACTAGGAAGTTTCCAAAACCAACGACTAAGAACTGGTTATTAATTAAACAGGAACCTAATTAATAAATTACCTATAAAAGGTGTATTTTTAGAAATCATTACAATGTAATAATTTATTTTGTACTTTAGAAGGAAGTTTATTGGCTTTGAGCTAATTTTTTCTGGGCAATCTAGACATTGACAGACCATGGAGAAGTAGCCACATGGATGCATTGGCTGTAATTTCTGACCACATATAGCAGGCTCTGATTATGAATTAATGCAAGGTTTTGGAAAAGACAATGGTTTTAAAGCCGATGGTCTCGGGCTAAAGCCTGGCCCTGTCACTTACTTGTTAAACGGACTGATGAAACTTAATAACTCTTCATCAGTACCGTTCAGATGATTGGACTTTCCCCACATGGTTCTATAGGGATTGACAAGGACCATATGTGGAAAAGTTTCTGATATAGTTGGTAGTTTCTTTGCTTTCTCCCTTTATTTTCAGCTATCTTCTTTCCCTCGATTCTGAAACCTTGAGATTCCTAAGCTAGCAAGTGTGTTTGAAAGCAGCTAAGGGTATAGGCAGCACATTTCTGGCAATCTCCACAGTGGTATTTAGGAGAGAACTTTACCTGTGTGGTAGCTTGGAGTCCTTGAACTCCACTACTCACCAACTACATTGTTTTCCAAGAAAGTCTATAGGAAGATTTTCTAAAGTAATCAATTGATATTCCAGTTGTGCAGATGAGCACTTACTTTTGTTCTTAAAACTCCATCTCTCGTGCTGTAGGGTTCCCTTGGGCTCCATGGTGAGAAACTTGCATCCATGCACTGTGAAGGAGCCACGTCAATCAATGAGAATTATTCTCCCTACTAGAGAAGATAAGAGTTAAATAATGCATGAGGAAACTCCTTGCCAGCCATTTTAATTTCTAGAGAAACTAAGAATGTGTACTGTGGAGGAACGTCTGCATCCATGGTGCAGTCCTGCAGGTCTCACTGTACCTGTGCCCATTGCCCTGTGGTTTTGCAATTCCTCTCATTTAAGAGTTGAAGGCCCCTTCCCTACCCTGAAGCTCAGCTTGGTCATAAGACTCATGGTGGCCAGAAGGACGTTAGCAGACTTGGATCAAGCAGAGGCCTGAGGAAGCTCTCGTAGGTTTGTGTTGCCTCTCTTGCTTCTCTGCAATCCTGAGAACATGCCCAGACTAACTTAATCAAGGGATGGGAGAGGCATGTGCATGTGAGCACCACATGGAGCACAGCCAGCTGTCTTAGCCAAGATCATAGCAGACAAGTCTGCAGACAGCTGACTCCCAACCAAGTAGTGATCCCAGCAGGATCGCAGAGCTTCCACCCAATCTGAGGCTGACCACAGACACCTGAGTGAGCCCATTACCAGCTGAACAGACAGTAGAGTGCAATCTTAGATTATAATTGTTTTAAGCCACTGGGTTTTGAGGTAGTCTATTTTGCAGCATTATTGGGTGAATAGATAGCTGATACATGTACTTTAACAATATAAAAACATAAAGAATCCAAAATAGACTAGAGGACAATTATCCTGAGATGATTCATCATAGGATGAATCATAAAAACCATAAGCTTCTCTGAGGTCTGCAAATCCTTCCACAGAATGTTCTTTGTAGAGAGAGGCATACCTGTGCAGTAGCTTCAGGTACACTCTTCAGAATTCTTTCTATTGTAGGAGCTAGAAAGACTGCCAAATGAACAACTTAGAACACCCTCCTTCTCAATCATAGATATTTGAGGTAAGGATAAAGAATCCTGACACGCTGTGGTTAAGATCTTGTCTACGTATAACTACACTTCAGAAGTCACCACTTGCTTTTTTTGTTAATCATTATTGTAGGCAGGATAATAGCCCCTCAAAGATGCCCACATCCTATTCCCTGGAGCTTAAGAATATGTCACCTCATATGGCAAAAGAGACTTGCAGATGTGATTAAGAACCTTGAGATGGGAGATCACCCTGGGTTGTTGGGTGGCCTCAACATCATCACATGAGTCCTCACAAGAGGATGGCAGGAGGGTCAGAGTCAGAAGGAGATGTCAGGATAAAAGCGGAGGTCAGAGAAGAGAAAGGATACCATGGTAGTGGCTTTGATGATGGAGGAGAGGCTGTGAGCCAGGAAATTTGGGCAGTCTCTAGAAGCTGGAAGAGGCCCACTGGGAGATTCTTCCCAGAGCCTCAGAAGGAATGCAGTCCTGTGGACCCTTTTGGACTTCTGACCTCCAGAGCTCTCAGATAATACGTTTGTGTTCCTTTAAGTGACAAAGTACGTGGTAATTTATTACAGAAACAGTAGAAAACTAATACAACCTGCATCCATATACTCTGGTATTTGTAATATGAACTCTGAACTTCCTTGAAGAGCCAAGGCCTTGCCTAAACACTGCTGAGAGATTCGACCATACCTCAGCCATGCTTCCAGAACTGTTCTCGGCTGTGTCCCCTAAGCGACCCCGCCATAATGAGTCCACTCAACAAATCCAACGCTGCGAAACTGCAAAATGTACTCAGTCCCAACCCACAACCATAAATGTTTTTAATAATCTTCCGTTCACTCCCTCCATCATTTTCTATTCCACACAGCCCTCTCTTTTGGTTCCCCATTGTACCCCAACCCCTTTTTTTGTTCCCCCTTTCTCACTTCCTCATGGCCCCGTATTGGTTCCTCTCTGTTGTCCATTTAGAAACCCCAGTTACCTTCATCTTAGCTGGGGTTGAGCTCGGTGTTTCCTGGAGTCTCTTTCCCCTTTTGCAGTAGTCTAAATAAAATCTGTCTTGCTACCTTTAACATGTGTCTGGTGTTGTTTCTCTTTGACAGTAAACAATTTCGTTAAAAAAGGATACTCCATCCAATTCTCCTACGTAGTAATAGAATAACACCAAACTAATGCCTGGTTTTCATAAATCCTCCCTGAAAATACATTTGTCATCTTAGCTGTGTCACTAAAGTATAATGCAGTGAGGGCAGGGCAAATAAACTATGTTCTGTTCCATTCTGGGCATTCGCCTGTGCGGGGCAGCAGAATGAGTGCTGTGCAAGACCAAGAGGGAAGAGTGCTTGGGCTGAGACTGACAAGTAAGCCCCAGAAAGTTCCTGTGGCTCTGAGCTCCCCAAGGTGACTCTGGCAGGCAGGTGAGCTGCCCTTAGCATGCAGCTGTCAACAGCACCCTGAGAAGTGCCCCGGAGGTCCTTGGCAGGAGTCACAAAGAGAGGCTGAGCCATGGCAAGTAGAAGAGAACTTAGGGAAGATGGCATTTCTGCTCTCAGTGAGAGTAGCTTGAAAGGCAAGTGAAGGGAGGAGGGCACCTGTGGTGTTAGACAAAGGAGGTCCACTGCAGATTTAGGAAGGGAGTGTTGTCTTAGGGCTTGTTGATGGAAATCACAAACTGTTTCTGGGATATTTATGTAGAATATACACAATACCTTTTACATCTTCCCTCCTTGTCTGTTTCCCTCATACTATTTTCCTATTAACATTAGAGTTACAATGGAAATAATTTTGTTTGTTTGAGACAGGGTCTGGCTCTGTCACCCAGGCTGGAGTGCAGTGGCTTGATCTCAGCTCACTGAAACCTCTACCCCCCCACCACCCCTGGCTCCATGGACTCTCCCAACTCAGCCTCCAGAGTAGTTGGGATCACAGGCATGTGCCACCGTGCCTGGCTATTTTTCTGTATTTTTAGTAGAGAGGAGGTCTTGCCCTATTGCCCAGGCTGGTCTCAAACTCCTGAGCTCAATCAGTCTGCCTGCCTTGGCCTCCCAAAACGCTGGGATTACAGGCATAAGCCATACACCCAGGTGGAAATATGTTTAAAACAACAATGAAAAGACTCCACACTGCCTGAGGTCTGTCACTAGAAGAAGGGATCGCAGAGAAGCAAGAAAGGCAACACAAATCCACAGGGGCTTCCTCAGGCCTCTGCTTGCTCCAGGTCTGTTAACATTCTTCTGGCCACCATGAGTCTTATGTTCAAGCTGAACTTCAGGGTAGGGAAGGGGCCTCCACCTCTTGAATGAAGGGAATTGCAAAACTGCAGGGCAACGGGCACATGTACGGTGAGACCTGCAGGGCTGCACCATGGATGCAGACGTTCCTCCCTAGTACACATTCCTAGTTTCTCTAAAAATTAAAATGGCTGGCAAGGAGTTTCCTCACACATTATTTAATTCTTGTCTTCTTTAAAAACTAAAGTAATTCTGAAAATTGACTGATGTAGCTCTTTCACATTTGTGAGGACGGTGAAATGAAAATCTGTGCGACAGCACCAGCACTGGCCTCAGTGATTGCATTGTGCTGTCTTCTGCCTGCAAGCTCAGTGACTAAGCCAATTAGAAAATGTACGAAAGCAATAAATTATTAAGGGCCTCAGTATGTTTATGTTTGTGAGTATAGATGTGTGAGAGGAAAATATTTGGAGCCCCTGAAATCACTAACCTAAGAGGACAAGTCAAGCTTGGAACTGCTTAGGGCAAACTGTCTCTCATCCTATTCAAAGTCACTCCTCTGCTCACTGAGATAAATAGATATCTGATTGCATCCTTTGGAAAAGCTCATCAGAAACTCAGAAGAATTGTCTCTCACCTACCTGTGATCTGGAAGTCCCCTGCCTGCTTCAATTTGTCCTGCCTTCACCTCAAGTTGTCCCACCTTTTTGGACCGAACTAATGCTCATTTTACATATATTGATTGATTTCTCATATGTCCCTAAAATGTATAAAACCAAACTGTGCTCTGACCACCTTGGGCACATGTCATCAGGACCTCCTGAACCTGTGTCAAGGGTATATGTCCTCAACCTTGGTAAAATAAACTTTCTAAATTAACTGAGACCTGTCTCAAATTTTGGGGGTTAACAAACGTAACTGTAAAGGATAAATTATTCTGTGGTTCCATCAAAGAAATAATTTTGGGTTCAAGTCTCTTCTGTATAAAGCTGTGAGCATTCTGGCTGGCTGCCCAACAGTAAGGCAATGACTTACCCAAAACAAACAGATGTGCCTGCACATATGTCTACTCACGACATAGGCACCCTGGGAGCCAGGGGATGCATGGTGAGTCTGAACCCCCACAGCACACTTTGTCCTGATGCTGTGGAGCAGGAGCAAGTTCGAGTCACAGTCTTAGGCTCTGGGTCACTGTTCTGGCTCATTGTTCTGGACAGGACCCATGCAGTCAAAAAACCCAAAGTTGGTCAGAAACAAACCGCTGGGCCCTAGAAACCTAAAGATTGTCAGGGGACTGTGCAGTTGAAAGTAGCAGAAGAGGGGGCAATTTTTATGGGTCCTTAGGGCTTTTACGCGTTCCACATAGCAATGAGTGCTTAGCACGTGCTGGAACCAACAGCAGGAGGCAATCATGATGACTTTTTTCAAGTGTCTACTTACCCAGAAATTCAAATTTCTTTAAACATTTAAACATTTTCCTTTTGGTGAATATTTCAGACAGCAAATTCAGGACAAGCAGATACCATCAGCTCAAGGAAACTCACTTGAGCAACTAACCTCATTACACTTGAATATTATACTCCCACAGACACAATTTAAAGCGTTACTCCAAGACAGTTTTTGACATAATTCCTGGACCTGGAAGAATACAAATAAGGAACCCAGCAACTGGAAAAGTTACTAAAGTTTTACCAGGGATAAACTGGCTCACTAAAGGGCTTTTAGTTTTGCTGCAGGCATGTAAGCAAATGTGAGTGTGGCAATTGAAGACCATATCTTCAGAAAAACCTTCATTAATCTGTGGATCATCCAGTGCTAGACAGTAGGCTGCAGAGCAATGGCAGCAGAGTGAAGATCATCACCAGCCCATGGGGAGATAACACCAAAACCAAACACCCCAACACATGTGGGACTACAGGTGTGTTTTATGATGAGAGAGTCACTGGCCCATTTCTAATGGGATAAAGTAACTCAAAGGTTGGAAAATTCATATCTTTCTAAAGAAGGCAGAGGGCAGATTAGTGGTTACTCAGGTAGAATATGGGCCTTCCAAGATCTGCAGGAAGTCTCTATCATCTTATCATGAATTTAAACATTTGTATAGGCAAGTAGACCAAGTTCCTCTCTGTCTCCTCTTCTACCTCTTCCCTACTGTATAAGCCTTTCTCACACTGCCAATAAAAACATAGCTAAGACTGGGTAATTTATAAAGAAAAAAGAGGTTGATTGGACTCACAATTCCACGTGGCTGGGGAGGCTTCACAATCATGGCAGAAGGCAAAGGAGGAGCAAAGGCACCTCTTACATGGTGGCAGGCAAGAGAGTGTGTGCAGGGGAACCGGCCTTTATAAAACCATCAGATCATGTGAGACTTATTCACTATCACGAGAACAGCATGAGAAAAACCTGCCCCCATGATTTAATTACCTCCCACTGGGTCCCTTCCATGAAAAGTGGGGATTATAGGAGCTACAATTCAAGATGAGATTTGGCTGGAAACAGAGCCAAACTATATCATTCTTCCCTTGGTCCCTCTTAAATCTCATGTCCTCACATTTCAAAGTTGATCATGCCCTCCTAACAGTCCCCTAAAGTCTTAACTCATTTCAACATTAATTCAAAAGTCCACAGTCCGGAGTTTCATCTGAGACAAGGAAGTCCCTTCCACCTATGAGCCTATAAAATCTAAAGCAAGTTAGTTACTTCCTAGACACAATGGGGGTACAGGCATTAGGTAAATATGCCCATTCCAAATGGGAGAAATTGGCCAAAACAAAGGGGCTACAGGCCCCACACAAGTCCAAAATCCAATATGGCAGTCATTAAACCTTAGAATTCCAAAATGAGCTCCCTTGACTCCATGTCTCATATCCAGGTCACACTGATGCAATAAGTGGGCTCTCACAGTCTTGGGCAGCTCTACCTCTGTGGCTTTGCAGGATACAGCCTCCCTCCCCACTGCTTTCATGGGCTGGCATCGAGTGTGGCTTTTCCAGGTGCACAGTGCAAGCTGTTGGTTGATCTACCATTCTGAGGTCTGAAGGACGGTGGCCCCCTTCTCACAGCTCCACTAGGCAGTGCCTCAGTGGGGACTCTCTGTGGGGGCTTCGACCCCACATTCCCCTTCCACACTGCCCTAGCAGAGGTCCTCCATGAGGGCCCCACCCCTGCAGCAAACTTCTGCTTATATATCCAGGTGTTTCCATACATCATCTGAAATCTAGGTGGAGGTACCCAAACCTCAGTTTTTGAATTTTGTGTACCTGCAGGCTCAACACCACGTGGAAGCTGCCAAGGCTTGGGGCTTACACCCTCTGAAACCACAGCCTGAGCTGTACCTTGGCCCCTTTTAGCCACAGCTAGACAGACTGAGACACAGGGCACCAAGTCCCTAGGCTGCACACAGCAAGAGGGCCCTAGACCTGGCTCAGGAAACCATTTTTCCTTCCTAGGCCTCCACACCTGTGATTGGAGGGGCTGCCGTGAAGGTCTCTGATGTGCCCTGGAGACATTTTTCCCATTTTCTTGGTGATGAACATTTGGCTTCTCATTATTTATGCAAATTTCTGCAGCCAGCTTTAATTTCTCCTCAGAAAACGGGTTTTTCTTTTCTATTGCATCATCAGGCTGCAAGTTTTCCAAACTTTTATGCTCTGCTTCCTCTTGAACGTTTTGCCACTTAAAAATTTCTTCTGCCAGATACCCTAAATCATCTCTCTCAAGTTCAAAGTTCCACAGATCTCTAAGATAGGGACAAAATGCCACCAGTCTCTTTGCATAGCAAGAGTGACCTTACTCCAGTTCCCAACAAGTTCCTTATCTCCATCTGAAACAACCTCAGCCCGGACTTTATTATCCATATCACTATCAACATTTTTGTCAAAGCCGTTCAACAAGTTTCTAGGAAGTTTCAAATTTTCTCACATTTTCCTGTCTTCTTCTGCACCCTCCAAACTGTTCCAACCTCTGTCTGTCACCCAATTCCAAATTCACTTCCACATTTTCAGGTATCTTTACAGCAGTGCCCCACCCTTTGTGGTGCCAATTTACTGTATTAGTCTGTTTGCATGCTGCTAATAAAGACATACCCAACAGTGTGTAATTTATAAAGAAAAAGATGTTTAATGGACTCACAGCTCCACATAGCTGGGGAGGCCTCACTATCACAGCAGAAGGCAAAAGAGGAGCAAAGTCACGTCTTACATGGTGGCAGGCAAAAGAGTGTGTGGAGGAGAGGGGAACTGCCCTTTATAAAATTATCAGATCTCATGAGACTTATTCACCATCATGAGAACAGCCTGGGAAAAACCTATCCCCATGATTCAGTTACTTCCCACCAGGTCCCATGATACTTGTGGATTATGGGAGCTACAATTCAAGCTGAGATTTGGGTGGGGCACAGCCAAGTCATATCACATACTTTTCAAACTTAGTTGAGAAAGGGACTCGTGTGTGTGTGCGTGATCATTTTGAACAGCATTTCACAACATGTGGGTTTGGGAATTGGACAATCTGTGTCCTAGACAAAAGACACATTGCCATTATTGTATTTAATCTAGTCTTGGTCACCAGGAAGACATATTGCAATTTGGGACTAAAGTCTTGGCTAATAGTAAAGAATTTCTGCCTTAGAATCTTGAACCAACAGTGGGTGACTAAGGGAGTATTTGAGGTTTTCAATCCCAATTAAATATCACCTGTAATTAATAGTAAAATCCTGGGTGTACGAATTTAACACCAGAATTAACACACTAAGGTTACTGAAGCCAATGTTTAAATCCATATACTCTGTCAGTTCTCATTTATAGCCACTTTTCCTCCTCTGGGATGACTTCCATATATTTGACAATTATTTCCAATGAGTTTGTTCCTGCACAGACACTTGGCCAAGAGTCCTTGCCTGGTGCCTCTTCCTGGTCCCTCTCAGTATCCTTATGATCATTAATTGTCACCATGAGCTCAGCATCAAGCACTACAGCCTCAGCTGAAGAGATGAACAGAAACACTGAAAAAGCTCTCTGGATATCCATGAAAACTTTGCAAAGGGAAGGAGGCAAAAATAAGTGGCTGTCAAAAATGGATGACAGCTTTAGACCACTTTGGGGCCTTTCGTCATGGAGAATTTCTTTAACATACAAGTACTGATTAATCCAAAGCAAACCTAAACAAACCCTCAAAGGCTGCTTTGTGGGTGATTTCATCTCATCTGAGTTAAACTGTGTGATAGCTTACTACAGGTCTCCTGTGTAAACACCTACAGAAACTTTTTGGATAGCAAGCTGTTAGAAAAAAAACTTTTTTTCCTGTTAGATTTCAGAATAGAGATAATTTGATGTTAGTCTTAAAGAGCAAGATGTCCCTTGGTTGCATTTCATACGTAGCAGTGATTCACAGTGGAAATGCTTTATTTAGAAATTTTGAATAAGTTACACTCTCTGGCAGTGAGGTGGTTCCACATAATAGTATCTGAAAAATGAAAAATAAGTGTCTTTTGGTAGATTTGGTTTATGTTTCTCTTTAATTCTCTACTTTGGGCAAATGAGTTAACAGTAATTTACAGCCCCTCCAAAAAACAAAGACAGTTGGGAAGGTGTCAAATGGAGGATTTTGGAGGAGAGATGGGAGTTCAAAACCTGTCTCCACCAGATCAGTCTAGTGCAATCTCGGGCAAGGTAAGTGGTCCTTCTTAGGCTTATTTTCCTAACATGTAACATGGGCCTGTGAACCCAGAAGGTCAGAGACAGGTCTCAGTTAATTTAGGAAGTTTATTTTGCCAAGGTTGAGGATGCAGCCGTGACATAGCCTCAGGAGGTCCTGACAACGTGTGTCCAAGATGGTCGGGGCACAGCTTGGTTTTATACATTTTAGAGAGACATGAGACATCAATCAATATATGTAAGATATACATTGGTTTAGTCTGGAAAGGCGAGACAACTTGAAGCAAAGGCAGAAAGACTCCAAGCTGGGAGGGAGCTTCCAGGTCACAGACAGGTGTTGCACAAATGGTTACATTCTTTTGAGTTTCTGATTAGCCTTTCCAAAGGAGGCAAATCAGATACGCATCTACCTCAGTGCCTAATGCTAATGACCTATAGAGTCTGGAGTATTGGAAAACTCCCTTTCTGACCTCCCTCAGGACTTTGGATGTTTGTATACCTCAGCCTGATGACAAGCCTTTGCCTACCTTACAGATAATTCCTCACCTGCTTGCCAGAGTCTCCCACATTAGCCCACTGCGCTGAAATAGCAATGCATAAAAGCCAGAGAGGGAGGTCTGGGGCCAGGCAGGCAGGCTCAAATCCTGAGTGTGTGACTTGCTGGCTGGGGCACTGAGTCAGTTGCTTCACCTCCAATGTTTCGGTTATTTGAGGGTTGGTACCTACAGGGCTGTTGTGGGGTTGAATGGGTTACATTTGCAAGAGAAACAAAGGCCCTCAGCACAGCACCTGATTGCTAGTAGCTGCTGTGTACACATTTACGACATTAAAGAGCGTGTTCTTGTGCTCATGTAGCCAGATCTCTTGGCAGACTCACCTTAGATCTTGTTCTTTCCTGCTCCATCTCCTTTCCCTCCTACTTTCAAATCTTGACAACAGTTAACTGGTAGTCAGTGGTCCTCTTTCAGAGATTGTGGAATTTTCTCCACACTAGCAGCTAAGAAAGGGACACCAGCAATGGAAACTGGAAAACTCTAAAATTACAGGGGCTTCACATAGCAGGAGTTTCATTTTTCACTCACATAAAGTCCAAAACGGGTGTTCCTAATGAGTAGGGAGACTGGCCAGGGAGACTCTATGACAGGCAGGCTTTCAGGGACCCCCCACCTGAAGGAGACTCTGACTTTAATATGGGGCTTCTAAGAACACAGAGAAGTCAGCTCTGTTAACACGCAGCAGGCAGATGGGGTCAAAGCCAGAGTGGAGGGCCCATGGGGATGCTTTTGTGGGCTGGTGCTGGACGTAGGTGAATCACTCTGTCCATGCTCCATTGCCTGGGACTCAATTGCCTGAGTTCACCGATGCAAGATGAGTTGGCAAATGCAGTAGTCCCTCATGAAGCAGCAATTTTTCAGCAAAATATCTGTATTTTGAAAGGGGAGCACAAGTCTTTGGTTGAAAGTTATCCATCTACCCATTCAGGCCCCCACACCGCAGGAAATAGTTAAATATTGTTATCATTAGTGATGATCAATCCAGCAAGTAAAATTTGGAAATAGCTGTCATTTTTTACCACATTAATATGTCTCTTCCTTCTACACAGTTTGCCTTGTAGCCTTGCATCCAGAGATGTGATGTGACCTCTCAAACCACGCTGGGACCGTCTGTGTTCTAGAGAGGCAGAGCAATGCCCCCACATGGTCAGCAGTGCACCCAACTGAATGCTGGGCACCTTCTCATTGCTTAATTCTCCGTCCAGCTAGCAAGTACCTGAAGTGATAAACCCGTGAGTGTTCTAACTGGTAGGTTCTTGTGGAAACCACGAAGCTCTCTAAACTACGGACAAGTACATTTGTTCACTTCAAATATTCTCTTGCTATTCCTTATGGAAAGAACATCTTTTTGGACCCTGGAAGACAGTTTGAATAGAGGGAAGACATCCTCAGCAGTCCGCATGGAACACGTTGATGAAAGTGCTGGGAGCAGCTCCCTGTTGTAGTGATGCTGTGCCCTTGCAGGGGGGATAGGAACAGTTGATAGCTGTTCACAAGCCATGCTGAGAGGTGGCATGGCTCATGGTAGATCAGATTCAGAGCCAGAGGGGCTCGGAAATCACCTGGCCCAGCCCCTCATCACAAGGTGAGGCAACCTGCAAGGGGTGATCTATTTTAGTCTTCAAAAGACAGCTAACCCACCACTGATGCCTTGTTAAGCTAAGCCCATGATTATTAGGAAGCCAAACAGGTTAAGTGGGACTTCGTCTGTTCCACCAAGCAGAGACCCAATGTGAAAATTTCTTGGTGTCTTCCTGACTGATATAAACAAATGTGTACCCACATTCTTTGACCCACTAATTTTAATTAATTTGGTAGTCTTGATTCAAGTACATTTGACAAGGGAAGACAAAGACAAGAATGTCTTTATCAATATGAACTATCACTACCATTTTGGAATATTGGTCTATTTCTCATCTTTTTTCTCCCTCACACTATTAATGTCTAAATAGGGGACTTGTGTTTCTAGGATTAAAAATAATTCAATTATTGATATCTGTGTATGATCTCAGCCAATAACTTGTCTAAAGGGAATATTTTATTCCTGGGCTAAGAATATATTTCTGTATCCAATGCACATTTTTAAAACATAATTTTCATTAAGAAATATTACACACATGTAAAGAAAGTATGGAAAACATAAATGTATGCTTTAATGAATTATTACATGAACACTAATGTAACTACTATCTAGATCAAGATGTAAAATGTTGTCAGTATGTCTTCTGTCTAACCTCGTCCTGATGTTAATGTCTCCTAGCTAAACATCACCAGGGGCACAAGTTGGGTTTACTATTTGAAAAGAGAGAACAAAGACCAGGTGGAATGGCAGAGCTTTCCAGCCGGAGGGTGTTAGAAAGAACCTATTATAGGATTTGACTTGTGCTTGGTAATTTGGGGTGGGGGGAATCTAAGGAACTAGGACTGTCTTTGGATTGGATCTTCTCAGGAAATAAGAGAAAATTTTTAATTTGATGCCTCAGTAAGTCTTACCGAGAAAGACGAAGGACTAGATCTAGGCTGAACCTGTAACTGGTAAAGATGTAGCCGTCACTCACATTATCCAGGAGAAGGGGATATTTGCAGTTCTGTGGCTTGGAAAATGTTCATATTTTGTCTGTGTTCAGATGTGATTGTTGGGGAATCTTGTTTTTGCCTTATTCCATGACTGATGTTGTCTGATGCTGTCTGATGCTGATGTTCTCTGACTTGTTTGTCTTCAACAGGAGAGCACCAAGGGCTTACTCAAGGTACAAGGCCAGCCCCTGACCATAAGGGCAGAAGAGGGTACCATATCCCCTTCCCATGCCCCCCTTCCTGAGAGTAGGGATGGACTAGCAACCACTGTGTCATTTAAATGTACCTTTTGTAATGACAAGAATTAAGGTATTGAAATTGTCTACTTGATAGGGATAGGTAAGTTTTTTTAATCTCATGTTCACATTGAGGTTTTTTTTTCTCCTCCAGATCAACATCAAAACAATTCTTCTTTTTCCTCAATTGTTTAATTAACTTCTGAAGAAGGCATTTAAGGATTAAATAATTAGATGACAATCACAACCTCTCTGGGGCATATGTCTTTATTTTCTTAATAATTCTTTATCTATAACTTTAAAAAGCCCTGACTATGACTTGTGTAGTTATGTTGTGGTCTTTAATCTTTCTCCAACCTCAAATCCATGCCAAGTGTATCTAACCTGTAATGAAGTAAGGGGAAATGGTGTGTGGTATACATTTTCAATAATCAGCTAATGACTAGCAGCAGGAAAACTGCACCAAAAACATATAAAACATGTCTTCTTTATTTCACCACATAGCTCCCAGGGTCAAGAAACTTGCAATATTCTCCTGACTTTGGCATAACTTGCTGTGGAATATTGGGTTTGATTCTAGCATCTGTAATATGGGGGTAAGAGGATTTCTGGGGATAAGTGAAGCAAGACAGATAACATGCTCTGAGTTCTTAAAAAACTGCTTAATGTTTTACAAAATTTTTCTAATTTTCATTTGCACATTTTATCCATATCATAGACTTGTATAGCAGTTATTATTTTAAGTAAGATGAGAATATTCAACCACACAGAGGTTTGCAATCAGCACATATAGCTTATCTTAGAGTCAGAAACTCCATCTTCTTTTTTTTCACTTGAAACATTTATATTCTTACCATTCTGCCACTGAATTTTTCAGCTTGGCTCTTCAGGGCTGTTCTCTTAAAGAAACTTTTGCTAATTTTTCTTTAAGAGTCTCATTTGCATGCAATCAAAGCACTATGCTAAGAAAGCAAGAAAAACAAAAGCATCTACCTCTGTTGGCATCAGGGCTGTGGCTTTCAGTTCAAGAATTACTGCAGTGTTGAAAATGAGCTCATGGATGAACAGCTCTGCATGGATTCAAATGTGGCTGTTTCCTGGCACCTGCTTCCCAAGTCATTGCAGGCTGTAATTCGTAGTTACTAAGCACCATGTGGGCATTACCAGCATTTCCGATATGCAGTGCCACCTGCTTTCCTGTTAGTAGTTACTAGTATTTTGGGACACTCTGAGGAAATCTGAAGTGGTAAATCAGTGGGCACTCATCAATAAAAGAGAAAAATGTGCATATATTCCAACCACTGCCCTCAGAAAACATTCATTGTCGTACAGACTCCCTGAGCCTGCTCCAGGCACTTACACAAAGTAGACTGTATTTTTTCCTCTTTCTATTTTATCTAGAGGTAGATATTATCAGAGATATTATAGAAGTACAGAGAAAAAGGCAAAACAACAGGTAACAATAGATGCATGACAACCATTATTCAGGAATAGAAAGAACTATTGGCAAGGGTAAAAGTAACTGACAAGGGTAAGTTTCTTGACTTAAAAAAATCAATGACACAAGAAAGAACATGAGGTCTTACAGCCAAAGAGCTGAGCTTAAGAACCACACTGTGCTCATTAGATGAGACCTGGGCTGATTGTCTCACTCCTCAAAGTGCCCTTTTCTCATCTGTAGAATGGCAATTCTAACACCTCTTCTACCAACTTTCTTGGGACCCCTAATATTTTGTTTAGTTGCCCCTTGCCAACATTAGTAATAAAGTTTATCTGTAAAATGAAAGAACTAAATTAAATAATTGCTAGGTCTTCTTCCAAACTCTAGAATTGAAAAAAATATGGCTTTCTGTTTTCCCCATTCTCTGAGTACCTAGTTCACATCATAAGATCACATAAGGCACTGACAATCACCAGGGTTTGGAACAGCTAGTATGTTCCGGGCCCTTCATGGTGTTATCACTGTCTTCATTTTACCTCCTTTCCCAGAAAACATACATACTTCATTAGTTTAAGAGTATTTACATATTGTTTTGTCAAACACTAATTAGGCACCTAATATGTACTAGGCACTATGTATTAAATACGAATATTTCAGATTTACAAATGAAGAAGCTTACATTAAACAGCAACAGATTAAATAGCCAGTTAGTTCCTGAAGCAGGATTCAAACTGAGGTCTGTTATTCCAAAGGTTATATTCTACCACGATGCTATTTCTTCAAAGATTTCATCTGATAAAAATGGAATGTCTTTAAATTTTCAAACGTTTCTACTGAACAGAATCTTGGGGGAATACACATTGTCTGGTCATGAGTACCACGGCCTAAAAAGGTTTTTGCTGATGAGTGAGAAATATGAAGAACATCTCTTCTGATCCATAATATCTAAGTTGCAGGTGTCCTGCACTGCTACTGTAGCCAAAAAACACTACAACCTGGGCAGCTATCGTTTAATGGAAAGATCAAGGCTTGAAGTAAAAAATTAGGGCCCTGACCCTTACTCTGTCCAATACAGCTTATTCCTTTAAACAAATTTTTTAACTTCTCAGAATTTGGTTCTACTATCTTTAGAACAGATGACAAACTATTGTACGCCTACCTCACAAAGACATGTGAAAGCATATTGTAAAACGTAATGCTCTGTGAGTATAAAGAATTACTAATCACAGTGGAAGAAGGCATTTCAAGTACTGATTAACTAAAGCTGAGCTTGATGTTATGACTTGAAGCCTCGAAGCAAGAAAGATTGCTCAGTGAGTGGGCAGAGAAAGAATGTCACAGAGTTCCCATCACCTGGGTTTGGATGCCCAAGGAAGGAGCCCGGTAGTGGAGCAGAAAGTACCAGATGTACCAGAAGATACCAGACAAGGCTAATGGTTAGGTTCATGAATAGAATTAGCCTGAGGAAGGGGACAGTAGCTCACAGGCCAAATGCCTGGGCAGTCATTGACAAACTACCAACCCCAAACTGTAACTTGAGGAAGAGTTGGGTCACCAAAGCCAGGGCCCAGCAGAGGGAAATTGTGGGGAAACCCAAATCAACAGGAACAGGTCCCAAAGCAGCCGATGTGTAAGGTAAAATATAGCATTGGAGTGCAGTGGCCCAGGACAGTTCCAGTGGGGAGTACCTGGGTTCCAGCCTATAGCTCTATTACATATTCCGTGGGTCATTTGCCTTTGTATTGTATTCAGTTTCAGCCACTTTGCTCACAAGTTGCTCTGTGAGAGGCAGGGCTAAAGGCCAAGTTGATAAAATGAATGAGCAGAGCAATGTGAAATGAGTGTGCTCATCTGAGAAAGATTTTCAAGTAGAGAGACCTTGAAATCCAAGGCTACTTGGATTTAAGGGAGCCAAGAAGCAAGAAAAATCACATACTTAATTGTGATTAAATGTATTATTTTAGAAGCTGGGGAAACTTAAGCCACAACATAGCAATTAACATTCTTTATCTGACACCAAAACAATCTGAAAATTCTTGCGTCTTAAAATGATGTTGGCAACTGCTGGCTTTTGGAAAAGGTGAGCAGGCATATGTGTTTTCTATCATCTTCACCCCTTTTATTAGTGATAACAAACAGTTTCTTCTTGAAGCCAAATGATTTATTTTATATTTGTGTTAATTATAGAACAGAAAGCCTAAATTCTGCAGGATATTTCCTATGTGTACAGGATGAAGACATCTCTATATGAACATCTGTGGCTAAATATTGCATCTTCAGATAAAAAATTCTACAGTTGTATGAAAAGAAAGAATTTAAACATTTTTATGAAGTTAAAATACTTATTAAACATGCATATGTTTTCAGGCTATTTTCTATTCTAAAATAAAATTCAGCTGGGCACAGTGGCTCATGCCTGTAATCCCAGAACTTTGGGAGGCTGAAGAGGAAGATCATTTGAGCCCAGGAGTTCAAGACTAGCCTGAGCAACATAAAGAGACCCCGTTTCTACAATTTTTTTTTTAAATTACCCGGGCATAGTGGTGTGTGCCTGTGGTCCCAGCTATCTGAGAGGTTGAGGTGGGAGGATCGCTTCAGCCCAGGAGGTCAAGGCTACAGTGAGCTGTGATTCAACCACTGCACTCCAGCCTAGGCAACAGAGTAAGGCCTTGCCTCAAAAAAATAAATAAAATAAAATAAAATCCCCAATACATTACTTTAGTAAACACCTGTATTCAGTTGGAATATGTTTGCTTATATATAGTGACTAAATAAAGAGGAAGTTTATTTTTAAAGTAGATATATATTTTTATAAATATCAAGAATTTCAAACTTTCCTTGTTTTTTTATATAATAATGACAGTTTTCAAGATTATAAGCCAATTACTTTGTAGCACACCCCTCAATTTGGATTTATCTTATGTTTCTTCCTAACTTGATTTTAGGTTGTACATCTCCAGCAAGGATGTCATAGAAGCAATGCTGTGTTCTTCTTGGAGTATCATATTATGTTAACTTCAGTTGCTTGTGCTTGTTGAAGGTAATATCTACTAGGTTTCTGTAAAAAATAGTAACTACAGTATTTTTTTCTTTAAAGAAATAAGCATTTTTAATACTTTACATATATAAATATCTCATTACTCATCAAATCTTTCAGTTTATTTTTCTAGTCATCTACGTAAATATGAATTCATGGTTTCCTACTTTATTCAATAGATTATAATCTGTTACCATCATTATTTATTTTTCAACTCAAATTACCCCAGGTTTGGCCAGTAGGAGACCTTTTAATCTGCCTCTGACATCTTTCTGACGGGTATCCATCATTTTTTGAATAATTCTTTGCTCTCTGGCATGATAAAGAATCTCAGGCTCATTTTTTTCCCCTGGCTCTGCCCTGAAGTTAGTAATTTCTTCAATGAGCTCTGGTAACTTTCAATCTAGGTTGATATTTAGAAACCAAGAGCTGGGGCTGGGTGCAGTGGCTCAAGCCTGTAATCCCACCACTTTGGGAGGCAGAGGCAAGGGAATTGCTTGAATCCAGGAGTTTGAGATCCGCCTGGGCAACACAATGAAAACCTATCTCTACGACAAATCTAAAAAAATTAGCTGAGTGCAGTGGCGTGCACCTGTGGTCCCAGCTACTGTGGAGGTTGAGGCGGGAGGATTGCTTGAACCCAGGAGACTGGGACTGCAGGAAGCTGTGTTTGCATCACTTCACTCCAGCCTGGGCAAAGAGTGAGACCTCATCTCCAGAGCTGGGTGTTAGGTGTGCTCCGTGCTGTGGTGGTGATAGGTGTGCTCACTGCTGTGGTGGTGTGGCTGCTCCCTGGTCCTCTCCATGTATAGAGCTGGGGAAGACACACACACACACACACACACACACACACACACACACCTATATTTATTTCTATGTCTATATGTTTTGAAAACTGTGAGTTCACACTGATACCTTCAATTGAAATTCAACAACACAGGACTCATTCTGACATTTTCCCCTTCTAACTTTGTAAATCATTCCTTTCATTGAGAGAAAGCAGACTCCTATTATTCCTAATGTATATACATATTATAATATTCACATGTAAGTAAACAATCCTCCTTCACTACGACTCACCTCCCAATGCCCTAAATTTGGCTCTGACATTGCACAGCAGCTGGTGGACCCTGAATATATAAACACATGTAGAATGAAGGCTAATAATGGAGATCAGAAAGCAGCTTCACATGGAATGGCCTCATACCATGAAAATGTAGATACAATGGGAGAATCAAAATTGAGGGAAGAAATAGAATAGCACATGGGAATAAGAATAACCTTGTCATTTATCTTCTATTAGTTGATATTTAAAGGCTATTACTTCAAAATAGTATCCGAGGGAGAGACAAAGAGAAGTTGTTGCTAGCTAATTTCAAGAGAGCTCAAAATAGATAACCATTGACTGCATCTACCCACAAAAAGAGGTAACTGAAATATTGTACTGAGGTATTAGTGTAAAGTTGGAATTCAAATATTCCCATGTATAAAAATATGTTAATAAAAGAGAAATTTAAATAGAACACAAATGAAAGATTAAATATGTGTGTAATATACACAAACATTTACTATATATCAATATGTATCTTTATAATGATACACTTTATGTATGTATACATATATACATACACATAAATTTATATAAAATGAAATATGAATATGGAATAAAAGAATTCGAATATATCAATGACATCAATGATAGAAATAATTAAAATAGAATATTTTCAAATTTTCTAAAAATATAAATATATGAAACATATCTAAAATAAAGGTAATCAGACAGTTTTTAAATGAAAAGAGAAAAAATATGAACATAATGAAATGAGGGGTTGAGATCTAGATATCTATCAAGGTAGAATTTAGGCCAAAAAGTATTAAAAGAGTCAAAGGAAGGAAATTTTCAAATGAAAATGTAACAATTATTCCGTTACCACTCAATAATAATGATTTTCATTATACAAGAGATGCACAGATAAATAGAAACATAATAAAACAACTATAGAAATATCATACTAAACCTCTTTTGGTCTAAGATAGATTAAGATCAATCAATATCATTAATAATGTAGATTCTATAAATATATATTAAATTCAGACCTCTGATGATGTAAACTATACTCTCAAGTACAATGAAACACTTATGCAAACTGATTTAGTACAGGACACACCATCGCAATAAATTAAAAAGGCAAATGCAAATATTAGCATTCTCTGATAGTAATGTGCTAAAACTAGAAATTAGTAACAAAATTAGTGTGTTAAAAGGCCTATTCACTGGATATGGCAAAAAAAGCTATTAAAAAACAGGAAGTGAATAGTTTCTTGAAAGTAACAATAACATTCTATAAATTTGAGAGCTGTAGAATCAACTGAAAGTTATCAGAAGAAATTTTGTAGCAATAAATACATCAATAAAATATATTAACTCATCAAGTTAAAAAGCTACAAAGAGAGCAGAAGACAAATCAAAAGAAAGTGAAAGGAAGATATTAATAAAGACAAGAGGAGAAATTAATGATTGGAGAAAATGAAGAACAAAGTAAACCTAAAAGCTGTATATTTAACATGAATGGTCTATGTATACAGTCAAAAGAGAGAGACTATCAGAGTGGATTTTTTTAAAAAACACAATTATATGTTGCCTATCAGAAAGCCAGAAAAAACAGATTATTTTAAAAAGATGATGAAAAATATGTCATATTAACAGTAACCAAAAGAAAGCTGGAGTGGTTATACTAATTTCAGGCAAAGGAGACTTCAGAGCAAGGAAAATTACTAGGGATAAAGAGTGCCTTTATATGATGATGATTCTCAAAGAAGACTTGCAAGTTCTTAATGTGTATGCATCTAACAACATAAGGTCAAAAGAGGGCTTACCAAGATGGCCGAACAGGAACAGCTCCGATCTGTAGCCCCCGGCGAGATCAATGCAGAAGGCGGGTGATTTCTGCATTTACAACTGAGGTACATAACTCATCTCACTGGGACTAGTTAGACAGTGGGTGCAGCCCACGGAGGGTGAGCCAAAGTAGGCTGGGGTGTCACCTCACCAGGGAAACATGAGGGATCAGGGTACTCCCTCCCCTAGCCAAGAGAAGCTGTGAGGGATTGTGCCATTGAGAGGTGACAGCGTGCTGGCAGCCCTCGCAGCCCTCGCTCACTCTCGGCACCTCCTCAGCCTTGGCACCCACTCTGGCTGTGCTTGAGGAGCACTTCAGCCTGCCGCTGCACTGTGGGAGCCCCTTTATGGGCTGGCCGAGGACGGAGCCAGCTCCCTCAGCTTGCAGGGAGGTGTGGAGGGAGAGGCGCAGGCGGGAACCCGGGCTGCGCAGGATGCTTGTGGGCCAGCGTGAGTTCTGGGTGGGCGTGGGCTTGGCGGGCCCCGCACTCAGAGTGGCCAGCCGGTGCTGCTGGCCCAGGCCGTGAGGAGCTTAGCACCTGGGCCAGCAGCTGTGGAGCGTGCGCCAGGTCCCACAGCAGTGCCGGCCCGCCGGCACTGCTCTCAAATTCTCACTGGGCCTCAGCTGCCTCCCCGCGGGGCAGGGCTGGGGACCTGCAGCCTGCCATGCCTGAGCCTCCCCAATGCTGTGGGCTCCTGCACAGCCCAAGCCTTCCCAATGAGCGCCACCCCCTGTTCCGCGGCACCCAGTCCCATTGACCACCCAATGGCTGAGGAGTGTGGGTGCACAGTGGGGGACTGACAGGCAGCTCCACCTGCTGCCCCAGTGTGGGTACCACTGGGTGAAGCCAGCTGGGATCCTGAGTCTAGTGGGAACTTGGAGAACTTTTATGTCTAGTTGGAGGATTGTATATGCACCAATCAGCACCCTGTGCCTAGCTCAGGTTTTGTAAATGCACCAATCAGCACTCTGTGTCTAGCTTAGGGTTTATAAATACACCAATCAGCACTCTGTATCTAGCTAATCTAGTGGGGACTTGGAGAACTTTTGTGTCTAGCTCAGGGATAGTAAATGCACCAATCAGCACCCTGTCAAAACGGACCAATCAGCTGTCTGTAAAACAGACCAATCAGCTCTCTGTAAAATGGATCAATCAGCAGGATGTGGGTGGGGCCAGATAAGGGAATAAAGGCTGGCTGCCCGAGCCAGCAGTGGCAACCTGCTGGGGTCCCCTTCCACACTGTGAAGGATTTGTTCTTTTGCTCTTTGCAATAAATCTTGCTGCTGCTCACTCTTTGGGTCCACACTGCCTTTATGAGCTGTAACACTCACCAGGAAGGTCTGCAGCTTCACTGCTGAGGCCAGCAAGACCACAAACCCACCAAGAGGAATGAACAACTCCAGACGGGAGGAATGAACAACTCCAGATGCACCACCTTAAGAGCTGTAATACTCACCACAAAGGTCTGCAGCTTCAATCCTGAAACCAGCGAGACCACGAACCCACCAGAAGGAAGAAACTCCAAATATGTCCAAACATCAAAAGGAACAAACTCTGGACACACCATCTTTAAGAACTGTAGCACTCACCGCAAGGGTCTACAGCTTTATTCTTGAAGTCAGTGAGACCAAAAACCCACCAATTCCGGACATACCGTGAGGAACAGTGCACTCTGGCCCAGATACTCTGCTTTTCCCAATGGTCTTCGCAACCCACAGGCCAGGAGATTTCCTTGGGTACCTACACCACCAGGGCCCTGGGTTTCAAGTGCAAAACTGGGTGGCCATTTGGGCCAACACCAAACTAGCTGCAGGAGGCTTTTTTGTTCATACCCCAATGGCACTGGAATGCCAGTGAGACAGAACTGTTCACTCCCCTGGAAAGGGAGCTGAAGCCAGGGAGTCAAGTGGTGTAGCTCAGTGGATCCCACCCCCACAGAGCCCAGCAAGCTAAGATCCACTGGCTTGAAATTCTCACGGGCGGCACCTGGGACACTAGAGCTTGGTGGGGGCAGGGGCAGCTGCCATTATTGAGGCTTGAGTAGGTGGTTTTCCCCTCACAGTGTAAATAAAACCGCAGGAAATTCCAACCAGGCAGAGACCTCCACAGCTCAGCAAAGCCTCCATAGCCAGACTGCCTCTCTAGATTCCTCTTCTCTGGGCAGGGCATCTCTGAAAAAAAGGCAGCAGCCCCAGTCAGGGACTTATAGATAAAACCCCCAACTCCCTGGGACAGAGCACCTAGGGGAAGGGGCGGCTGTGGGCACAGCTTCAGCAGACTTAAATGTTCCTGCCTGTCAGCTCTAAAGAGAGCAGCAGATCCCCCAGCACAGCGCTTGAGCTCTGCTAAGGGACAGACTGCCTTCTCAAGTGGGTCCCTGACCCCCTTGCCTCCTGATGGGGAGACGAATCTCAGCAGGGGTCAACAGACACCTCATACAGGAGAGCTCCAGCCAGCATCTGGTGAGTGCCCCTCTGGGATGAAGCTTCCAGAGGAAGGAACAGGCAGCAATATTTGCTGTTCTGCAGCCTCTGCTGGTGATACCCAGGCAAACAGGGTCTGGAGTGGACCTCCAGCAAACTCCAACAGACCTGCAGCAGAGGGGTCTGACTCTTAGAAGGAAAACTAACAAATAGAAAGGAAAAGCATCAACATCAACAAAAAGGATGTCCATACAGAAACCCCATCTAAAGGCCACCAACATCAAAGACTACAGGTAGATAAATCCACGAAGATGGGGAGAAACCAGTGGAAAAAGGCTGAAAATTCCAAAAAACAGAACATCTCTTCTCCTCCAAAGAATCACAACTCCTCGCCAGCAAGGGAACAAAACTGGATGGAGAATGAGTTTGATGAATTGACTGAAGTAGGCTTCAGAAGGTGGGTAATAACAAACTCCTCTGAGCTAAAGGAGCATGTTCTAACCCAATACAAGGAAGCTAAGAACCTTGAAAAAAGGTTGGATGAATTGCTAACTAGAATAACCAGTTTAGAGAAGAACATAAATGACATGATGGAGCTGAAAACACAGCGTCAGCACTTCATGAAGCATACACAAATATCAATAGCCGAATCGATCAAGTGGAAGAAAGGATATCAGAGATTGAAGATCAACTTAATGAAATAGAGCATGAAGATAAGATCAGAGAAAAAAGAATGAAAAGGAATGAACAAAGCCTCCAAGAAATATGGGACTATGTGAAAAGACCAAATCTACGTTTGATTGGTGTACCTGAAAGTGACAGGGAGAATGGAACCAAGTTAGAAAACACTCTTCAGGATATTATCTAGGAGAACTTCTCCAACCTAGCAAGGCAGGCTGACATTCAAATTCAGGAAGTAATGGAGAACACCACAAAGATACTCCTGGAGAAGAGCAGCCCCAAGACACATAATTGTCAGATTCATCAAGGTTGAAATAAAGGAAAAAATGTTAAGGGCAGCCAGAGAGATGTAGGGAAAAGACAGAGAGATCAGACTGTCACTGTGTCTATGTAGAAAGGGAAGACATAAGAGACTCCATTTTGAAAAAGACCCGTACTTTGAACAATTGCTTTGCTGAGATGTTGTTAATTTGTAGCTTTGCTCCAGCCACTTTGACCCAACCTGGAGCTCACAAAAACATGTGTTGTATGAAATCAAGGTTTAAGGGATCCAGGGCTGTGCAGGACGTGCCTTGCTAACAAAATATTTACAAGCAGTATACTTGGTAAAAGTCATCGCCATTCTCTAGTCTCAATAAACCAGGGGCATAATGCACTGTGGAAAGCCACAGGGACCTCTGTCCTTGAAAGCGGGGTATTGTCCAAGGTTTCTCCCCATGTGATAGTCTGAAATATGGCTTCGTGGGATGAGAAAGACCTGACCGTCCCCCAGCCCGACACCTGTAAAGGGTCTGTGCTGAGGTTGATTAGTAAAAGAGGAAAGCCTCTTGCAGTTGAGATAGAGGAAGGCCACTATCTCCCACCTGCCCCTGGGAACTGAATGTCTCAGTATAAAACCCGATTGTACATTTGTTCAATTCTGAGATAGGAGAAAAACTGTCCTATGGTGGGAGGCGAGACATGTTTGCAGTAATGCTGCTTTGTTATTCTTTACTCCGCTGAGATGTTTGGGTGGAGAGAAACATAAATCTGGCTTACGTGCATGTCCAGTCATAGTACCTTCCCTTGAACTTAATTATGACATAGATTCTTTTGCTCACATGTTTTTTTGCTGACCTTCTCCTTATTATCACCCTTCTCTCCTACTACATTCCTTTTTGCTGAAATAATGGAAATAATAATCAATAAAAACTGAGAGAGGCCAGTGCCAGTGCAGGTCCTTGGTATGCTGAGCACTGGTCCCCTGGGCCCACTGTTGTTTCTCTATACTTTGTCTCTGTGTCTTATTTCTTTTCTCAGTCTCTCGTCCTACCTGACTAGAAATACCCACAGGTGTGGAGGGGCAGGCCACCCCTTCAGAGAGAAAGTTTGGGTTACCCACAAAGAGAAGCCCATCAGACTAACAGTGGATCTCTCTGCAGAAACTCTACAAGCCAGAAGAGAGTGGGGGCCAATATTCAACATTCTTGAAGAGAAGAATTTTCAACCCAGAATTTCATATGCAGCCAAACTAAGCTTCATAAGTGAAGGAGAAATAAAATCCTTTACAGAAAAGCAAATGCTGAGAGATTTTGTCACCACCAGGCCTGCCTTACAAGAGGTCCTGAAGGAAGCACTAAACATGGAAAGGAACAACTCGTACCAGCCACTGCAAAAACACCAAATTGTAAAGACCGTCAACACTGTGAAGAAACTGCATCAACTGATGGGCAAAATAATCAGCTAGCAACATAATGACAGGATCAAATTCACACATAACAATATTAACCTTAAATGTAAATGGGCTAAATACCCCAATTAAAAGACACACATAGGCTCAAAACAAAGGGATGGAGAAATATTTACCAAGAAACAGGAAGCAAAAAAAAAAAAAAAAAAACCAGGAGGGGTTGCAATCCTAGTCTCTGATAAAACACACTTTAAATCAACAAAGATCAAAAGAGACAAAGAAAGGCATTACATAATAGTAAAGGGATCAACGCAACAAGAAGAGCTAACTATCCTAAATATATATGCACCCAATATAGTAGCAGCCAGATTCATAAAGCAAGTTCTTACAGACCAAAAAAGAGATAGACTCCCACACAATAATAGTGGGAAACTTTAACACCAACTGTTGATATTGGACAGATCAACAAGACAGAAAATTAACAAGGATATTTAGGACTTGAACCCAGCTCTGGACCAAGCAGCCCTAATAGACATCTACAGAACTCTCCACCCCAAATCAACAAAATATATTCTTCTGAGCACCACATCACACTTATTCTAAAATTGACCACATAATTGGAAGTGAAACACTCCTCAGCAAATGAAAAGAATGGAAATGATAACAAACAGTCTCTCAGACCACAGTGCAATCAAATTAGAACTCAGGATTAAGAAACTCTCTCAAAGCCACACAACTACATGGAAACTGAACAACCTGTTCCTGAATGATTACTGGGTAAATAAGGAAATAAGGACAGAAATAAAGAAGTTCTTGGAAACAAATGAGAAAAAAGACACAATGTACCAGGATCTCTGGGACACAGCTAAGGCAGTGTTTAGAGGAAAATTTATAGCACTAACTGCCCACAGGAGAAAGCAGGAAAGATCTAAAATCGATACCCAAACATCGCAATCAAAAGAGCTAGAGAAGCAAGAGCAAACAAATTCAAAAGCTAGCAGACAACAAGAAATAACTAAGATCAGAGCAGAACTGAAAGAGATAGAGACACGAAAAACCCTTTGAAAAATCAATGAAGGCAGGAGCTGGTGTTTTGAAAAGATCAACAAAGTATATAGACCACTAGCCAGACTAATAAAGAAGAAAAGAGAGAATAATCAAATAGACACAATAAAAAATGATGAAGTGGACATCACCACTGATCCAACAGAAATACAAACTACCATCAGAGAATACAATAAACACCTCTATGCAAATAAACTAGAAAATCTAGAAGCAATGGATACATTCCTGGACACATACGCCCTCCCAAGACGAAACCAGGAGAAAGCTGAATCCCTGAATAGACCAATAACAAGTTCTGAAATTGAGGCAGTAATTAATAGCCTATCAACCAAAAAAAGTCCAGGACCAGATGGATTCACAGCCGAATTCTACCAGAGGTACAAAGAGGAGCTGGTACCATTCCTTCTGAAACTATTCCAAACAATAGAAAAAGAGAGATTCCTCCCTAACTCATTTTATGAGGCCAGCATCATCCCAACACCAAAACCTGGCAGAGACATAATAAAAAAAGAAAATTTCAGGCCAATATCCCTGATGAACATTGATGCAAAAATTCTCAATAAAATACTGGCAAACTGAATCTAGCAGCACGTCAAAAAGCTTATCCACCATGATCAAGTTGGCTTCATCCCTGGGATGCAAGACTGCTTCAACACACGCAAAGCAATAAACGAAATCCATCACATAAACAGAACCAATGACAAAAACCACGTGATTGTCTCAATAGATGCAGAAAAGGCCTTTGATAAAATTTAACACCTCTTCATGCTAAAAACTCTCAATAAACTAGGTATTGATGGAACGTATCTCAAAATAATAAGAGCTATTTATGACAAACCCACAGCCAATATCATACTGACTGGGCAAAAACTGGAAGCATTCCCTTTGAAAATCAGCACAAGACAAGGATGCCTTCTCTCACCACTCCTATTCAACATAGTATTGGAAGTTCTGGCCAGGGCAACCAGGCAAGGGAAAGAAATAAAACATATTCAAATAGGGAGACAGGAAGTTAAACTGTCTCTGTTTGCAGTTGACATGATTGTTTATTTAGAAAACCCCATCATCTCAGCCCAAAATCTCCTTAAGCAGATAAGCAACTTCAGCAAAGTCTCAGGATGCAAAATCAATGTGCAAAAGTCACAAGCATTCCTACACATCAATAATAGACAAACAGAGAGCCAAATCATGTGAACTCCCATTCACAATTGCTACAAAGAGAATAAAACACATAGGAATACAACTTACAAGGGATGTGAAGGACCCCTTCAAGGAGAACTACAAACCACTGGTCAAGGAAATAAGAGAGGACATAAACAAATGGATAAACATTTCATGCTCATGGATAGGAAGAATCAATATTGTGAAAATGGCCATACTGCCAGAGGTAATTTATAGATTCAATGCTATCCCCATTAAGCTACCACTGACTTTCTTCAAATAATTAGAAAAAAAAAACCTTTAAATTTCCTATGGAACCAAAAAAGAGTCCCCATAGCCAAAACAATCCTAAGCAAAAAGAACAAAGCTGGAGGCATCATGTTACCTGACTTCGAACTATACTACAAGGCTATGGTAACCAAAACAGCATGGTACTAGTACCAAAAGAGATATATAGACCAATGGAACAGAACAGAGGCCTCAGAAATAACAGCACACATCTACAACCATCTGATCTTTGACAAACCTGACAAAAACAAATAATGAGGAAATGATCCCCTATTTAATAAATGGTATAGGGAAAACTGGCTAGCCATATGCAGAAAACTGAAACTGGAGCTCTTCCTTACACCTTCTACAAAAATTAACTCAAGATGGTTTAAAAACTTAAAAGTAAGACCTAAAACCATAAAAACCCTAAAAGAAAACCTAGGCAATACCATTCAGGACATGGGCATGGCAAAAGACTTCATGACTAAAACACAAAAAGCAATGGCAACAAAAGCCAAAATTGACAAATGAGACCTAATTAAACTAAAGAGCTTCTGCACAGCAAAAGAAACTATCATCAGAGTGAACAGGCAACCTACAGAAGGGGAGAAAATTTTTGCAATCTATCCGACAAAGGGCTACTATCCAGAACCTACAAAGAACTTAAATTTACAAGAAAAAAAACAAACAACACCATCAAAAAGTGTGCAAAGGATATGAACAGACACTTCTCAAAAGAAGACATTTATGCAACCAACAAACATAAAAAGCTCATCATTTCTGATCACTAGAGAAATGGAAATCAAAACCACAATGAGATACCATCTCACGCCAGTTAGAATGGCAATCATTAAAAAGTCAGGAAACAACAGATGCTGGAGAGGATGTGGAGAAATAGGAACACTTTTACACTGTTGGTGGGAGTGTAAATTAGTTCAACCATTATGGAAGACAGTGTGGCGATTCCTCAAGGATCTAGAACTAGAAATACCATTTGACCCAGCAATCCCATTACTGGGTATATACCCAAAGGATTATAAATCATTCTACTATAAAGAAACATGCACACGTATCTTTATTGCAGCACTATTCACAATAGCAAAGACTTGGAACCAAACCAAATGCCCATTAATGATAGAATGGATAAAGAAAATGTAGCACATGTACACCATGGAATACTATGCGGCCATAAAAAAGGATGAGTTCGTGTCCTTTGCAGAGACATGGATGAAGATGGAAATCAACATTCTCAGCCAAGTAACACAAGAACAGAAAACCAAACACCACATGTTCTCACTCACAAGTGGTAGTTGAACAATGAGAACACATGGACACAGGGAGGGGAACATCACATACTGGGGCCTGTAGAGGGGTGGGGGCGGGGAGAGAGATAACACTAGGAGAAATACCTAATTTAGATGATGGGCTGTTGGGTGCAGCATACCAGCATGGCACGTGTATACCTATGTAACAAACCTGCACATTCTGCACATGTGTCCCAGAACTTAAAGTATAATAATAATAAAAAAAAAACCCAGAAGCAGAACAGATAATAATAAAACCCCCCCCCAAAAAAATAAAAGTTTAGGATGTCAAGTAATTCTTAACAACTTTCAATTAGAAATCTAGTGCAAAAGAATGTTGCTTAAAAGTTGAGTGAAATGGTAACTACATTGGAAATAAAAATAGTTACACGGCAGTTCGGGAGGCCGAGGAGGGCGGATCATGAGGTCTGGAGATCGAGACCATCCTGGCTAACATGGTTAAACCCTGTCTCCACTAAAAAAATACCAAAAATTAGCCTGGCGTGGTGGCGGGCGGCTGTAGTCCCAGTTACTCGGGAGGCTGAGGCAGGAGAATGGCGTGAACCCGGGAGGAGGAGCTTGCAGTGAGCCGAGATGCGCCACTGCAGTCCAGCCTGGGCGACAGAGCGAGACTCCGCCTCAAAAAAAAAAAAAGTTACAAATTTAAAATTTTTTAACACAATTGAGAATTTTCAGCTTGTAATTAGGTGGAGTTAGAAATATCGGAACACATCTGCTAAGGAGATGGTGTGGCATCTGTGGAAGTCTGCTTGCACACAGCTGGAAGCCTTCAGGGGAAATAACAAACTGCTTCTCTTGCTGGGATTCCGACATGTCCAAATATGTCTGGTGAACAGACAGAACTTCATTGTCAAATGTATTTAAAGGGCTAGACAATGGGGTAGGGAGGAGACTCAGAATCCCCCAGGAAGGAATCATTCTGAGTGAAAACACAAACAAATAAAAAACCTAACACACATATTAGTCCAGTAATTTCTATAGTTATTCATGAAATGCTTGATGTGCATCCTTTCTGTATTAGGAACTGCTACAGGCACGGGGACACCACACCGAGCAAATCAAGATAAAGCCCTTATAAGCACAAGGCTCACTTCCATGGGGGGAAGAAAGAAAATAGGCATACAACACTGACAGCATGGAGTACGATGGACGGGAATCGAGCAGAGTAAGGGACAGATACTGATGATCTAAGCTGCTGTTTTAGGTAGAGTAGTTAGAAAAGGCCACTTGGATGAGACTCCATTTGAACAGAGACCTGCAGAAAAAGACAAGACAAGGCCGATGTGGGCGAATCACTTGAGGTCAGGAGTTCGACACCAGCCTGGCAACATAGTGAAACCCTGTCTCTACTTAAAAAAAAAAAAAAATAGCCGGGCATGGTGGTGGGTGCCTGTAGTCCCAGCAACTCGGGAGACTGAGGCCGGGGGATCACTTGAACCCAGGAGGTGGAGGCTGCAGTGAGCCAAGATCGCACTCCAGCCTGGGTGACAGAGCAAGACTCTCTCTCAAAAAAAAAAAAAAAAAGACAAAGTTGTGTGTAGGGATTTCTGGTAGAGGGAACAGAAAGATGGAGGCGCTGAGGCAGGAGTGATGGGCAGGTCTGAAGAGTAGAGCTCAGTGCAGTGAGGGGGCCATTAGCAAGGGCCTGGGAGAGAGAAGAGCCGTCGGTGTGGTGGGCTGTGAGACAGATTCTCAAGGGGCTTCTGGGTCAGGCAAGGGTTCTGGGTTTACTCTGGGAGCAGAAGGTTCTGGAGCAATAGGAACCCCAACTCCATCCTGGTCAGAATGGAGGGTTATTGTGACCATGGCTTTCTCTTTTCTCAGGGCACGGATATGAGCCTTCAGGGAGACATTTCTAATGGAAAAACTGAAAGGAACGCTACACCTAGGACATTGGGGGTCATGCAATTTTGCTGTGAGATTCCATCAGGACTCTGCAACCCAGGGGAACACTCTCTCTAAGAATCTCCTCACACCTTGCACACAGGGAGGGCAGCCCAGCAGGCGGAGGCCCCTGGCAGGCCCGGGGGTGCGGACACTTGGGGAGTCCCTGCGGTGTCCTCTGCAGTGCTGTCTGGGGCTGGAGAAGGCCAAGCCGGTCGTGCTGCTCCAGGCTCTACGGCAGCAGATACTTTTCTCACCTTTGCTTTTCTCAGGCCCTCCCTTTCCTCCTCCTCCATCTCGCCTACCCGCTCCTCCTATTCTTTACTTGTTCTCCACCAATCTAATTTTTCTTTTGTGCTTAGGTTGTGGAGGATTATTTCTGCACGATATAGGAAGGATATTGTGAAAGCCCACTGTTATAAGAAGGATTCTTGAAACTAAACTATCCGTAAGTGTCAATTTTAAGCAGCTAAATGAATGCAGTCAATGGAATGACAAATTGCCAAATCATGTCTTATGGCCAGCTGACAAGAAATCCCTGGAGCATATATAAACCAAGGAACAGGTGCAACTCCAAAAAAGCATTCAAGATGAGTTACAAAGATTATGACAAGCTAAGACGGAGCCAGAACCACTGGTTCAAGATTAGATAAAAAAGAATTACGTTGTAGCTAGATATTTATTTGTTTAAATATACCATTTTATAATACTGTTTATTTTCAGAAATAATTTTTAAAAACTATTTAGTAAAATTATTTTAAGGAAAAGTACAGAATTTTTCTATTTTAATCTGGGTTCTGTAGTTTAGACTATGGGCTTCTCCCCTGAGATTCTCTTTCTACCTAGTAACAGTGTTTTCTACCGTTATGCCACTTGAGTGGGAGGACATTGTTGGTCCAATACTAATCCTGCAAACTGCAACTTACAAGATTTTACAACATAGTCTTAATTCTTTCCCTAAAAGTCCACTCATGGCATGGGATTGGGGGTTAGAATATTTAGGATGGACAGAAAGAATTAAAGGTACTTGCAAACACAAAATTTACTTCACCTTGGTCCATATAAAGAGGTGGAGGAAGAGATTAAGTTACTCCTTCTTCAGTCAGGTACATTAGGCCTAAGTCTCAATTCTGCCATTTGGCATTACATTGATCAGGCTACTACTACCTTTACATATTTAAAATATAGGGATAATAATAATACCGACCTTATAGGGTCATTGGTAGGATGAAGTGAGATTTTGCCTGACCGACACTTAGCCAGGTTTCTGTATCATAGTAGGCATGCTATAACTAGCTATATTAGGGTTGTTCCCACTGGTCTTTTACCTAGATGATTGCTTCTAAATAAAATAAAAATAGATAACTGAACATTATTTATACAATTTTCCTGTTTTTTATTTATATAAATTTATGGGATACATTAGAAATTCTGTTACATGTATATAATGCATAGTGGTCAAGTCAAGGTATTGAGGACGGCCATCACCCAAGTACAGTCAATTTTTGTTAAGTACAGTCCCCCTACTCCACTATCAAATATTGAATTTATTGCTTCTGTCTTACCATATGTTTGTACCTTTTAACCCAGTCCTCCTCTACCTCCCTTTTCTCCCACACTCACCCTTTCCAGTCTCTGTTATTTATTTTTCCCCTCTTGACCTCCATGCGATCAAATATTTTAGTTCCCACACATAAGTGAGAACATCCAATATTTATTTCTTTGTGCTTGGATTATTTCACTTATGATAATTCTCTCCAATTTCATCCATGTTGCCACAAATGACATGTTTTCTTTCTTTTTATGACTGAATAGAATTCCTTTGTGTGTGTGTGTATATATATATATGTGATATTTTCTTTATTCATTCATTTGTTGATTAAAACAGGTTGATTCTATATCTTTGCTATTGTGAATAGTGCTGCAATAAACATTCAAGTTTAGGTATATCTTTTACATATTGATCTCTATTCCTTTGAATAGATAGCCAGTAGTGGGACTGCTGGATCAACTGGTGATTCTATTTTTAGTATGGTGAGAAATCTCCATACTATTTTCATAGTAGTTGTATTAGTTTACATTTGCAGCAATAGTGTATAAGAATTCCCTTTTCTCTGCATCCTCACCAACATGTGCTATTTTTGTCTTTTAATAATGACATTCTAAGTGGAGTAAGATAATATTGTGGTTTTGATTTGCATTTTTCTGATAATTCATGATGTTGAGCATTTTTATCATATACCTCTTGGCTATTTGTATGTCTTCTTTTTGAGAAATGTCTCTTCATGTCCTTTGTCCAATTTTTAATATTTTTTTCCTATTTAGTTGTTTCAGTTTCTTGTATATTCTGGATATTAGTCACCTGTTCAATGAAGTTTGTAAATATTTTTTCCATTCAACAAAATGTTTCTTCGTTTTGTTGATTATTTTCCCAGAACTGTTGATTGAAGAGGGAGTCCTTTCCCCAGTGTAAGTTTTTTGGAAACTTTGTAGAAGATCAGAGGGCTTTAGGGATGTAACTTTTTTTCTGGGTTCTTTATTCTGTCCATTAGTCTATGTGTCTGTTTTTATACAAATACCATGATGTTTTGATTACTACAGGCTGGTAATACATTTTGAAGTCAGGTAATGTGATGCCTCCAGCTTTGGTGTGTTTTGTTTGTTTTTTCCTTTAGAATTGCTTTGGTTATTCTGGTTCTTTTGTTGGCTCCTTGTGAATTTTAGGATTGTTTTTCCTAATTCTGTGAAGAATGACATTGATATTTTAATAGGGATTGCTTTGAATCTGTGGATTGCTTTGGTCAACATTGTCATCTTAATGATATTAATTCTCCTGATCCCTGAACATGGGATGTTTTTCCATTTGTTTGTCCCATCTTCAATTTATTTCATTCATGTTGCCTAGTTTTTTTTTTTTTTGGTGGTTAAATTTATTCCTAGGTATTTTTTTGTAGTTATTGTAAATGGGATTGCCTTCTTAACCTCTTTCTTGCCTGGATCACTATAGGTGTATAGAAATGCTACTGAATTTTGTACATTGGTTTTGTATCAACCAACTTTACTGAATTCATTTATCAAATCTAAGACATTTTTGGTGGAGTCTAGGTTTTTCTAGATATAAGATTATATTATCAGCAAAGAGGGACACCTTGACTTCCTCCTTTTCAATTTAGATGCTTTTTATTTCTTTCTCTTGTCTGATTGCTCTGGCTAGTACTTCAGTACTATGCTGAATAGGAGTGGTGAAAGGGGGCATCCTTGTCTTGTTCAAGTTCTTAGAGAAAAGGTTTCAACTTTTCCCCATTCGGTATGAAGTAGCTATGGATTTGTAATAAATGGTCTTTATTATTTTGAGGTATATTATTTCTATGACTAGTTTGTCGAGAGTATTTTTCATGAAGAGATACTGCATTTTATCAAATGCTGTTTCTGCATCTATTAGAGATGATCGTATGGTTTTGGTCATTCATTCTGTTGATGTAAGGTATCATGTTTACCAATTTGCATATTTTGAAACATCCTTGCATCCCTGGGATAAATTCCACTCGATCATGGTGTATTATCTTTTTGATGTACTGTTGGATTCAAGCTGCTATTATTTTGTTGAAAATTTTTGTGTCTAAACTCACCAGAAATATTGGCTTGTAGTTTTCCTTTTGTGTTGGGTTTTTGTCTGATTTTGATATCAGGGTAATGCTGGCCTCATAGAATGAGTTATGGAGAATTCCCTTCTCTTTCATTTTGTGGAATAGTTTCAGGAGGATAGTATTATTTCTTCTCTGTAAGTTTGGTAGAATTTGGCAGTGAAGGCATTCAATCTTGGGCTTTTCTTTGTTGGATATGATGCTTTTATTACTGATTCAGTATTACTACTTATAATTGATCTGTTCGGGTTTTCTGTTTCTTTCTGATTCAATATTATATGTTTCCAGGCATTTATCTGTTTTCTCTGGGTTTTCCAGTTTGATGGCGTATAGTTGTTCATAATAGTCTCCAGCAATCTTTTTGTATTTCTGTGTTATCTGTTGTAAGTCTCCTTTTTCGTTTCTGACTTTGTTTATTTGGGTCTTCTCTCTTCTTTTCTTTGTTAGTCTAGCTGGAGGTTTATTAATTCTGTTTGTTTTTTTGAAGAATCAACTTTTCATCTTTTGATCCCTTGTATCTTTAGTCTCTATTTCATTTAATTCCGCTCAATTTTATTATTTCTCTTCTTCTAATTTTTGGTTTGGTTTGCTCTTGCTTTTTGAGTTCCTTGAGGTGAATTGTTAGATTGTTAATTTGTAATATTTCTCCTTTTTTGATATAAGAATTTATTGATATAAATGTCCCTTTTAACATTACTTTTCCTTTATCCAACAAGGTTTGCTATGTTGTATTTTCACTTTCATTTGTTTCAAAACATGTTTGATTTTCATCTGAATTTCTTCACTGACCCAATAGCCGTTCAGGAACATGTTGTTGAATTTCCATGTATTTGTATAGTTTCCAAAGGTCCTCTTGGTATTTATTTCTAGTTTTAGTCTCTTGTGGTCTGAGAAAACACTTGATTTAATTTTGAGTTTTAAAAATTTGTTGAGACTTGTTTTGTGGCCTAGAATATAGTCTATTGTGGAGAAGTTTCCATGTGCTGATGGAAAGAATGTATATTCTGCAGTTGTTAGGTAAAATGTTCTGTAAATGTCTGTTAGGTTCATTTGGTCTAAAGTACAGTTTAAATCCAATGTGTCTTTGTTGATTTTTTTTCTACATACTCTGTCTATTGTTGAGAATGGGATATTGAAGTCTTCCATGATTATTTTATTTCACTCTATCTCTCTCTTTAGATCTAGTAATATTTGCTTTGCAAATTTGGGTGTTCCAGTGTTAAGAACATATATATTTAGAATTGTTATATCTTATTGCTGGATTAATCTCTTTTTCATTATATAATGACCTTCTTTGTCTTTTTTTTTAACTGTTCTACCTTTAAAGTCTGTTTTATCTCATATAAACTTAGCTATTTCTTTTTTTCTCCAAAAAGAATGCTTTATTGAGAAATTACCCATTATTATAATAACGTTAAGGAAAAGATACATCAGTTACACCCATGCAACCTGCCTTCTCACTACATCCCACAGGCCGATTTTAATCTTGGACAAAGGGTACCGAGTGCTGGGGTTCCCCGGCCCCTGCATCTTCATTGTGTGTGGAGTGCCATCCCCAAGAGTGTCTGAAAAGTCCAGAGACATGGTTGTCAGAGGACACATGCTCTACCAAACAGAACACCTTGAACTGAGCAGCCCTTCCCCTCCTGGGAGTCACAGAGACATGTACACGACAGGCAAGCCCTCGTAAACTTAGCTATTTCTACTTGCTTTTGGTTTCCACTTGTGTGGAATATCTTTTTCCATCTCTTTATTTTCAGTCTTTATGTGTCTTTACTGATGAAGTGAGTTTCTTGTAAGCAGCACAAAATTGGATCATGCTTTTTAATCCATTCAGCCTTTTTTTAATCTTTTAAGTAGATAATTTAATTCATTTATGTTCAAGGTTATTATTGATATCTTAGGCTTTGTTTCCATCATATTGCTAATTGTTTTCTGGCTGTTTTATATGTTATTTGTTTCTTTTTTTTCTCTTATTGATTATCGTCATGGTTTGGTGGATATCTGTACTGGTACCATTTGAGTCTTTTCTCTTCCTCCTTTGTGTGAATTACTTTACTGGTGAGTTTTATACTTTCATGTGTTTTCATTAGGGTAAATGTTGTTTCACTTTCTAGTTTACAACTCCCTTCAGCATATCTTGTAGGGCCATTCTAGTGGAAACACATTTCCACAGCATTTGCTTGTCTGGGAATGACTTTAGTTCTCCTTCATTTATAAAGGATAATTTGATGAATATAGTATTCTTGACTGGCAGTATTTTTCTTTCAGCACTTGAATATGTCATCCTATTCTCTTTTGATTGAAAAATCCACTGTTATTCTGATGAGGTTTCCGTTATAGGTGACTAGATGTCTTTATCTTCCTGTTTTTAGGATTCACTCTTTATGTTTGATGTTAGATTGTCTGAACATAATGTGCCACGGAGAAGACCTTTTTGCACTTATCTTCCTGGGGATCGCTAAGCCTCCTGCTTCTGAATATCTAAATCTGTTGCTCGACTTGGACAGTTTTATCTATTATTTCATTATATAGGTTTTTAAACCTTTTGTTTGTTTCTTCACCCTCAGGGATCCAAATAATTTGTTATTAATCTTTGTTTTTGAGATGGAGTCTCACTCTATCGCCCAGACTGGAGTGCAGTGGCACATTCTCAGCTCACTGTGACCTCTGCCTACTGGGTTCAAGCTATTTTCATGCCTCAGCCTCCCCAGTAGCTGGAACTACAGGTGTGTGCCACCACTCCTGGATAATTTTTGTATTTTTAGTAGAGACAGGGTTTCACCATGTTGGCCAGGCTGGTCATGAACTCCTGACCTCAGGTGATCCACCCCCTCAGCTTCTCAAAGTGCTGGGATTACAGGCCTGAGCCACCGCGCCCAGCCGGATCCCAATAATTTGTATATTTGTCTTACGTTGTCCCAAATGTCATGAATGCTTTGTTAATTCTTTTGTATTCTCTTTTTTTTTTTAATTGTCTGATTGGAGTATTTAAAAAGATCTGTCTTCAAGTTCTGAGATTCTTTATTCTACCTGATCTAATCTATTGTTGATGCTTTCAAATGTGTTTTTTTTATTTCCTTCAATGAATTCTTCAGTTCCAGAATTTCTATTTGGTTCATTTAAAAATGTCTATTTCTGTGTAAATTTCTCATTTATATTCTGAATTGATTTTCTAATTTCTTTCTATTGTTTTTCAGAATTTTCTTGTATTTTACTGAGTTTCTTTAAAATCATTATTTTGAATTATTTATCTGGGATGTTATGTAAGTTCTTTCTGATTAAGATCTAATGCTGAAAAATTATTGTGTTCCTTTGAAGGAGTCATATTTCCTTGCTTTTCCTGCTTTCTGTGTCCTTATGTTGATATCTGTGCATCTGGCATAATAGTCACCTTCTATTTTTGAATTTGCTTTTATAGGGGAGGACTTTTTCCTGAAGATGTATCTCTGGTATCAGTTGGGTAGAGCACTTTGGCTTTGATTCTGGGTGCATCCAGTAGTGTAGTCTCCATATGATTTCTTTGGCTGTAAACAGTGTTAGTAGCATCTGTGATTTCCTTCATGGATTAGAGTGTGGTTATTAATGAAAGCCATAGTGAAGTTGTCCTGGGGATTGAGAGGACACGTGGGCCAGTCTTCAGCCCCAGTGCTGGCAGAGGTGGGCTGAGCATGCCTATCTTTGTGCCAGAGCAGAGTGCACTAGCACTTGTGTTGGAAGTTACTGGCAAGTTGATACTTGGGCCTCCAGGTGGCTTGCTCAGACATGGGTAGTGGCAGTAGTGGCCAGGCAGTTGGACGTGTTTTCAGGCTCCTGGGCACTTGGCGTGGTGTGGTTGATGGCAGTAGCAGTGGTAGGATGATTCCGTGGTTCTCAATCTGTGTGCCTTAATGGTGGTGGTGACTAAAATGGGCTGAGTGGGTCAGTCTCCTGGCCTAAGGTGGCACTTGCAAGTGGGTGCCAGCTGAGGTGGTAGCAGCCAGGAATTTATGCCCAACCTCAAGGCACCAGGAGGAGTACTTAGGTGCCCACAATGGTGGATTGGGTTGGGCAATCCCCAGGACCTCATTGTGTGCTGTCTTGGAGAGAGAGGCAAAGCTGGGCTGGGTGGGCTTGTGATGAAAAATGCACATTCCTCTCATGCTCCAGTTCTGGTGGGGCTTGCCCCTCAACCGTGGCAGAGTAGCCTGAGTCTAGCTCATGTCCTTACCCTGTCTGCAGGAGTCCCCACCCAGCCGATGACCAAATTCCAGCAGCAACTTGTACCTCAGTGGTGTCCCAGTCTGTGTTCCAGTGGCTTTTGCTTCCCAGCACCAGCAGCTACGGCTCATGCCTCATTTGCTTGTTATTCCCAGCTGTGGGAAAGCTTCCAGCCCTCTCCTTAGTTTAAGCAGTGACAGCCATAACACCTCAGATCTGCCACTGCTGGGTCCCACCCAGGACGGCCAGTCTGCCAAAGGCTAGGTTTGAAAATGGCACAATGTTGTAGCCACTTAGGTCTCAGAAAGGGTGCAGGACCCAGCACACCCTCCCTCCTCGGAGCAGGTCTACCTCAGTCTCTTGGCATCTTCCTGTGTTAGTTTCAGGCGTTATGAGGGTTGAGAGGCTCTCCTGTGGCCAGGATTGCACAATTCCATGGTGGGGATGTGGGCCAATGGAAGTCTTTCACTCCCCTTTTCCCTGCATTGGGAAGTCACCTCTTTATACAAATTGTATTATCATATTTCATTTAGTACTGACAGCAAAGTGTCTCCATAAACTAACCTATCAGTCCCATACTTGCCATCTAAGCTGTTTTGACACTTTTTAGGGAATTTTAAAGCAAAACTTCTCCTAACTGTTAACTCCATTTCTTTGTGTTTGGGCACTGTAGGCAGCTTGTGCTACATGTCATTATTGATTCATAGTTCAAATAAATATTAGTCAGTGAGGGCCAAAGGAGAAAGAACTTGATAAAAAGAAGGAAGGGGAAAGGGAGGAAGGAAGGAAGGAAGGAAGGAAGGAACTACTTAGTTCTCTTAATCTAGCATTTTATTTCTGCAAAACAAACATGTTTCTTTTATTATTGTCTTTTGCTTTTGTGTTAACACAGAGTAGTGAAACAAACTAGAAACCTGTGAACTAAACATAAACTGTATATTGTCTGATTTTCTTTGCAAGGTATTTGAATAATGCTGATATGTTTATGGTCCTGTTAAGTAGTGAATTGAACCATCTGGCTATAATTTATTAGGGAAACCATTGTAAGTGTTTGGTTGATGATTTGATTGGCCATATGACATTTTAAGAAGTTTTGTTTTGTTTTCTTTCTTTCTTTATTTTATTTTTTGATTAGAGAGAGTCCACAGAGGAGTAGTATAAACTTTTCAACGTAAAGGTTACTTATGAGCTGACAAAAACCAATGCTAGCTGTGCCAAGATCTAACACAAACAGAAATTCCTACAATCAGAGGAAAGGGTAGAGGCTGTGTTTGTTTAAAAAGCTGATTATACACACATGTAATTGGTGTGTACTTTAAAGTAATGAGTTACATATTGACTGTCAACTTATCCAAATATGGAGAGATTCTCCAATCTTAATCTATCTTGACATTTAGGCTTAGTTTGGAACTGCTAGGAAATTGCAAAACTGATAATTTTTTATTGTTGCCTGAAAGCATATCTGATGTGCTACAGAAATTGGCACCACCTGGTAAAGCAGGCCCAAGATTTAAAATGTTTCTTTTCTGTTCTTAATCATTTATTATGTCTGCATTAACCCAAAGAACCCAATGGTATTAAACACTAAAAAATAAAAATAAAAAATTAATTCCCTCAGTCAAAGACAGGTTTTCAAATTGTTAACTGTTTAAATTTATATGGTAAAAACATCTAGATATCTGATTTTAAAACATTTCCAACTTTGTATTTGTGGTAGGGAAATAGTGTTTTTTTAAGTCCCAGAATTGTAAAGGACTTATGCTTTAGACCTGCTGAAAGAGATTTTGCCCTATAATAGATGCCAAGAACAAATATCAAATTCAGTTAATTTTAATATTTTGGAAAATTTCAATTGTCTTTGAAAACCATGTTCATAATATAATGCTGAGCAAAATAAGCAAGACGTAAAACAGTATGTCCAATTTCATTTCATTTTTAACAGAAGTCTGTCTCTCTATGCATACACATATATACTATTAAAATTATGTGAATTTTTAAACCAAATTTGGAACAGTTTTTTCATGGAGTGGGATTATGTGGGGCTTATATTTGTATTTTATGTATTTATTTTTTTACAAGGGCATTTTATTTTTCAAATAGGAAAAGCAAATATATTCCCAGTTTAGAAATATTAGATAAGTTGCTAATGTGTACTGCAAGAATTCTTTACCCAACTGGGAATCCCCATGAAGGCTCCCAGAATTGGAAATCTTTGCTTATTTGTGTTTTATCTGATCTTAGAACACTGTAGTCTACGTACTTACTAACTTTTGAGTCAGTTTTAAGAGTTGAGACATAATCCTGATTCTCCTGAATGGAATGTTAGATATTATTCAATATAAATTACTTTGATTTGGGCTAAGCATATTTAAGAACTATTTTTTCTGAACTTTGTCATCATGTTTTTATCCTGGTAAACATGGACAACAAAGAGCAAACAATCCTAAGACAAGTTTTATTTCATATATATTCTAGGCCAGGAAGAGCAAAATAAACCTAAGATATAGCTGTAGGTAAATTAGTGAGGCATCATCAACATCATACAGAATAAAAATTGTTAAAATGTGTCAGTATCAATAGTAATTAACATATCACTTATTGAGCATTTATTATGTGCTAGACAGCTTGCATCCTTTATCTCATTCAATTCCACAACAATAGTTTGGTAGGCATTATATTTTTCAATTTTCAGATAAGAAAACAAACTTAGAGAGTCTGTCACTGCCTGTGGTCATATGGCTAGTGCGTGGAAAGTGGGGCACCAAGCTTAAGTCTCCCTGACTTCAAGCCCAGGATCCCTGCACTGTGACAGCACTTGCTCTAGAATCTGGGTAGAAGATCCAAAATAAAGTATAGATGAATACATTTTTTCTAATTCTAACTTATCACTAAGTATTATATGTGAAATGAATATGTTGTTATCTTTTCAAAAAGTTATTTTTGATTATTTGCTTTGCTACGAATTTCAGAGAGTGACAAGCTTTACAGAGTGGATAACATCTCAGAGTTTCAGGAGGACAGCCTCATGGTGCTGGTCCACTCCTCTTGCGAGCTCTCACATCCCTGAACGACTATCTTGTTCATTTTTACATCAAATTAACGAATATTCATTAGGACATGAATAAGTATAGTATTAATCAATTTCCTATGTTTAAGAAAGCTTTTTAACTTTTTTTTTTTTTTTTTTGAGACAGAGTCTTGCTCTGTTGCCGAGGCGGGAGTGCAGTGGCGCAATCTCGGTTTGCCGCACCCTCCGCCTCCTGGGTTCAAGTGATTCTCCTGCCTCAGCCTCCCGAGTAGCTGGAATTACAGGCGCGCACCACCATGCCTGGCTAATTTTTGTGTTTTTAGTAGAGATGGGTTTTCACCATGTTGGCCAGGCTGGTCTTGAACTCCTGATCTCGGGTGATCTGCCCATCTCAGCCTCCCAAAGTGCTGGGATTACAGGCATGAGCCACTGCGCCCAGCCCTTAACTTTAACTTTTTAATAGAAACCCAAAATTGTAATTCCTTATATGCTAAAATGTGGGCACATGCTGGACAAACACCACTGCACTTTCTCGAGGTTTTCAGGGAAAGGAGGCAGCTTATAATTAAGATCAGCACAAAACTAGATTAGATTGCAATTATATTTATTTGGAGAGTGAAGCAAAGTATTAAAAATATTCTTTACCATTTTACTGAAGAGAAAGCTAATACGATTTGGTCACTGAGATTTTTTTTTTTTTCATTTTTGAGATACTAACATAACAACCCAAAGATCAGAGTTTTAAGAATATACCAGAACTTCAGCTTCTTTTTCTCTACAAAAGACAGTAAACAATTTGCTGCCTGCATTCAGGCATTCACCAACTTGGTAGTGTGGCTGAGCAACACCACGGTACCTGGTACAATCTTGTGTTGATATGTGGGCACCAAGAGGTGGGATTGCAGTGGATACTGACTGACTTACCTTCCAGAGGGCCATTTAAAATAGAGGCTGCATCAAATCAAGTGTAATACAGCCAGGAAGAAATTAGTTCTGAGTGCTTAGAGAAAAGTATAGCAGCTCTACTAGAGCCTTGGGCCTGAAGTCTGAGGATAGTAAGTGGGTACATCATTATTATACTGAAGAGTATTAGCCTCATTTGCCACTCTATCCTCAGCACTTGGCATAGCACCCAGCATAGGGCAGGCACTCATTTGTAAAAACAAAAGAATAAATAAACAAATAAATGAGTTTAATGCATGTCTTTATTTAAATTTTGCTCCCAAGAATAGGACCTTGAGATTCTACCCTTTTGAGGAAAGGTATGGAAAAATAAGTAGGTGTGGATTTCAGAGAAAAGATCATATGTTCTGTGAAAGTTAACATAATCAAATTTTGGAATAAAGATGTTTAAAAACTCTCCTAAAAGAAACACAATACTATTTCCTGGCATTACCAAGAATTCTGTATATGGGAACACTGACAAATTTTCATCAGACTTGTCCTAAGTGTAATCCCGCATGGAATTGAAAACCCAGTCTGCATTCATAGCCACCCCTTGTTCTTCAGCTGCGACAGGAAGCAGCTTGAAGCGGTGTTGATTCTCCACTCGCAGAGCACTTTGGAGAGCTTAAGGCATCCTGTCTCTTTTCTCCAGGTGTCTCCTGGTCCCTTCAACCACTCCTAAAATGGAATAGCTTCTGCTTCCGATGGACAAGCTTCTCCCATCCTGCTTGTCATCTTCAGGGTACACTCCAGGTTGCCAATGTCCTTGAAAGTTGCACCCACAGCCGAAGATGCCAGCACTCCACATACAGAGTTCTATCTCTCTTCATTTGGTCCAGCCCTTTCCCTTCCCATGGGGCTGTTATTTTCTCTGCCATGAAGACTTTCCTCCTCAGCCTTTAGTGATTATCATCCTCACACTGTGGATTAATTCAGATCCTCTCAAATACCCCATGGCTCCCTGCACTTATCCTTTGATCATATTATCATAGAAAATTCAGGCCAGGCACAGTGGCTCACACCTGTAATCCTAGCACTTTGGGAGGCCAAGGCAGGCAGATCACCTGAGGTCAGGAGTTCCAGATCAGCCTGGCCAACATGGTGAAACCCCGTCTGTACTAAAAATACAAAAATTAGCTGGGCTTGGTGGCATGTGCCTGTAATCTCAGCTACCTGGGAGGCTGAGGCTGGAGAATTGCTGAAACCCAGGAGGCGAGGCTGCAGTGAGCTGAGATCACACCACTGCTCTCCAGCCCGGGTGACAGAGTGAGACTCTGTCTCAAAAAAAAAAAAAAAAAGAAAATTTATTTATTTGTGTTTGTGATTATTTGATTAGTACACATTTCTCACACTAGACAGTAAAACACAGGAGGGAAAGGATCATGTTGGATTTTGTTCATATTTTTAAAAATCTCTTGTGGCTAGCATAGTGCCTGACACAAAGGCAATAAAACAGTCACTATACATTAGTTTCAGACTCTGGTGATTAAACTTTTGACACTGCAGCGTAAGATGAAATTTTCTTTGCTTTTCTTTATGTATTGTTGATTTATTTTTAGTATAAGATCTCTTAAACATCACTGATACTTTCACAATATTATTTTTGGTAACTAAAATCACTCAGCTCTTACATGGTAAACCAGGATCCAAACTAGGGTCTGTGAAGTTCTAAATCTCATGTTTTCAACACTGTTCAAACAAAGATTTTCAGCTTCTGAGAAGAACAGAGGTGGACGAATGCAGGTACTTGATAGAATTTGAATCTGAATTACAGTGCTACTGATAGGTCTGTTAATCACGCACGTGCACATGCCACGCAAAAGTCAAACGCAGGGACCTAAACACGCCTGTGGTGTGTTCTCAGCTGAGCTCCAAGGCCCTGATGAGTTGTAAATGTTTACAGACTCCTCAGCTGGGTGGTCCTGGAGGCAGCTTATCACATGCCCTGAGGCCCGAGTGGGTTAGGGGAGAGAGCACAAAACGTGACAGCTTTGCCCTCACAGTCTCAGCTACCCTGGGAAAGAGTTTGGCAGGGGAATCATCATGCAGGCTCCATTTTTATACCACTGCACTGAAGTATAAGTACATTTTTTGTCACACTCTGCTAACTGCCTGCTCATAGATATTCAAATTTAGTAGATGTAGACAGACTCCTAACTTCTCATGGTTTAAAATGTTTAAACAACTATATTTATTTTGTACTTGCCTAATCTTTTCTAGTCCCCCTGGATTGGTATATGTTTCACCTGCTTAAATGAGACTGTTCTCTGGCTTAAGATTTATTTAGGTAGTGAGGGCTACTTTTGGTTGAAAGCTAGAACAGGTTTTGCACTTTAATGAACCTAAAGCAGATCTATGCTGTTTACATTCAGGCAAGGGGACTTCTCCTTTATTATTTATTTTAGATAGAATATTTGCCAACTGAAGATGTGTGGCCCCTTCCCACCCCAAAGAAGACAGTACCCATGGTTGAATTCCCAGATGGAAATGATTTATGACTAGGGATCCCATAGCCTTGGTTCCCCTTGTCTGCTGCTTATGAAGCAAGATAAACATGCTGCCTCCTCCTGGTGCAGCTCTTGAAATGTTTTGACTTCCTGTCACTGGAGAGGTGTTGACATGCTCAGGGGAATGTTGGTGGAACTCACTCTGCATTCCAATGTGTCATGAATTTAAGGATTATGGTTAGACCACGTCGAAGTCATCACACAGTAGTTACAGCTAATGTCTAGTACTGGTTGGCCCTGGAAACAAAGAAGAGCTTGGAAAAAAAGCAGTTTACAATGCAGAAGGTAGACGGAGCTGTGCTTATTGGATTGGTGGGAAATCAAATGCAGGAAACATGGTGTATTACTTGTTTATTTGGTGTAATGAAGACTACAGTGTCAGCCTCTACAACTACAGTGTGATCTGCTTCAGGGCAGGGTGTGTCTTCATCACTTTCACCTGGCCCTGGGGAGGCACTCAATAAATATTTGGAGGTGAATGAATTAATTAGAGTGGGAGATCTACCACGCTTGTGTCTGGTTCCTTACAGGGTAAAGACCCTGAGTTAAAGGCCAATGAAGTGACTAAATAAAGAAGATGGTAATCCAGCAAGCAGATTCTAATGCAGCCTTTTACAATAAATAACACCCCCATGCAGCTTTTATATAGAGATATAGACAGCTATAGATGAATGGATAGATAGATCAAAACATAAATGTAGAAGAAAAAAGTGAAATTTCATGTCATTGTCAATTTGGATAACTTAAATAAACCTCGGTGTATTGCACCTAAACAAAACATAATGAGAGTTAGAGAAAATCTTCTATCCAGGGGTGGGGATGGGATTCTCTGAAGACTGCAGAGTCAGCTGGGGACAAGTTTGAGGGGGTGGAAGCCACCTGAAAAAATGAAGTCAGAGGCCAGGTGCGGTGGCTCATGCCTGTAATCCCAGCACTCTGGGAGGCCGAGGCTGGCGGATCATGAGGTCAGGAGATCGAGACCATCCTGGCCAACATGGTGAAAACCCGTCTCTACTAAAATACAAAAAATTAGCCGGGTGTGGTGGTGTGTGCCTATAGTCCCAGCTACTCAGTAGGCTGAGGCAGGGGAATCGCTTGAACCTGGGTGGTGGAAGTTGCAGTGAGCCGAGATTGCGCCACTGCACTCCAGCCTGGGCAACAGAGCAAGACTCCATCTAAAAAAAAAAAAAAAAGACAAAGTCAGAATCTTTGTAAACTGACCTCTTCTTCCCATCCCCACTAGCAGGTGGTTTCTCTGAGAGACTCAAGTCTATACCCATCATACACTAGACAGCACTCCCTCGAGATTCCAGGTGAAGACTCTGAGGCTGAAGCTTGTGTTTGTTCCTGAAGAATCGCTGGGATGCTTGCATGGCTGACACGGGACCAGACAGGGAAGGAAGGAGATGGATCTAAGAGCCCTGTGTCTTTGGGGACCTGGGGGTGGTACGTATCCCACAGAGCCTTCAGGGAAATTGTACAAATTCTGGCTTTTATGTTGAGTTAAAGGAGCTATAGGGCAGTTGAGCAAAAGACATCCATGTCTTAATTGTCAAAGGATTTCTCTGGCTGTTCTGCTGTGTGGATGGTCTGGGAACAAGGGCAGAGCAGGGGCATCAGCTGGCAGCTCCTGCAACAATCCCCAGGTAGGACATAATGGAGATATCTTTTATTGTCTATTTAACATTATTTGAAGAAAAATGAAAATTTTAAATTATTATCATGATTTTACTGTTTATCTTTATATTGTGCAATACCAGATTAAAATACAAATATAAAAAATTTAACTCATATGTGGAATAATCAAAATTAAATCATTCATATTAATAGCTTACATAAACATACATATTTCAATCTTAGTAGAACAGTGGAAATGCTGCACAAAAATGAACTCAATGGTTTTAATTTCACTTTAATACACGCTCGCCCTACCAGCCCTCTCTACCTTCAGTTTACTGATGGGTAAGGAAGTACTAAAAGGAAAAGGCACTATGGGTTACTCTGTCTTTCCTTCTGTATGTGTCATTTTCTGCATAAGTGTTGACTAGTACAGGGAAGTAACACAAGTAAGACAGTCTATGATAGGATTCCTTGGTCATTGATATTTCTTAGAACACCACTGCCTCTGTCTGCCTTTGAAGCAAATTCTGGTTCAGACAGAAAGCACGAACCCTGGGCCTGTCATTTCCTGGCTTACTCAGCCAAGGACATAACAGACCAAACTTGTACTGATGTTGAACCTTGCAGGCATCACGGGTCTGCTGGGATTCTGTACTCATGGGGTCTCAGCCACCGTGTGTGACAGGGCTGGTGGCAGACACTCATATTGTCTGTGTCTCTTCTGTTCATGCACACACTCCATGTCCCACTGAACTACAAGTATATGGAGCAAATGTAAAGATAAAAGTATTAAGAGTCTTGAGACAGAAATAGGAGAGCACTAAACCAAGTACGGGCCTTTCTAAGTCCAGGTCCCATCATACAAGTTGCCTGCTCATGAAGCTGGCCCTATGATGGTTAGTTTCATAATTCCGGAATTCAGGACAGAGGTCCAAGCTACACATCTTTATTTACAACTTTATTTCACCAGACTCAAACTGAAATTTAATGTTTCCTTTGATTATGTATATAGGCAACAAACTACAATAGTATTAGTACTACCTATAAGCTTGTCACCAGTAAAAATCACATATGTGATTTTCACATCACAGAATACAATTATTGTAGATATATTAAAATAAAATTGATGTTTATCATTACCTTAACATTATGATAATTGGCTGGGGGCAGTGGCTCACGCCTGTAATCCCAGCACTTTGGGAGGCCGAGGCAGGCGGATCGTGAGGTCAGGAGTTTGACACCAGCCTGGCCAACATAGTGAAACCCCATCTCTACTAAAAATACAAAAATTTAGCTGGGTGTGGTGGTGGGCACCTGTAATCCCAGCTACTTGGGAGGCTTAGGCAGGAAAATCGTTTGAAAAAAAAACAGAAACAGAGATTGAAGTGAGCTGAGATCTCGCCACTGCACTCCAGCCCAGATGACAGTGCGAGACTCCATCTAAAAAAAAAAAAAATGATAATTTTGAGGTTCCCACACTAGCTCTTGCTATCTACTGTATTAGTATAAATATACAAATTTATTACCATGTCACAAATTTGTATTTTTAAAATATTTTGATAACTTTATTTTAATATAATACTTTATCTTTGTAAATTTATTTATTTTATTTTAAACAGTTAAAAGTTCTGTTTTCTGAGAAGGAGTCTGTAAGCTTTGCTGGACTGCAAAGTTGTCTAGGAAACCCCTATGTTACAGTGAAAAGGTGAGGGGAGCATTCAGAGAGCAGGTTGAGAAGGTGAAGTGTTTTGCTGGTGATGCTCTTTGAGTTCCAGGCAGCAGAGTGGAAGGTATCAGAAGCTGGGGAGGATTGGGCAATAGAACCAGAAGAGAGGGTTACACTGTAATCTGGGTGATGAGGTGATGAGGACCTCTTGCAGTGACTGTTAAGATTAGGCTTGATATGATTGGCAGATAGTGGTGAGAGACTGAAAATGTTGGGAAGGGAGGTCCTTACCTGGATCCAACAAAATCCTGGGGTCTCTCTTCACTCCTCCTACAAGTGAGTGGAGACTGATGAAGGTGGACTTCTTATTTTCAAAGAACAGGATCCCTGGACTCCCTGTTGAGTCTTGCTCATGGGGGTCAAAAACCATGAAAACATCATGTAATCTCTATGTAAAATGCACAGTATAAATAATATAATTTCGGTTAACGAATATACACAAACAGACACACACACACACTATCTTTCTCTCTCTGATTTAAATAAAATTATCCAAATTTAATAGCTATTTTAACATGAATAATGTATTTTATCTTCTTCTTTATGGTTTTTTCTTTATTGAATGTTAAATTTACAAGAAGAAACAGAAATGAATTTTTTTCTACTTTAATTTGTATATCCTTGGAATTCCTTTGTTTTTCTACTTTTGTGGTTGTGTTTCTTTCATGTTTGAGCTTTCCTTAAAGAGTCTAGTCATCAGCTGGGCGCGGTGGCTCATGCCTGCAATCCCAGCAATTTCAGAGGCCAAGGCGGGTGGATCACCTGAGGTCAAGAGCAGCATGGCCAACTTGGTAAAACCCCATCCCTACTAAAAATATTTAAAAAATCAGCCGGGCGTGATGGTGGGAGCCTGTAATCCCAGCTACTTGGGAGGCTGAGGTGGGAGAATTGCTTGCACCCGGGAGGTGGAGGCTGCAGTGATCCAAGATCACACCACTTGCACTCCAGCCTGGGCGAGAGAGTGAGACTCCGTCTCAGAAAAAAAAAAAGTCTAGTGTTCCTTAGCTTTTTGTATTCACAAGAAAGGGAGCAATTAAAAAGCTGATTGGGATTCTGCATATCCAGATGGGGTCATATTGTGAGGTTTTCTTGAATATATGTACAAAGGATACACAAAATCCAATTCCATCCATTGGAAAATGGCTTCTGATTATTAACTAATGGTTTTCTTGCAAAGAAGCTACTTTATTTCTGTTTTTCTCATGATGTGGTCATCATCAACTTGATCCTCCATGTCCAGGCAGAATTCTTCTTTAGCCAATTGGCTTATTCGTTGTTTTACTGCAAAGAAACATGATGTAGAAGAATTTGTTAGAGGAGGAAGGCAAAGATTTCTGAACTTCTGAAATCTTAAACTTCAGTTCATTTTACCTTCCCGAAGCTTTTGGTTTATATGACTGCTTTTAGATGTGAATTTTCATGGTTCACATAAGCTGAATGGAGCCCTCTGGTAGTAGAATTCTCTTTCTCTTTCTTGCCCTTACCTTCTACTGTGATGTTACCATTTCCAAAATTTGCTACAGTGAAAATTAATTCAAAGTTGAGATGTGATTTCAAGTCTTGAAGTATCTGGCAAGTCAGGCTGCTAGAAATAACCTTTACTTATTTCTAACACCATAATTAGGAAGGATATTTCAGCTTCGGGTAGAGTGGTCTTTTTTTCTATTACTTATCTCACCTGTTAGGATTCACAGCATTTTAGGCTTGAATCAGAACTCAGATATTGTCTAGTTCATAATTCTTAAACAGTATAACTATGAATTAGCAATGAACGTATTTTTGAAACTTCTTCAAGAGATTCAAGCAAGCACCCAGGTTTGAGAGCCATTGACACAAGGCAATCCTGCCACTCACAGGTGAAGCTGCTAAGACATCAGATCAGTTGGGGCTGAGAGTCACTGCATACTGGCTGATGTGCCATGGGCGCTGCTGGTTGTTATGACCACCATCTTTTCTCCTTGGCCAGTGACCATCCTTGTGTCCATAATGATGGTTAGTGTCCATGATAAAAATTTCAAATACAATTATATTTTGCAGCTAATGAGTAGTAACATTGAATTAGCACTCAGAATCTTCCTGCCATGAAGTCTGTTGTGTTCTCTACATTTTCTGACACCCGCTTTTTGTGTAAAGTTTTGTTTATTACCTGATGAATAGAACAAAACTTGTTCGTGCCCATTAAACAGGTAATTCATGTTTTCGAAAGATAAGCATTATCTCTCCTTTATCATTCCCAATAATTCAACTCTGGAGTCCTGATCAGTGTGGCTTACAAACTGGAAGACAAAAACATTTCGAAAAAACCTAATAGCTAAGTTAGTTTTTTAAGCTATTATTATTGTTAAAATAATAATAGTGAACTATTATTTTTAGTTCACTTGAAAAAAATCACTTGGGCATTGTAGAGACACAGCACTGTGCCAACAAAAAGCTGATTACTAAAGGTAGGATGACCATATATCCTGGTTTGTCCAGAAAAAATGTCTGAGTGTAATTATCAGTAGGACCCTCTTTCAGTCTCAGAAGTCTCCAGATTTGGATAATAAATCATTTGATCACACTATTAATGGGATATTTGAATATTTCAAAGAATTCAGCACAGTTGACAGGTCTAGGCATATAAGACTCTCAGGCAGCCTGAAGATTAGCCATGAGGTGAGCCAGGTGGTGGCAGCTTCACCCTGTCGATGCCAGAACTCATTCTGACATCAGGACTGGGCAGACGGACTTCCTCGGGCTGCTTGTTCCATGAGAATTCTCCTGGAATGATGTGCTTGGATGAAAAAGACAATTTCCTGAGGTAGGGGGAATGCTTTTCTGTTCAGTAGAGCTACAACACTCGAGCTAGACTCCCGAAATAAGTGCTTGTTGTATTCCTCCAGAATAAATAGTAACTGATATTGATAGCTCACATTTATTCGCACTTGTCGCAGGTCACTCAGTGAGTACTCTACATACGTGGCTTTATTCAACCCTGACAGCAATCCTGAGGTAGATTCTTTTATAGTTCCCATTTCACATGTGAGGAAATGAGGCTCAGAGAAGTAACTTGCCTTGAGTCACAGAGCTGGCAAGCGATAGAGTTGAGATTTGAAGAGACAGAGACAGTTGGAAAATTGGGTAGGTCACAGGAATTAAAGTTGAACAACTAAGCATCAGAAAGAACAGAAATCAGGGCACTGTTGGGGATCTCAACGTTTATTCAATGAACATTTGTGTGGTTTTTACTATGTTCCAGAAGTTCTGCTAGGTTCTAGGGCTGTGTCTAAGGAAGGCACAGTCTCTGCAGTCGAGGGGGCTCTGTGAACAGCCAGCCATAGAAACAATCACAGAGGAGGGTAGTGAGTGCTGAGAAAGGTTATCGCAGAGGGAAGGCGACACATCCTCCAAGGAGGGGGAGCAGTGAGGAGGCTGTCATGGAAGGTTACCTGGAGGAGTCCCTGTGTCAGCAGAGTGAGGACAATCAGTAGAAGTTAACCAGTAGAAAAGAGAAGGAAGCACATTCAATAACCCAGGACCATCAGAATCTAGAGGTATAAGAGGGCCAGGCTCTGAGGAGAGCTGCTGCAGAGAAGTGTGCCTGCATCAGACGGTGGTAAGGGGGGCAATGTATCAGACAGCGTGTGCCCACTGCACCACTGCATGCTCATGTTTGCAATGCCCACACCTAGAACACTGTGTGGTGTTTAACAGTATTTCAAGGAAAGTTTGATGAATGAATGAATGAATGAATGAACTACTGAAATGATAATTGAATACATTTTCAGAAACTGTGCTCAAATCTTGGATCATAAGCCTCCAAACTTGAAAGGTGCATAAACTAAGAGAGAACACTTGGTCAGGGCAAAGACAATGCAAAAAACACTTTACATGGTTAGGAGCCTGCTGTAGTCAGGCTTCATTTTAAAAAATTACTTCTGCCAAATCTCTGCCAGTTTTATAAAAATTTCTCTAAAACTCCTCTAAAATACCTGATAATAGAGAATTCCAGAATGAGGAGAGAGATAATTATTTTCTTTTTCTCCATATTCTCTGCTCCTAAAAATAGACAAGTCTCCTGTTGGATCCTCTTGTTGGCCTTTGCACATCCACTAGTGGTTTAGTTTGTGTTTTGGACAAGATGCTGTTCCTCCCTTATGTGAACCTGAGCCAGTTTCTAACTGTCTCTCCCCCTATATTCCTCACTGGTGTAAGAAACAGGGTTGTGGTGCAAATGAAATAAGGCTTGGGATTCAAACTGTTCAGCATGATGATTGGTGCATAGCAGGCATCTTTCAGTCTTAGCTATTGATGGATCATCTCTGCTTTCAACATTCTTGTTTTTGTTATGATTACTTAAAAAGTATTAGTTCATTATTTCAGTGAATTAATACACTTAACATTGATCAGGGCACTAGAAGATTCAAACTAAATGACAATCTATTTCTATTAGTCTCTCTTAAGTGATTTACTATGTGCAAATTGCTGAGAGTATTAATTTTATGTCAGTGCGTTTATATTGCTGATTATTTTGGAAAGCAGACATTTGATTGTCTTTATTTGCTCTTTTATTGCATCCACTTTCTTTAAACTCAATGATAGTTGGAAATACAAAATTATGGAGAAGAATCATCAGAATCTTCACCCCAGGACTTAATTCCAATCCATTCAAAAATAAATGTCAAATTATTTAATGGATTTAAATGTTGAAGCCCTAAATCAACTACTGCCCTATGATGGTTGAGGGTTCTGTAAACAAACCCATGACATCCTTGACATTTCAGAAGACAGATAACCCCATCTTTTTCTCAGGGAGGAAAACTTTTACACCAACGGCTCCTAATAACTAAATGGAAGACCTAACCATGTTAGGACGCTCCGAAATTCAGAATCTATGGATTATTTCTGGAAAATCCACCTGCTTATGGCCCATGAACTACATAGAAATCCCCTGCCCCCATTTGTATATAGAAATGTGCTGCTAATAAGAAGAGAAAGAGCTAGATCTTTCCTGATGAGTGTTCCCCACACAAGGGCCTTTAGTGGTCAAAATTAGGGCTTTTATAGCTGCAGTGGCAGAAAATGCATACAAATAACACATTTGTCACCTAGATGGTCAATTAAATACTCACATGAGGTCAGTGCAAAACTGTTTACCAAACAGCACCAATTGCAACTTGTGAGACCTGAGACTACAGGACTCAGTGATATTTTAAGGATTAAATTATAATCAATACATGCATTTCTTAAGTTTTGCACCCCCTTGAATGTCAACTACATATGTTTTTAATTCCACAAATATTTGATGTCACTGACTGCGCTAAGAGAACAAGAAGATGAAGGAAATGCATAAAGTATTAATTGAACTGAGCCTTAAAAATAGCTACAAAATACATATTAGTTCAAACACTCATTAAAATGAGAAGAGTTAAATTCAGAGAACGACATTTCCCAGTTATGATCACACTCCCCAGTGCAAGGTGTTCTATAGCAATGTTTGCCTAACGGCATTTGGTTGATATCTGAGCACTAGCCCATAAGAATGTTACTATTGTCACTTCTAAAAGGTAAGCTTTAAAATAAAGGATTGGCAGGATAATGCCTTGAGATGCCTTCAGTTTCATGACTCAGGACAATACATATCTACCTGAAGAGACAGCCTGCCTGAGGCTGTGAGGGCTTCAAAGGCCCTAAGACCGTCAGAGCCACAGGACACAGAGACAGCATGAGGTCAAAGGCTGACCCAGGGTGAGTGGTGACTGTATAGAAAGAGTTTAACACTGGCCCAGAACAGTGTGAAGAGAAGTTTATTAGCCCTAAAAAGAAGAAGATCCAGGTGGCGCTCCTCTAGAGCACAGGTAATTTTAGTCTGAAACTAAGGGAGAATCATGTTAAAATAAGCAAGAGAAATGTGTTGGGCAATGTTCATGACTGCAATGCATGAGTAAGGATCTTGGCACACAAGTTAAACTCCCTTATTTTGTTTTGAGCAGAAACATCATTTAGCAAGTGCCAACTCTGACAGTTTTCTTTGAAGAATGTCCTGGAACGTCCCATGCTAGTTACCATAATGACTGAAATAGGATACCACAAAATTAAGCAATGAGAGAGGAGGGGATATTCTGATGAAAAGTGGTCAAAACTAAGGGTGAAATGTTTTTCAGAATAAATGACATAAGATTTTATGGGAAAATTCTGGTGACTTAGAAATATTATCTGCATTACAAACAGAGGAGAAGGATCACATCATCTATTCTGATAAAAAGAAGGTTCACCTGCGAACATTTAAATAATTCAAATTTTATGGACAGTTCTAGGTTTCTGGAATGTGGGAAGACCCCTTTATTCTTTCAAATTGTCCAATTAACACCAAAGTCTTCCATAATCATCATAATCATCATCATCATTAATGTTATTGACTGCTTACCACATAACTAGGCACAGTGCATTTGATATAACTATTTATTTCTCATCATCAGCCACCTTCTGTAGCTCTCTGAATATACCTATATGAGGCAGTATAACAGAACTGAAAAGTATATATGAGCAGAGCATTCAAATTCTACCCCTTTTACTTGCCTAAAATCTCGGGTCCTCAGTTTTCTCACCTGTAAGATGCAGGTAATAATAGCCCCTATCTCATTGATGTGAAGAATTAGTAAAAATAAAAAAAGACTTGGAAAATTCCCATTAGCTGTTATGGGTTACAGGAACATGGAAGCTGAGGCCATTTACATGACTTGCCCAAAGTAATGTTGGTAAGACATGGAAGCGTAGGAATTTAAACCCTAGGCAGTCCAACTCCAGAGAGTTCTCTTAACCACTCTACTACCTGGCATATAAGGTGAAATGAAATTCCTTTGAGTCAACAATTGTTTAATGAGTATACTAGACTCTAACCTCCTCGAGATCAAGGATAATGTCTTATATTTTTACCATGAAAACCTGTGATAAAGTCATGCATAAGAGGGACGATAAATTGCCAAACTGAGATTTATTATGTGTTGGGCATTGAGTTAGACAGTATGAACTACAGAGAGGATAACAAGATATTAAATATTATCCTGGAAGAGTTTACAATTGTGGACCAGCTGACTTAGGTTGCTCCCATTAGTGTACATTGACAGCAATAAAATATGAAATGACCACAGGTTGTTGTGACTTGGCTATCAATAGAATTTAACTAGGAAGGCTATATTTTCTATTGGTGATTTTATTGCTATTTTTAAAGAGAGAGTTCCTAACTGAAAGAAAGTTTTCAGGGATAGTTCCTTTGAGAAAGAGACATTGACTTATCTTTCTAGTCTTCACCTTTCATATCAATAAAATGTTCACTTCTTCTGATTTTTGGTTAATATTGTTAATAGCTTACAACTAAGAATATGAGGAGGAAGGAGACCTTTATTGAAGTGAAATGATTTTTAAAATATTGATACTATGGCTCTCCCTCTCCCTCTCCCTCTCCCTCTCCCTCTCCCTCATCTCCCTCTCCCTCTCCCCACGGTCTCCTTCCACAGTTTCCCTCTCATGCGGAGCCGAAGCTGGACTGTACTGCTGCGATCTCGGCTCACTGCAACCTCCCTGCCTGATTCTCCTGCCTCAGCCTGCCGAGTGCCTGTGATTGCAGGCGCGCGTCGCCACGCCTGACTGGTTTTCGTTTTTTTTTGGTGGAGACGGGGTTTCGCTGTGTTGGCCGGGCTGGTCTCCAGCTCCTAACCGCGAGTGATCCGCCAGCCTTGGCCTCCCGAGGTGCCGGGATTGCAGACGGAGTCGCGTTCACTCAGTGCTCAATGGTGCCCAGGCTGGAGTGCAGTGGCGTGATCTCGGCTCGCTACAACCTCCACCTCCCAGCCGCCTGCCTTGGCCTCCCAAAGTGCCGAGATTGCAGCCTCTGCCCGGCCGCCACCCCGTCTGGGAAGTGAGGAGCGTCTCTGCCTGGCCGCCCATCGTCTGGGACGTGAGGAGCCCCTCTGCCTGGCTGCCCAGTCTGGAAAGTGAGGAGCGTCTCTGCCCGGCCGCCATCCCATCTAGGAAGTGAGGAGCATCTCTGCCCGGCCGCCCATCGTCTGAGAGGTGGGGAGCACCTCTGCCTGGCAACCGCCCCGTCTGGGAAGTGAGGAGCGTCTCCGCCCGGCAGCCACCCCGTCCGGGAGGGAGGTGGGGGGGTCAGCCCCCCGCCCGGCCAGCCGCCCCGTCCGGGAGGTGAGGGGCTCCTCTGCCCGGCCGCCCCTACTGGGAGGTGAGGACCCCTCTGCCCGGCCAGCCGCCCCGTCCAGGAGGGAGGTGGGGGATCAGCCCCCCGCCCGGCCAGCCGCCCCGTCCGGGAGGTGAGGGGCGCTTCTGCCCGGCCGCCCCTACTGGGAAGTGAGGAGCCCCTCTGCCCGGCCACGACCCTGTCTGGGAGGTGTGCCCAGCGGCTCACTGGGGATGGGCCATGATGACAATGGCGGTTTTGTGGAATAGAAAGGCGGGAAGGGTGGGGAAAAAATTGAGAAATCGGATGGTTGCCGGGTCTGTGTGGATAGAAGTAGACATGGGAGACTTTTCATTTTGTTCTGTACTAAGAAAAATTCTTCTGCCTTGGGATCCTGTTGATCTATGACCTTACCCCCAACCCTGTGCTCTCTGAAACATGTGCTGTGTCCACTCAGGGTTAAATGGATTAAGGGCGGTGCAAGATGTGCTTTGTTAAACAGATGCTTGAAGGCAGCATGCTCGTTAAGAGTCATCACCACTCCCTAATCTTAAGTACCCAGGGACACAAACACTGCGGAAGGCCGCAGGGTCCTCTGCCTAGGAAAACCAGAGACCTTTGTTCACTTGTTTATCTGCTGACCTTCCCTCCACTATTGTCCTATGACCCTGCCAAATCCCCTTCTGCGAGAAACACCCAAGAATGATCAATAAAAAAAAAAAAAAAAAAAAAAAATATTGATACTATGTTATCAGTGATGTTTATATTTCAAGAATGCCTGCAAAAGACTCATAATCTTGATTTTTAAAAATTACTAGATCTAACTTTCATTTATTTATTCAACCACATAATAGCTACAATTTTTTTGAAAATCGAATATCTGTTGAATTATGCACAAAGTGCTTTCCCTGTGTTGCCTGTGTACCTTTCACAACAACACTGTGGTATGAGTAGAGTTGTTCCCTTTTACTGCTGAGGCTCCAGCTGATTGACAGACTTTTCTGAGGTCACATGGCAGCCATCAGGAGACAGCACGTGGATGCTCATCTAGAAATGTCAGGTTCCCAAGTCTGGGTTTTCTTTCATTCCCCATGCTGCCAGCTAGGACTTAGACACCCCTTAGAGTCAGGGATGCAAACAAGTATGTGGCATGGTAATTTTCTTGGTGCAACTTTAAAATAGCCTGGAAGAAGATAGATAAATATAGTCGAATGTTAAATAAACATGGGTGGTAGAATATAATGAAGAATCCGGTGAAATTTAATTTTGAGGAAATCACGTCACAGGGGCAGCAGAGGCCCTGGGGGCTCCACAGAGGAGTGAGGCTAGACCTCAAGCCCATGTGCGATGTGGACAGGGGAGCAGAGGCAGACCACGGGCTCCTCAGGAGCAAGGAGGAGGGCTCAGTCTAGCAGTTCCAGAGTGGTAAACGCATTGGCGTGGATCCAGAAAGTGCATGCTGAGAATTAGAGAAAATCTGAATAATATTGATCGGGGTCACAAATTAGCATCCCAAAGGCTAGGACCCAGAGATGTGATTGTCGTGGCCATACACTATGAACGTACAGCTTTTAACATTTGAATCTCCTTAAGCTGAATGTTCACTCTCCCCTTTGCCAGGGGCCCCACCAATCTTTTTCTCTTCTTCCCCTGGACAACCCACACATTACCTTACCTGCTTTGATACTGGGGGCATTTAATTATGTGATATTCCACAAACAATCTTGGCACATTAATATTAGTTGCCTTCAACAGCAACTCATAACAGTATAAAAAGATGATTTTGATGTAACTCCCTGAAGTCCTAAGAGTCATAATAATAACAATCTCTTATATTTAATTAATGTTTGTATATACAAAATATTTTTACTTATGTTATTTCATTTACAGTATACAAATTGGATTTTTCCTTCTTGTAAATTATTTGCCTAGGCCAATGTCCAGAAGACTTTTTCCTAGGTTTTCTTCTAGAATTTTTACGGTGTCAGGTCTTAGACTTAAGTCTTTAAAGCAGTTTGAGTTGATTTTTGTGTGTGGTGAGAGATAGAGATCAAGTTTCATTCTTCTACATGTGGCTATCTAGTTTTCCTAGCACCATTTATTGAATGAGGGTGTCCTTTTTCCAATTATTTCTATGTATGCTTTGTTGAGGATCAGTTGGTTCAAAGTTTTTGGCTTTATTTCTGGGGAGTCTATTTCTGTTCCATTGATTTATGTATCTACTTTCACACCAGTACCATGCTGTTTTGGTTACTATAGCCTTATAGTATAATTTGAAGTCAGATAATGTGATGCCTCCAGATTTGTTATTTTTACTTAGGTTTGCTTTGACTATTTGGGCTTTTTCTTGGTTCCATATGAATTTTGGGATTGTTTTTTCTAATTCTATGAAAAAATGACGTTAGTATTTTGATAGGAATTGCATCGAATCTGTAGATTGCTTTGGAAGTAAGGTCATTTCCATGATATTGATTCTTTCAATGCATGAGCATGGGATATATTTCCATTTGTTTCAATGCATGAGCATGGGATATATTTCCATTTGTTTGTGTCATCTCTGATTTCTTTCAGAAGTGTTTTGTAGCTGTCTTTGTAGAGCTTTGTCACCTCCTTTGTTGAGTATATTTCTAGGTTTTATTTGTTTTGCAGCTGCTGTAAAAGGGATTGAGTTCTTGATGAGATTCTCAGCTTGGTCACTGTTGATGCATAGCAGTGCTACTCATTTGTGTATATTAATTTTGTAACCTGAGACTTTAAAGAATTTATTTATCAAGCCTAGGAGTCTTTGGAGGAGTCTGTAGGGTTTTCTAGGTATATGATCATATCGTTGGCAAGCAGATAGTTTGACTTCCTTCTTTCCAATTTGGATCCCCTTTATTTCTTTCTCTTGCCTGATTGCTCTGCCTAGGGCTTCCGGAAGTTAGCCTTGATTTAAATTTTTCTCTATACTTCATTTTCTGTTCTTCACTAATATAGACCAATATATGGCTAAGAACCAGAAAATTAAAAAAAACATATTAAATTGGAGTAGATATATCAATTCTAGTCTTGCACTAAACACTCAATAAATGTTTCTTTATCAACTGAATAAATGAATAAATGGATAATGAACAAATAAATAAATGGTTATAAAGATGGTAGGATTTCAGCTAGACTTTTAAGGATTGACCTTTTATCAAGAAAATGAAAGGTATTCTAGGTCACAATGCCACAGTAAGTGAAGGCACAGCACCAAGAACAAAGAGTCCACAGACGTCTTTAGGAGGAGACTGATGCAAGACTTAGGAGATTCATTTAAGGAAACAGAAAATACCTATGAACAGGACATGTTTTTACCTTCTTGGAGGATATGAATCTGTGGCTAAAAGTTAAGGTTAGATAACTTTTTTGTAGACAGGAAAATCATTTCAAAATCATAAGACCTCTTATCTTCAAATGAAAATCAGGAGAAGTAGGCAGGCACAGTTGCAATCGAGGGTTGGGATATGGGAGGGTTTTACTTGGTCTATGTCCATTTCATTTTTTAGGAGAATAATTAATAAATTGTTCTAAACTCTTTAGTGCTGTTATTTGTGAGTGCTATATAGAGCAATATGGATGGTTAGCTAGATGCTGCTTACATTTCTGCATATTGTGGGCAGAACAAAGCTTTGCCGAGGATTGCTCAGGGAGTCATCCAAACACTTAGAACTCTGAAGTCTTAGGTTTCCTGCAAGTTGCAGTGTTGAGTTTCACCTAAATCAATGATTTGCCTTCGGAGTTTAAAAAAAGTGTCAATACTCAGGACCCACCCCAAAATAACTACATCAGAGTATCTGAAGAAGGAGTCTAAGCATTAGTGTTTTTTAAAGCTTTAGTGTGATTCTAATATGCAGCCAATTTGAGAACCATTGGTCTATGTGTTACAGAAACTACTTTTCAAAGGCAATGAGAGGCATCCAGTCAACATGTTATATTTTAGTCAAAATCTACAATGTAATTTGTATTTTCTGAGTCTCCTCTTGCTCTTTTTTTTTTTTTTTTTTTTTTTTTTTTTTGAGATAGGGTCTTGCTCTGTTGCCAAGGCTGGAGTGTAGTGGCATAATCCAGCTCACTGCAGCCTCAAACTCTCAGGCTCATCTGATCCTCCCACCTCAGCCTCCCAAGTAGCTGGGACCACAGGCATATGCGACTACACCTGGCTAATTTTTAGATTTTTTTGTAGAGATGGAATCTCTCTATGTTGCCCAGGCTAGTCTTGAACTCCTGGGATCAAGCAATTTTCCCTCCATGGCCTCCCAAAATGTTGCGGTTAAAGGCGTGAGCTACAGTGCATGGCCACCTTTTGTTTTTAGTTTAGAAGAGTAATCTGGATCAGGGACTGGTAATACTAAATCAATCTGATGGCTGGAGAGAGGCAAGTTTCAGGGACAATAGTGCTCATATGACCATAGTAACACTTGCTTAGCCATTTGTTGTTTCCACTGCATTGTAATATTTCTGTTTTCATTAATGCTCTAAAACATGTTTTTCTATCACAGGGATCCTATGCTTCTATTCACCTGGAATCACACTGATGCACAGACATCTGTGAATAGAAATTAAAGTTATTTGCTGAGGTATTCATGTTAAAAAAATGCATCTGGAACTGTGTAGCTTAAAGCTGCAGACGTGTCAACAACTACGCATGAAATGGAATGTTCCCACTGGGATCCACTCTTGATACATGACCATTATCTGTTCTTAACACTTTGCATCTTACTCTGACAATGTGATGCTAGGGTCAGGACTTGCTCAGTTGGACACTACAATGGATAATATTTAAGAGAAGAGGCGATCTGTTTCACATTAAGTTTTCAATAGAATTTGCACTTGGAATAAATGGTATCAAGACGAACCCTGTGCCATTGTTTACTCAATTTTCCTAGGGCTGGGCCATAGAATTACAAAGCAAGCCCTGCACCAAGCCTGCCAGGTTGTATATGGTGACATTGCAGGGGGAATTCTCAATGAGAAGCACACAGTGGTCTCACTTCCACCACTGAATGCCTCTCCCTTGGGCAATGCACCTAGTCTGCCTGGACTGAACATCTCACTATGTTTATCTTGTTGAGGAAGATAAATGGGTGTCAACTGGATTGAGGCATTGTTAGACTAGGGACCCCTGAGATGAGGACAGCAAGCAGAAATTGTGCCTCACACTGAGAAGTGCAAAGCGGCAGCAGGGGTTTTTAGTTGATTATGACAGCCATGATGCTTTGTCCTCATTGTAATTATCACAGTAAAGCGTTGCAGTTTCTTTAGTCTTTTGAGGAAGTGAGGGAGTTGAAACTTTCAATATTCATAATGTTGTAAAATCTCAAGTTTCCTATTCATGTATTTTATGTCTAAAATACACAAAACATAAAATACATGAATAGGAAAATCCTACTGTTACTTATTAGCTGTTTGGGGCAAACTTGATGGTGCCGAACAATGGAGGAGTCCATTTCAATCTTGGTTAGCAAGATTTCCCACAGAAAGGGGAGCAGTAACCCTACAGAGAAAAAGCGAGCCTTGAGGAGAGTGGATGGAACGTGCTTGGGATAGAGAGACACAGCTGGGGGCAGCACCTTCATTCACACAGCCAGCCATGGTGCCAGCCAGCACAGTGTGGAAGTAAAGAAATCTACAAGGAGACTCACAACCCAATGAACAGACTTTACTCAAGAGAGATGCCAGGGAGAGACTTTTAGCTCATTAGAAAACCAAATCTGCCAGGCGCGGTGGCTCGTGCCTGTAATCCCAGCACTTTGGGAGGCCAAGGCGAGGGGATCACCTGAAATCAGGAGTTCGAGACCAGCCTGACCAACATGGAGAAACCTCATCTCTACTAAAACTACAAAATTAGCTGGGCATGGTGGCACATGTCTGTAATCCCAGCTACTCAGGAGGCTGAGGCAGGTGAATCACACGAACCCAGGAGTCAGAGGTTGCAGTGAGCCAAGATCGCCCCATTGCACTCCAGCCTGGGCAACAAGAGTGAAACTCCATCTCATTCCTGAGCCAATCAGAGTAATAATTCCATGCCTTCTCATTTTGGTGGAAATCTAAAGTGGTTTGGATTTGATATAAAAACAGAAGATTTAACATTCCTATTCTTAACTCTTTCTACTTCCAAGTCCTTGAAATTATAGAAAAGATGTAATAAAATGATAATAATTAATGGCTGGGCATGATGACTCACATCTGTAACCCCAGGACTTTAGGAGGCTAAGGCAGGAGGATCACTTGAGCCCAGGACTTTGAGACCAGCTTGGGCAATACAGTGAGACCTTGTTTCTCCAAAAAGTTTTAAAAATTATCCTGGCATGGTGGCGTATGCCTGTAGTCCCAACCGCACAGGAGGCTTAGGTGGGAGGATCCACTGAACTCAGGAGGTGGTGGATGCAGTGAGCTGAGATCACTCAGTGCACTCCAGCCTGGGCAACAGGGTGAGACACTGTCACAAAAAAGGAAAAAAAAAAAAGACAAGAAAGAATGTAATCAGCAAAAAATTAGAAGAATTTCTGAAAGATAAAAAGCACACAGCATTTGATTTTAAAAGAAATATAGTGTAAGGAAAGAACAACTAAACAAAATGGATGTATCTTGTGATCCAAGGATTCCTACTCTTAGATATACCTACAAGAAAAGCACATATGCTGATGGCTCTATTATTAGAAACAGCAAAAATAGAAACCATTCAAATGTCCATTAACAGTGGAATGGAAAAATTATTATAAATTTGCACAGTAGAATACCGTACAAATGTTACTGGGAGGGGTGCAGGGTCTGTGGCTCTTGCCTTCTTGGAAGAAAGAATTCAGCCAAGAGATGCACAGCAAGGGTTAAGCAGCAGAGTTTCTTGAGGGAAGATAGAGGACAGTTCAAGAAGGGAGTGGGCTGGCCTGACTGGAAAGCAGCGGCAGCAGCGAGGTTTATTTAAAGGGAGAGCACACACTGAATGACAAGGCAGAGCAGGTTGCTGGAGAGAGGGAGTGAGCCAGCAGCAGCCAGTGCTGGGGACTCTCTTTATGAGGATCTTACATGATTATTCATGAAGGGATGTGAGGGGCTGTCACTTGCAATCATGTATTAGGTGGTTCCACATGCTCTATGGCTGTACATGCTAGTACACACATGAAATGTCTCATTAGCATTTAAAACCTCCACCTAGGGGTGTGTTTTTTATAATTGTAATGGGCAAAGTCTACTGCAGGGTGAGTTACTGGAGGAGTGAGCATGCTTGCCAATGGGAAAAGTCTCTACCATGGTTGTCTCCAGCTAGAGCCTGAGGAGTCCCCCTTAGGGCTGGAGGAACCCAACCACAACATAAAAGTAGCCAGTGTAAACTACTACCACACACAACAACGTGGCTGAATCTCACAAAAGTAAGATTGAGGGAAACCAGTCAGGAAAGAAAGGACAATTATGATTCCATTTATACACAGTGCAAAAACTTGGCAGCACTAATATATTCTAACCGGAATGGTATTGTCTTCAGGAAACTGGAAGTGTGGGAGGTAACTGTGAAGAGGAAAAATAGGGTTTCTGGGTACTGGGAAATATTCTGTTTCTTGATCTTGGTTGTACTTAAAGATGTTTCACTTAGTGATATTTCACTGAGCTGTACACTCAGCGTAATATGATTTGTGCGTGTCATATGTGTATATTATACTTCAATAAAAATAGCATTTAAAAAACACAACTCTGAACAGCACAACTGATTGGATATAGAGAGTGATTAGTAACCTGAAAGATTTTGGTTGAGAGGAAAGATTATCCAGAAAGCAGTGCAAACAGATGGAAAGGATGAGAAAAAAGTGTAAAGCCAGTACGTAAAGATGCAGTAATTCTACATAAAAAAAAGATTTCTAGGAAACGTGGGAAAGTGAATTTAATCTAATATTGCTGAGGCATGTTAAAGGGTGTGATTAATCGTATGTGCTAAATCACTCATTGGAAGTACTAGTAAAGAATTAGTTGGAAAATAATTGCAAAGTAAGCTCAATGGAATTATTGGTGCAAACTGAATATCTTCTGACTGTTTACTAAAAGAAGGGTGATGTATAACAACCGTAGGTTTTATTCATATAAATGAGCTGAAAATTCACAGTAGCTTTGTAACTACTTGCTGGATAACTGCATACATTCAGGGATTTTTTTCCCCAATAATAAAAACTTTTACTCATAATCACCAAAACTTAGATGGAACCAAGATGTCCTTCAGTAGATTAATGGATAAATATACTGTGGTACATCCAGACAATGGAATATTGTTCATCAGTAAAAAGGAAGGAGCTATCGAGCTATGGAGGAAACTTACATGCTACTACATGAAAGAAGCCAATCTGAAAAGGCTACATGTTGTAGAATTCCAACTCTGTGACACTCTGGAAAATGCAAAACTATGGAGACTGTGAAAATATCAGTGGTTTCTAGAAATTGGGTGAAGGCGGGGATGAATAGGCCGAGTGCAGAGGATTTTTAGGGCAGTGAAACTATTCCATATGATGCTATGATGGTGGAAACGTGTCATCGTACATGTGTCAAAACACATAGAATACACAGTAACAAGAATGAGCACTAATATAAACTATGGACTTTAGGTGATTAATGAGGTGGCAATGCAGGCTCATCAATTGTAAGAAAATGCACCACTCTAGTGGGTGATGTTGATAATGGGGGTGGGAGTGTTACACACAGGTGGGGCTAAGAGTATATGGGACATCTCTGTACCTTCTGCTCAATTTTGCTGTGAACCTAAAACTGCTCTAAGAAATAAAGCCTACTGATATGGTTTGAATCTCTGTCCCCACCCAAAACTCACATTGAATTGTAATCCCCAGTGTGGGAGGTAGGGCCTGGTGGAAGGTGATCGGATCATGGGGACGGCGTTCTCATGAATGGTTTAGTACATCCCCTTGGTACTGTACAGTGAGTGAGTTCTCATGAGATCTGGTTATTTAAAAGTGTTTAGCACCCTCCTCCCTTCCTCCTGCTCTGCCATGTAGATGTGCCTGCTTCCTCTTCACCTTCTGCCATGACTAGAAGCTTCTTGAGTCCTCCCCAGATGCCACTGTGCTTCCTGTACAGCCTGCAGAACCGTGAGCCAATTAAATCTCTTCTTTACAGACTGGGCGTGGTGGCTCACACCTGTAATCCCAGCACTTTGGGAGGCTGAGGCAGGCGAATCACTTGAGGCCAGGAGTTCAAGACCAGCCTGGACATCATGGCAAAACCCCGTCTCTACTAAAAACACTAAAATTAACCAGGTGTAGTGGCGCACGCCTTTAGCTATTTGAGTGGCTGAGGCATGAGAATCTCTTGAACCTGGGAAGTGAAGGCTGCAGTGAGCTATGATGCTGAGATCACACCACTGAACTCCAGCCTGGGCAACACAGCTAGACTGTTTCAAAAAAAAGAAAAAAAATCTTCTTTATAAATTACCCAGTTTCAGGTATTTCTTTATAGCAATGTGAGCATGGACTAATAGTCTACTAAAAAGAAAAAAGGTTATTCTACACAAAGTGGTATGTTCCTCTGGGTAGAGATTTCCCTTTTTTTCCTCCCAAAAATTTGGTTATAAGGATGGGATCCCTCAACTAAGCCCTCCACTGGGCACATTTCTTGGAGTATTTGTAGCCATCTTTAATCAAATAAGGGACTATTTGCTAAAAAGTGTTTCTTCAACTACTTTGGTTCAGTGGAATTGGGTTCCCAGGGAAAATCCCAAACTCTCACTAGAAGTTTTGAGTTACCATTGAGTAAAATTGGTAATGTGGCTGAAAGGCCCTGTGTGGTTTGCTGTTGGCTTTAATGGTAAAATGTTCTGAAAACTCTGGAATGCTGTCAGCGGGTCCCTCTCCTGGAAGGCGTGCTTCACTCTGCCATGCCGGGCTCCAGGAGGATAACTGCTTGCTGCTCCAGCAACTCAGGCTGCTTGCTGTGCCTGGAATGCTCAGCATGAGGGGCCACCGAGGGCAGTTCCTGAAGCCTCTCCACTGAAGGTGGACTGGGAGAAGCCACAGTGCCACGCTTCTTAGCCACATGAGGCCCGTGAGTTTTCACCAGCTGTTCACCTTTCCTAAGTCCAAGGCATGTCTCAGGGGGTCCGGGCTCCTGATCCTCTCCACTTCTGTGGCAGCTTTGTTGCAGAGAATTCAAGAGAGCAAATAAGGGAAAATGTAGTTGGGTGGCAAGAATAATTTCTCACGTTTTGAGGGAAGTAGCCCAAGTTTGGGAAAATATGGAGAAAGATAAAGAAGACAAAAAAATAGCCCTTAAGATTTCCCAGTTAGAATTATTCACAAAGGGAATAAACCCTTATCTGGGGCCACCACCAGACAAGAAGGAACCCCGTAATGGAAAGTCAATATGTTACTGTTGTAAGAAATCAGGACAGTGGAGGAAAAATGAATGCTAAACGAGGGTCAAGAAGAGTTGAGAGATACAAGCTAACTCTAAAGCTTTACCGTCATCTCCAAGAGATTTTTGCCTAAGGAAATTGGACAAAAAGTAATTGGAAAATTGTGGAAAGTAACCTCAGAGCTGAGGGTGGGAGGCATTTATGTGTCTCTTTCTTTTCCCACTTTAAGCTTGTCCTGATCTTTCTTGTGAACACTGAAGGCACACACTCCACAATTTCTACAGACGGTTATCATTTTACGTCAACCTAGGAAAACATCCAACTTTTGGGTACCTCTAGACAACCTTCTCCCTGTTCTTTCTTCTCTGAGGTTTCTCAACAAGTAGATTCTCCATACTGTAGATGGAGTGTTTTCAGAGCTCCCAGGAGGCAAGGAGTTGGTAAATAAGCACTTTCTAAAATAAAAGAACTATCATTATCTATTTGTTCATCAAATAGATACTTAGGTTTTTCCCATATCTTGACTATTGTGAATAATGCTGCAATGAACTGAGACTGCCGACATTTTCACAAGGTCACTTTCTCTGACTATATGCCCAGAGGAGAGATTGCTAGGCCATAATGTAGTTCTTTTTAAAATTTCCTTAGGAGCCTCCATACTGTTTTGCATAATGGCTGTGGCAATCTACATTTCCACTAACAGAGTACAAGCATCCCCTTTTCTACATACCCTCACCAACACTTATTATCTCCTGACTTTTTGATAGTAGCCATGCTTACAGATGTGAGACATTTCACAGTGGCTTTAATTCACATTTTCCTGGTGACTGATAACATTGAGCACATTTTCATATACCTGTTGGCCACTTTTAACGTCTTCTTTGGAGAAGTGGCTATGTAGGTCCCTTGTCCATTTTTTTAATTCGGTTGTTTGTTTTTTTAATATGGAATTGTATGAGTTCTTTATAAATATTGGATTTTGTTTCCAAATCTGTAGGTTGCCATTTTATTTTGTTGATTGTGTTTTTTGCTGTTCAGCCTTTAAAAAGAAGGAGATCTTGCCATTTGCCACAACATGCATGAACCTGGAGGACACTATGCAAAGTGAAACAAGCCAGACAAAGAATGAAAAATATTCCATGATCTCACTTACATATTGAATCTTTTAAAAAAACAGGTAAACAAAGACAGCGAATGAAACAGGGTTACCAGGGGGACTGGAGAGGGTGGGGGATGGGAAGATATAGGTCAGAAGGTACAAAGTAGCAGGTGTGTGGGATAAACAAGTCCAGAGATCTCATGTACAACATGAGGACTAGTGTTAAAAAAAATTGTGCTGTATTTGGAATTCCTGATAAATGAGTTGATTTTAGTTGCTATTACCACAAAACAAAAACAAAAACAAAAATGGGTAACTATGTGAGATGATGGATGTGTTAATCTGCTTCACTATAATAACCATTTTACTGTATATATGTATATATATGTATCTTAAAGCATCATGTTTTACATCTTAAATATACACAATAAAATTTATTTTAAAAATTAAAATAAAATAAAAGCATCTCAAATTAGAAGGGCTCAAGGAACAAATAATATGGGTTAGTAAAAGAAATTGAATCCTGCTCTGGTTTGAATGTTTGTGTCCCCTTCAAAATGTGTGTTGAAGCTTCATTTCCGATGTCGAGGTTTTAAGAGGCGGGACCTTTAGGAGGTGATGAGGTGATAAGGCTCCTCCCTCACGATAGAATTAAGGCCCTTGTGAAAGAAGCTTCACACAGCATTCCACCTTTTTGCCCTTCTGGCCCTACCACCATGTGAGGATGAAGCACTCGTCCCCTCTGAGGACACAGCGCTTGTCATGGTGCCACCTTGGAAGCAGAGAGCAGTTTCACCAGGTTCTGACCTTGCCAAGCCTTGATCTCAGACTCCCAGTCTCCAGGACTGTGAGAAATAAATTCCTACTATTTATAAATTACCAAGGTTCAGGTATTTGGTTATAGCAGCACAAACAGATGGAGATCATCCCCTTTTCACAGCTTAAAACAAAACAAAAACATTATGGACATGTGTAAATCAACATCCTCTCATTCTAGCTCAAATACAAGGAATAAAAAACTCAGAGAGTTAGAAAAACAGAGCATAGTCAAGAGAGGCGCATTTTCCTTTTTATATTCCCAAATTACCTGGGAAAAAGAATGAAAACTGGGCAAGAAATTGCCCGTAGATTTGTACAAGCTCTGCGAGAAATACGTGAGGTTGAGGCTGCTCTGATTCCTATTGTTCCATATGGGGCTGCATTCTGCGTCTTTTCTGTACTTTTCACTGAGGTACCAGGCTCTTCTTTGAGTGCCCCTGGAATCTTCTTTCTTCCGCATTTGTGGTGACGGATCCTCAGATTTGCCTGCTATACTTTCTAGACATTCACAAGAGAACTAAGAGAACTTTTCCCCACCTTTAATTCATACTAATTCAACATGTGAGCGATTTATTAATAGCTGTTAACACTGTATGTGCTTACAAACAAGATACTTTCAATTTAATAAAAATTTTGCTTCTCTAAATAAATTGCAGTATTATCAAAGTGAAGTCAGGAATTTGGGACATTTGTTTTAGGCTGGCAGATGAAAACCGGTTCTATCCTGAAGTCAGCCTATCTTAAGCACACACTATCTAACACATATACACAAACTCTGCCAGTTTGGGGGTTGTTTGGGGGTTCAGACTACGGGTCCTTTCCTATTCTGAAAAAGCTAAGCCTCTTGCTATGATGTCACATGAGGAGTTCACCAGAACTTTACTGTGGTCTAAATAAGCTGAAGAAGTCTTCCAGATCCTAAGGAAGCCTTGTTTCCCCATCTGTGCTGGGTGCCTACCCGAGATGACATTTCAAACGTCTTTTCTGTTAGAGAACAAGGGAGAGGCTAGAGGTGTGGCTACTTTGAATCAGACCCTGACCACAGGCCCTTCTCTGTTGCTCTGGGGACACCAGAGTGTCGATGAGCTGTAACAGCAGCTGCCTCCAGACTGCAAAGGCTCTTACTTGGACTCTAGGATATTTAGCTTACACTTAACGCAAAGGGCTACTGCTACTTTACGAGTCCTTGCAAGTCTGTAAGACACCATACTCACCGGTGCACCGCCAGACTAGTTATGCACTAGTCTATCGAATTGCACTCCAGGCAGAAGGAACTGTTTGAATCTGACCTTTCTGTTGCCGGATGCTGGCCACGTTTTGCTACAGCACAAGGTGCTCAGTCTGGGTCTGATTCGGCTGATATTCCTGGTCCCAATGCTGACTCAACAGTGCTCAGTGACTGGTCTCGTGCGAGACACATGGGGAGGTTTAAGTTCTCTCAAATGTAAAATCAGCTCAGGTGCCAGAACCCGAAGCTGTTATGCAAACTGCATAATTGGCCATTGTCTTACGAAGGGAGAATGTCTAATTGATGGCTAATATGCATTGGGGGTCTGTCGTGTCACGGGCCAAATTTGGAAGAATAGAGGCTTTCTAATATCAATGAGAACTAAAATATCACTTGGGAAACGAACTGCTGTCTTACTAGAGTCACTGCCATTGTCTTTACAGATTTCTGTAATGCACTGTAGACTGCATTACAGACCTAACAAGATGAAACATATAAAGGAAGTAAAAAGGGCTAATAAAGTTTGAACTGCGGAAGTCGAAGCCCCGTTACTGCTGCAGAGGAACTCCTATTCGCTGTTTCAGCAACAAACAACCCTCCAAGACTTAGAAAATAAGAAAGAAAGAAAATGGGGTGTCCTCAATAGGATTATTCCTGTCCCCCAGTTGTACGATTGAGTGGATTTTTCATGCCATCAGCAAGCTCATTTGAACAAAAGAATACTCTGAAAACCTTGGAATTCTACTACATTTGCTATAGGGTCAAATAGTTCAGGAAATGACACAAAGGTGTGCTGTTTGTCAGCAAAGTTATTTGTGGGAAACACCCAAGTTAAGTCGAAGAAGCCCGCTGAGGCCAACATGATCTGAGAACTGGACAAACATGGACTTTACAGAAGTTGTGCCCTCGGAAGTTAAGAATTATTGTTTAGCAGGGATGTGTATGATGCCTGGATGGCCGGAGGGCGTTCACGTGCTAAAGCAAATGCTCAAACAATGATCATATCATTACTGAATTTTATCATTCTAACCTTTGGGATTCCAGAACATGTAAAATCCAGTAGATAAGCCATTTGGTTTCTACGGGGCTAATTTAGGGGCTCTTTAAAACACTACAGAGGTCTTTAAATTATTATACTCTTTATTATCACCAAGCTCCTGGGCTGGTAGAATGACTAAACCACAGTGTATTAGTCCATTCTCACATTGCAATAAAGAACTACCTGAGACTGGGCAATTTATAAAGAAAATAGGTTTAATTGGCTCATGGTTCTTCAGGCTGTACAGGAAGCATGCTGAGGGGGAGGCCTCAGGAAGCTCACAATCATGTCAGAAGGCGAAGGGCAAGCTGGAACATCTTACTTGGCTGGAGAAGGAGGAAGAAAGGGAAGCATGAGGTGCTACACACGCTGGAGAAGGAGGAAGAAAGGGAAGCATGAGGTGCTACACACTTTTAAACAACCAGATCTCGTGAGCACTCACACACTACCATGACAACAGCCAGGGGGAAATTCACCTTCATGATCCAATTGCCTCCCACCAGGCCCCTCGTCCAACACTGGGAATTACAATTTGACATGAGATTTGGACGGGGACACAAATCCAAACCATATCACACACCCTAAAGAATTATTTGGTTAACTTACACCAAACCAATGGCTTATTCGAGTGTTGTTACTGGTCCTGTTAAAAATAAGATCAACTCCTAGCAAGCATGCTATTTCGCCTTTGGAGTTAACATCTAGTGACCTATGAATTCAGGATTTAAGTTCACTGCTTACCTATAAAGGAAAACACCATAGATGTACTACTTAACTGGGTTGCCATCTTTCTAGGCTTATTCTGCCATCACGTGGCAGATGCTGGAAAAGTCCCCAAGGAGACGTGCTATCAATTTTGACCAGAAAAAAGCTACATAGAGTTCCAGTGACAAGACTGGATGATCATTGTGCTAAGAAAGACCCCGCCAGGGGTGGATCAGGAGGTCAGGAGATCGAGACCATCCTGGCTAACACGGTGAAACCCCGTCTCTGCTAAAAATACAAAAAAAATTAGCCGGGCCTGGTGGTGGGCACCTGTAATCCCAGCTACTCAGGAGGCTGAGGCAGGAGAATGGCGTGAACCTGGGAGGCGGAGCTTGCAGTGAGCCGAGATAGCGCCACTGCAGTCCAGCCTGGATGACAGAGTGATACTCCGTCTCAAAACCAAAAAAAGAAAGACCCCGCCAGGTGTTGCTGATAACTCGCCCACCATCACAGTGAAGGAGAAGCTCGGCTTCACGAGAGCTTCGCCTGTGACCGCACCTGTGACTGAAATGGCCGTGACTCCTGGTAAGGACTCGAGGTTGAATCCCCAGACAGTAACGTCCAGGTCAAGGGTTTATAACTAAGAATAATCACAATACTATAAAACAAGGGGTACACTGAAAAACATAGAATCTAGTTATGAAAACTAATAAAAATAAGCATTAAATATCTTTCAGATTATGAGTTTTAAAAATGAGACAGCATCCTGTAAATAGTTTAATGATAAACCATAAACTGGAACAATCTATCAGAAAAGCAAAGCAGCAATATAGATTTGAACTATTGAAAAGTTTATATTCTTTGGCTTTAAATATCTTTATAAATACATTTAAAACAAATTTATATTTATTATATGAATACATTTATTAAATACAGATAATAAAACTTGTTTAATCCTAAACGAGTCCTGTTCAGAATTCCTTCCTTATTTTGTCATGCTTTAAGGCCCATGAAAAGCTTAGGCAAAACTCTGGGTGGGCTTTTGTTACATTCCAGCCTTTGTGAAAGGGCACTGGCTTTTTTAGCTTTTAATATTTAACTTAACCACTCAGTCAGTACTGAAACAGTTGTGAAGGAGGCCTGCATTAGTGAGACCTGGCCCGCCACAATCCCCACTGTCAATTTGCACATGATTTCTACCATGCTTGTATATTTATTTATCACGAGAATCGTAGGGAGATGGGGCATTGTAATCTTCCTGGCTGCTTCCTGCTGAGAGGGGGTCGTCGTGATGGGGCACTGTGTGCAGCACTGGAGTGGGAGAGGTCGATTTCTTCCCAGCGGCACTCTCTGTTTCAGGAGCTTAGCGGCAGCGCCTGCTGAAACGTAATAGTATGCAACAGTAACACATGTAAACAGGTTGTTGCTGTTTTCTTCTGAGGTTTAAGTTGTCTAGTCTTCAGTTCACAGGGCTTTATGAAAGCACAGCTTAGGTTTCCGTGATTTCCAATCAGGAAAAATGGGGAAAAAGGAAAAAACTGAAAACATTATTTTGGAGACCTGTAGCCAGAAAAATTAGAATTTAATCTCAACCATAGAAAATAATAAAAACTGGAAAACATCAGGCAAGACTAGAATTTAGCAAGAAGTGTACTATAGTTTCTGAAACATAATTTTTATCTCTCCAGTTTCCCATTTTTATTAAAAGACAAATCATGGTAGGACTAATTTGCTTTATTATAATTGGTCAGATTATCTGTATAAAGTGCAGCAAGAATAATTATTTTCACATCAGCCTTTTAAACTGGCTTTTATGGAACTTTGTTCTGTAGAAGGAATCTGAGATAAGGCTTTTTTAAAGCCAAGCCCAGCCATGGATTTGTACCATCAAATACCTATGAGTTGGGTGAATTCCTCTCCTTTTGAGGTTCCAAGATAACTTGGGGTTCCTGGCCTGTCAGAAAGTGACATTCTTTACTTACCACAGATCAGAAACCCTGTACAGGGACTGTGTACATGGAATAGGAGGCCAGTTTCCCAAGGGCTTTATTGGCTTTATGAGTTAAGTTTGATTCCTAAAAGGAAAGAATACAATTCCAGTCAAAGCCTTGGTAAAATAACCAGTTTTTCCAATTGTGTCCTGTTACAAAAGAAGACAGATTCTTACTACACTTACACAAATAAGTATATTGCCGTAACTTGAGAATACTCACAAATAGTTTCCAAATTCTGGAGAATACCAAGTAGAGAGAAACAAATATACTCCAAATTTTGTTCATGGGAGTATACTAAGTTGTTAAAAAGCTGTCAATAGCTCAAAAGAAAAGTTTCCTTGACTCTGAAAAGCAAAACAAAGGATTGGCAATATTTTAAGCAAAATGCCAAAAGGATCACTCCAGTCTCCTATTGGTTCAGTTTATGCAGTTAATTCCTGTCCTGCTTGATATTAATGAAAATTTTAGCTCTTCAAATTCCTGAATGTTTTTCCTCTATTCTGATGTCAAAATCTCCAAAGTTATCAGAAACCTGCATTCAAGAGCCCCTGTTAGAGCTTCATAGCTGATTATAAAACCACCTTCTAAATGTAATAGAAAAAAATTTTCTCCTGTCTTTGTTATCTCTGTGTTTCTTTTCTGTTTGCTTCTTTCGACCTTTATGCTACAAAGGCTTTCTTCAAATTTGATATTTGACATTTTTCATTTAATTGCATCACTCTCCCAAGCTGAACGAAAGCCCTGGCTCAAAATATGAGCCTGTTAATCAGTTTCACTCTTGATGTGAAAAAGGTAAATTATCTGGAGCAGTTTGCAAAGGACTTACAAAGGACAGAGTGCTTGAGCTGAGACCCAAAAGATGAATAGATGTTTGCCAGGTGGGGAAGGTAATGAGCCAAAGGAGCCGTGTATTTCTAGAACATATCACAGTGCCTGGCCCAGAGGAAGCACTCAAGGGTTATTTTAGAATTGAATGAATGTTCATAGTTATGGTGGCATGAATATCATGGTTTTTTTAGGAAATTCCAAGACAATTTATTTCTATTGTAGTTCAAATATGTTGGCAATACGTTCTCTTTTTAACGAAATGTCTTAATTCCTTATAATTATGATATGCCTAGTCGTGTTTCTCTTTTATTCATCTTGATGGTGTTTTGCTGAGATTCTTGAATCAGTGAATTTATCTTTCAACAATTTGAGAAGGCTTCAACTATTATTTCAAGTGTTTTTTGTTCATTCTGTCTCTTCTGTTATGGTGAAACTTCAACTACGTGTTAATTATTTTAGAACTTTTGTTATTGTCCATTAGTCTGTTCACAGTCGTATCTTTTTTTCTCTCTCTACAGGTGTACTTTGTTTTTTGAGTTTCACTTTATTGTGCTTTGCAGACAATGTGGGTTTTTGTTTGTTTGTTTTTGCAAATTGCAGGCATGTTGCAATCCTGTATTGAGCAAGTCTATTAGCACTGTTTTCCCAACTGCATGTACTCACTTCATGTACCTGTATCAGCATTTCTTGGCAATAAAGTATTTTAATTAAGGGATGTACATTGTTTTAGACATAATGGTATTGCACACTTAATAGACCACAGGATAATGTAAACATAACATTTATATGCACTGGGAAACAAAAAAAGTTTGTGTAACTCACTTTATTATGACATGTCCTTACTGTAGGGGACTGAAGACAAACCTGCAATATCTCTGAGGTATGCTTGTATATATAAGTTCTTGTCATCTCCAAGCAGACACTTTTACTTCTTTTTCTCTTTGGTTGCCTCTTTTTGTTTTTTGTTTTGTTTTTTTTTTTTAGGTGGAGTTTCACTCTTGTGGGCTAGAGTGCAATGGTGTGATCTTGGCTCACTGCAACCTCTGCCTCCCGGGTTCAAGTGATTCTCCTGCCTCAGCCTCCCAAGTAGCTGGGATTACAGGCATGCACCACCACACCCAGCTAATTTTGTATTTTTAGTAGAGATGGGGTTCCTCCATGTTGGTCAGGCTGGTCTCAAACTCCTGACCTCAGGTGATTTGCCTGCCTCAGCCTCCCAAAGTGCTGGGATTACAGGTGTGAGCCACCACGCCTGGCCTGGTTGCTTCTTTCTTTCTTTTTTTTTTTTTTTTGCCTAATTGTTCTGGCTAGGACTTCCAGTATGCTGCTGAATAGAAGTGGTGATAGTAGGCATTCTCTTTTCTCTAATCTTAAAGAAAAAGGTTTCTGCATTTCACTAATCAATATGATGGTAGCTGTGGGCTTCCATGTAAGGCTTTTATGTAACTTATTGAGAGTTTGTATCATGAAAGTATGTTGAATTTTGTCAAATATTTTCTCTGTAACTATTGAGATGATCATGTGGTTTTTGTCTCTTTTCATTCTGTTAACAGGATGTATCACATTTATTTATTTGCATATGTTGAACCATTCTTGCATCCCAAGGATAAATGTTTGGGATGTATAATACTTTAATGTGCTGTGAAATAAGGTTTGCTAACATTTTGTTGAAGATTTTTGCTTCTTTGTTTGACAGCGATATTGGCCTGTATTTTCTTTTCTTATGGTGTCCTTGTCTGGCTTTTGAATCAGGGTAATGCTGACCTTGTAAAACAAGTTTAGGAGTGGTCCATCCTCTTCAATTTTGGGGGAGAGTTTTAGAAAAATTGGTAGTAATTCTCATTTAAAATGTTTGGTAGATTTCCCCAGTGGAACCACTAGGTCCTGAGCTCTTTTATTTATTATTCATTCATTTATTTATTTATTTTGATGGGAGACTTTTGATTACTGATTCATCTTCTTACTCATTATTGGTGTGTTCATATTTTCTGTTTTCTATGATTCTGTCTTGATAGGTTGTTTGTTTCTAAAAAATTGACAATTTCTTTTAGTTTATTCAATTCATTGGCATATATTTTTATGTAATCTCTTATGAACTTCTGTACTATTGTGGTATTAGTTGTAATGCCTCTTCTTTTATTTCTGATTTTATTTATTTAAATCTTCTTTTTTCTTAATTAATTGAGATAAAGTTTGTAAATTTTATCTTTTTAAAAATCCAACTGTTCATTGATTTTTAAAATCATTTTTCTAGTCTCATTTATTTCTGCTCTTTATTAATAATCTTTGTTGCTTCATTTTTTTCTATTAATTTGGGCTTAATTTGTTCTCCTTTTTCTATTCCTTGTGATATATCATTAAGTTGTTTATTTGTGATTTTTTTAAATGTAGATGTTTATCACTATAAAAATCTCATACTGTTTTCACTGCATTCTATAAGACTTGGAATGTTGGATTTCCATTTTTATTTGTCTGAAGGCATGTTAAAATTTACTTTCTGACTCTTCTTTCACTCATTGGTTGTTTGGGAGTGTGTTGTTTCATTTCACATATTCATGGATTTCTCTTTTTTTCTCCTGTTACTGATTTCTGGTTTCGTTCCAATGTGGTCAGAAAAGATGCTTGATATGATTTCAGTCTTCTTAAATTTTAGACTTGTTTTATGGTCTAATATATACTCTATCCTGGAAAGTATTTTACATGAGCTTGAGAAGAATGTGTAGTCTGTTGTCATTGTTTGGAATATTCTGTGTATGTCCATTAGGTCTATTTTGTCTAAAGTATATCTGAAATCCAATATTTCCTTATTAAATTTTGTCTGTGTATTATTCTGTTCTTGTGCTGCTAAGAAAGACATACCTGAGACTGGGAATTTATAAAGGAAAGAGGTTCATTCACTCACAGCTCCACATGGCTGGGAAGGCTTCACAATCACGGCGGAATGTGAATGAGGAACAAAGTCATGTTTTACATGGTGCAGGCAAGAGAGCTGGTACAGGGAAACTCCCATTTATAAAATCATCAGATCTCATGAGACTTACTCACTACCACGAGAATAGTATGGGGGAAACTGTTTCCATGATTTAATGATCTCCACCTGGCTCCACTCTTGACACACAGGGATTATTACAATGCACAGTGAGATTTGGGTGGGGATGCAGCCAAACCATATCATTCTGGATAATCTACCCATTGTTCAGAGTGGTACTGAAATTTTCTACTACTATTATGTTATTGTCTGTCTCTTCCTTCAGAATTACTAATATTTGCTTTATATATTTAGGTTCTTAATTTATAAAGATGTATGGTGCATATATATTTACAATTGTTATACCCTCAATGAATTTACTGCTTTATTATTATACAATGCCCTTCTTTGTATCTTATGACAGTTTTCAACTTATAGTCTAGTTTATCTGATCTAAGTATAGCAACCCTTGCTCCTTTTTGGTTTCCATGTGCATGGAATATCTTTACCATTCCTTAACTTTCAGTCTATGTGTGTCCTCAAGGGTAAAGTAAGTCCCTTACAAACAGCATATAGTTGAGTCTTTAAAAAATTCATTCTGTCACTCAATGTCTTTGATTAGCAAATTTAATCCATTTAAATTCAAGGTGATTATCAATAGTTAATAACTTACTATATTAGTCCCCCTAATTAGTGGTTTTGTTTTCACTGTTTCAGTTATGCATGGTCAACTGCAGTCTGAAAATATTAAGTGGGAAATTCTTAAAATAAACATGATTTAAGTTGTAAATTGTGTGCTGTTCTGGGTAGTGTGATGAAATCTTGCACCATCCTGCCCAGGAGGAGAATCATCGATTTGTCCAATGTATCCATGCTACAGCAGGTCCAGTGAATCCATACACTACCCACCGGTTAGTTCCTTAGTAGCCATCTTGGTTATCAGATCAGCTGTCATGATATCATAGTGCTTATGTTTAAGCAACCTGTATTTTACTTAATAATGGCACCAAACTGTGAGAGCAGTGATGCTGGCAATTCAGAGATGCCAAAGAGAAGCCTTAAAGTCTTTTCTTTAAGTGAATAGGTGAGAAAGTTCTCAACTTCCTGAGGAAAAAATATTGTATGCTGAGGTTGCTAAGATCTATGGTAAGAAATCTTAGCAACCTCCGCATACAATCTTTTGTGAAAGGAAAATAAATCTTGGGACCCCAAACTCACAAAGCCAAAGAGAAAAGTCAAGTTGGGAACTGGGTCATGCAAACCTGCCTCCCTTTTGGTTCCTAAATAAGATGACTATAAAGATTAAAAGCTACATACCTCCCTCACAATTTGCCCACCAGGAATTTCTTGTAGGCCCCAAGATCTTTATTCTGCAACAGTTCTGTTGAATTTCACCCTGGCAATGTAAGTTGATGCTTATCTTCACAGGTGTGGGACAAAGGACAGAACTCAAAATCATCCTTCTGCTCACCTGAGACAAATGCATATCTGGTTGCTTCTTCTGCCCTATTGTCTGTGTTAGCTTATGTAAAAATGCAGCTTCGCTGGGCCAGATGAAGGCATAAGTGACTATTTCCTCTGCCTCTATCTCACATGAAAATTGTGTATTCAGTAAAAGTCTAATCAAAGACTCAAAAAGATGCAACCGTTCTCTCTCTCTATCCACCAATACTTCAAAAATTATTTCTCTTCTAATATCTGCCCCTTCCCATTTAAATATTGAAGCCCTCAAAATAATCCCTGGAAAAAGACATAGACCTACCTCCCAGGTGCACTTCCTCAACAATGGCAAACAAACCTCCTAAAATGATTAAAACTTGCCTCAGTCATTTTCATTTATTTACACACTTCTAGTCATGAAATTGTGAAGAAGGAAAAAACATTTGTGCTAGTTTTGCTGTCTCACCTCAAATTGCAAAAGTTGTGGCCACAGTGATAAGTATTACAAGTGCTTAGTTAAGATGAAAAAGGCATTAAATTTGTGGGTGGAAGAGAGGAACAGAAATGTGTTTAGTTGGCTCCAGGATTTTCCAGGATTTCAGCCATTCACTGGTGGTCTTAGAATGCATCCTCCATGAAAACCTGAGGACGATTATATTGACATTGTGTTGTTTCCTGGCTGTTTTATAGATTTCTTCTGCCTGTTTTCTCTCTTGCTGTTTTCCTTTTGGTTTGATGATTTTCTGCAGTGATAAGCTTTGACTCCTTTCTCTCTATCTTTTGTGTATCAACTATAGGTTTTTGCATTGTGGTGTGAAAGGAAAATAAATCTTGGGGACCCAAAATCACTAAGTTAAAGGGAAAAGTCAAGCTGGGAGCTGGTTAGAGCAAACCTGCCTCTCATTCTATTCAAAGTCACCCCTCTGCTCACTGAGATAGTTGCATATCTGATTTGCCTCCTTAGGAAAGGCTAATCAGAAACTCAAAAGAATGCAACCTCACCTATCTGTGACCTAGAAGCAAGCCCCTTCCTCCCTTTGAGTCTTCCTGCCTTTGCTTTAAGTTGTCCCACCTTTCCAGACTGAAACAATGTACTTCTTACACATATTGATTGATGTCTCATGTCTCCCTAAAATGTATAAAACTAAGCTGTGCTCCAACCACCTGGGCACATGTCAGGACCTCCTGAGGCTGTGTCATGGGCATGTCCTCAACCTTGGCAAAATAAACTCTAAATTAACTGAGACCTGTCTCAAATTTTCGGGGTTCACAGTGGTTACCAGGAAGCTGATGTATAATATCTTAGTAATAACAGTCTCTTTTAAGCTGATAACAACTTAACTTCAATTGCATGCAAACAGTCTTCCTTTTTGCCCCCAACATGTACATTTTCTGTTTTTGATGCCTCACTTTATGTGAAGCACAAGCACATGCAGATCAGTGAAGCTGTGGGGCCTGAGATGGGACACCCCACTGTGGGGCAGTGGTTCTTATGTCCAAGACCTAAGTGCTCGGGAGCGGCAGTTTAGGGTACAGGTCCCTCCTGAGGGACAGGAGTGGGGCTGGTTCACAGGGCAGCGGCTCTGGTGTCTGAGGTGTGGTTGTGCATGGTGTGGCCATGGAGCTAGGACCTGGAGCATGGGTGTGAGTGGAACAGCTTCAGCTTCAGAGTCCAGGGCACATGCAGCGTTCAGGAGGTGGTGGCCTTGGTCCTGAGGTGACACAATAGTGGCTCCTTCTGGGAGGGCACAGCAAGAAACATTCAGAGGAAGGAATGCCTTCTTCTCTGGGGTGTCTGTGTCAGTGATAGTTGTTGGTTGCCTCAGTGGCAAAAGTTGTCATTGTCTTCTGCAGAGTCAGCCACAGGGACCTCTGTGGCACCCACCATGTGGCTGACACTGGTAGCCTCTGCCCTTCTCTTTTCCAGCCATCTACAGCAATCTCCATTAATCTGATCTCCCCAGCAACCCTTTCTCCATTTTTTACTCTACTGCCTTGTTTCAGGCTCTAATCAGACCTTTAAGCCCTCCCAAGCCCATTTTAATTTGTGCATAGCTGTCTAACTATTGGTTTTTTTGGAAAATGAAGGCTTGTGTTTCCTGCTCCACCATATTGCTGACATCACCTGGACTGGCCTTTTCTTGATAAGTTTTTTTCCCTAAAGAATGAGTTTATTTTTCTGTTCATATTTTGAGTAATTTGAGAGCAAATCCTGGACATTGTGCCATGGAGACTCTGGGTTCTGCTGTATTTTATATATATATATATAAATATTATATCTGCAACTGCAAACTTGTTCTTACCTGCAATGGATAGTGACTCACATATCTGTTTACTCCCTTAGCCCTGAGCCTGTCCTGCCCACACGTTGCATGTTAGCCAGAGACTGGCAGAGTTTACAACAGAACAAATGAACAAATGCTCACCTCTCCAACGCTCTCCTCTCCCAGATTCACCTTCAATTCCCAGTGGCTGCTGCCACCTGGGTCTTTCCCAGGCCAGAAAGGCAATGTGCTTTTCAGTGAAGTTTTAGCAACCCCGAATTACACTATATTCATGGCCTTCCCTCAGGACAAAGCCACAAAAATGGGAAGCTTACATTGTGCTGATAACTTCTTTCATATTTTGTTACTCTTTCAAAATCTGTTGTCATTTTGAGGTAGGAGAATAGGGTCTGGCAGCAGGGAACATAAGGTTGATCCATGCTGACTTCCTAGAACTAAATCAAATGAAAGCACTTCAGCAATGACAGGAATGTGAATGGCTTTGTAACTTCAGATTCATCCTCTCCATTTACATAGACCACACACACCAAGTAACATCCTTTCCATTTACAATAGGGCACATTCTGAGTAAAAGACTCTGTGACTTCACTTCACTCTCTTCATTTACATAAAATATTCGCCAAGTAACCAACGGGAAACGTCTAGAGTATTGAAGCCCCAGAAAATTTTGTAAGTGGGGCTCTTGAGCCTCTATGCCCGCCCACTCCCGCACTGTGGAGGGTACTTTCACGCTCAACAAATCCCTGCTTTTGCTTTCCACAGTTCGTTTGTGTGTTTTGTCCAATTCTTGCTTCAAGATGCCAAGCACCTGGACACCTTCTACCAGTAACAATTTTTTTATTCTTCAGACCTTTCAGGTAGTTGCTTTTATATATTCAGAATTTAGAGTTTCCAATTGAATATTCAAAGCTTTCTTTTCCATACCAGAGGTGGAACTCTGTAAATAACTTTTCTTTTAAAATAAAATTTTGCATATAATTGCAAAAAACCCAAATAACTTTAATCAAGCACAAAGAAAAACTCACTTAAAATTCCACCACCCTAGATATCCCTGTTAGTTTTGGTGAACAGTTTTCTAGACATCTCTGTTTGCATATATCTATATGTTACTTTACCCTAATGAGATGTTACTCTGGGTGTAGTTGAATATGCCTGGATATGCTTGCTTTACTCAATAATATGTCAGTAAATTTTCATATACTGAAGAGTGCATGTCTATTAATGTTTTGAAATTGTTTTAAATGGTTTTACTTTATCTTATTTATGTACAAAAAAAATTGAAGGGGCAAAAGCCATAAAAATGTGCCCTCACCATACTTTGTTTTTCATTCTTTCATTTTTTTCACAAATATTTGTTGAGAAATTACTGCTTTCAAAGTTACCAGGAATAGAGAAGACACCCTAATGGTGAAATTCAGTCATATAAGAACAACAAAACAATAAGAATTTAATATAATAGTGATATGTAGAGTGGCTGCAAAATCTTTATATGTGATATTGCATCCCAAATCTAGTTAAAGACATTGTCAAACAAAGGCACTCCTAAGTTTTGTTGGGATAATTTGCCCCCTGGGAGCAGCAGTCAGCTACAGGTGTGGTTCACAGGTAGCTGTAGGAAGATTCTAGGTAGGAGGCAAACTCTGGAGATATTGGGCAATAAAACTGCAGAATCAGAAAAGCAACGGCCTCTCTCCTGATATGACAGTCTTACCAGGGGGTCCTTGCTCCCAGAGCTCCCAAGATGGTTGTGGGCCACTTCCAAGATGGCGGCAAGCCTCTTGTTCTCTGACCTGGGGTTCGTGGCCTCATGGATTCCAAGGAACGGAATCTTGGGCCATGTGGTGAGTGTTATAGCTCTATTAGAAGCTGTGGGTCAGGCCAGGCATGGTGGCCAGGAGTATGGCGTGAACCCGGGAGGCAGAGCTTGCAGTAAGCTGAGATGGCACCACTGCACTCCAGCCTGGGCAACAGAGCAAGACTCCATCTCAAAAAAAAAAAAAAAAAAAAGAAGCCATGGGTCACAGAAGAGAACCGTGGAACCCAGTGACTAGTGTTCAGCTCGATTAGGATGAACCTGGGCACTTAGCCATGCAGGAACAATGGCAAGCCTTTAGCCCAGTCCAGCACAGCAATGGGTGCCTCACTGGATCAGGAGCACAGCAGACACCCTGTTGGATCCGGAGGGGTGGAAGTCAGTGGTGGGTCTGCAACAGCGACAAACAGCACTGGTGGACGGTGAGCGAAAGCTCAGCTCGAGCCGTAACAAACACGGACCAGAAGAGTGTGCAGTTGCAAGATTTAATAGAGTGAAAACAGAGCTCCCATAAAATGGGAGGGGACCCAAAGGGGGTTACCATGGCCGGCTCAAATGCCTGGGTTTATATCCCAATCATTGTCCCTCCCACTGTGCTCTCAGGTGATAGATGATTGGCTATTTCTTTACCTCCTGTTTTTGCCTAATTAGCATTTTAGTGAGCTCTCTTTACTACCTGATTGGTCGGGTGTGAGCTAAGTTGCAAGCCCCGTGTTTAAAGGTGGATGCAGTCACCTTCCCAGCTGGGCTTAGGGATTCTTAGTTGGCCTAGGAAATCCAGCTAGTCCTGTCTCTCAGTGCCCCCTCTCAACAGGAAAACCCAAGTGCTGTTGGGGAGGTTGGCTGACAACTGCTCTAACTGCTTCCTGTTGAATTGGGGCATAGTAGGGGTCATGCAGTTGAGATTTCCTCGGGAGGGGTGCCTTCGATGTCATCAACATTGGAGCATGGGCTAGCAGGCCAGTCCAGGGGTCCATGGTAGATCTTAGTCATGGACTACATCTGGGGCTCCATTTGAAGAACCATTTGTAGTTTTACATCTTCAGTTCTGGAACAGACAAACTTAACAAGGAGGTTACAGATACAGGAATTGAAATGTATGACCTGCAGTGCAGGGGGTTCTTTCTTTGGCACACTTCATAGGTCCTGACTATCTGCTTGATAGTTTTGAAAAGGCCTGGTCCTGTAAATAATGATTTGGCCATCTGATGGGTGCTATCAATGCCTAAGTGAAAAGTTTGGTGAAGGGTTTTAAGTAATTTTCACTGGTTAGCTGCAGGCAGGAGTATTTTTCCTTCTTTGGTGGCTAGCCTTCCTGAGGGGAGGAAACTATGTCCTCGTGAGTTTCCCCATCCTATTTCTTCTGCTGAGTACTGGGGCTTGGTTTCCCGGAGGGGATTACCCCATGCTAGGGGTCCTTCTATAAGCATTTCTAATGGAGCGTCCTGCCTTGAGGCTGTTTTTGCTTTAATATCCGCTTGGTGATTCTCTTTTATTTCCCTTTCCTTTCCTTTCTGATGACCCCAGCAGTGTAAGACTGCCACCTCTTTAGGTTTCTGTACAGCCAATAATAATCTCCTAATGGCTTCCTGTTGTTTGATAGGTGTTCCCTCAGAAGTTAGGAATTCCCTTTCTCTCCATATTGCTGTGTGGGCATGGAGGACTAGGTAAGCATACTTAGAGTCTTCTCTCTTTTTCTTCTCCTAATTTTAGTGCCTGAGTGAGGGCTATTAGTTCTGCCAGCTGAGCACTAGTTCCTGGAGTGAGGGGATTACTTTCAAGTATTCCATTATCACTGACCACTGCATACCCCGCTTTTCAAAGTCCTTTTTCTACAAAGGAACTTCCATCAGTATACAAGTTGAGGTCAGGATCAGTCAAGGGAACCTCTAGAAGGTCCCCTCGAGTGGCATAGGCTTGAGCAATTACCTGTTGACAGTTATGTTCTATCTTTTCTTCATTGTCTGGAAGAAATGTGGCTGGGTTAAGAGTTGCACAAGTACGCAGTCCCAGCACTGGCCCTTCAAGTAATAGAGCCTGATGTTTAGGTAAACGGTTGTCTGACAGCCACAAGTCTCCTTTAGCAGTGAGTATGCCATTCACATCATGAGATATCCACACAGTAAGATTTCTTCCTTGTATTATTTTAACTGCTTCAGATACTAAGACTGCTACTGCTGCCACTACCTGTAAACAGTGAGGCCAATCCTCTGCCACTACATCAATTTCCTTACTCAGGTATGCCATGGGTTGCAAGCTGGTCCCTCAGACCTGTGTAAGGACTCCTAGAGCTATTCCTGTTTTTTTCTGTGACATATAAAGAAAAGTCTTGCCCTGTTGGCAAGCTTAACACTGGGGCTTGGATTAGGGCCTTCTTTAGGGCCTGGAAAGCCGCTTCTACTTCAGGAGTCCGTCTTACTAAATGGGTGCTGGCTTTTTGAGTTTCCTTAATTTGTGTATATAATGGCCTGGCTATTTCACTGTACCTGGGAATCCATATTCAGCAGAAGCCTGTTATGCCAAGGAATGCTCTTAGTTGCTTTAGGGTTTTGGGATGAGAATAAGCCAGTATAGGCTGGATACATTCCTCACAGAGGGCCCTGGTGCCTTTGGATAATTTTAGCCCTAAGTATTTAACCTGCTGTGAGCAGAGCTGTGCCTTTGGTTTGGAAACCCCTTAGCCACAGGAGGCAAGGAAATTTAAGAGTGTTTGGGTGGCTTGATGGCACAAGGTTTCTGAACAGGCAGCTAAAAGTAAATCATCCACGTACCAAAGGACAAGAGCATCCAGGTATGAGAACTGGCTCAAGTCTTGGCTAATGCCTGGCCAAATAGATGGGGGCTATCTCTGAACCCTTGGGGCAAAACAGTCCAGCTGAGTTGAGACGTTGGGTTTGAAGGATCTTCAAAGGCAAACAAGAATTGAGAGTCAGGATGTACAGGGATGCAGAAAAAGGCATCCTTAAGGTCCAGGACTGGAAACCACTCTGCTTCCTTTGGTATTTGGGAAAGCAGAGTATAAAGGTTAGGTACAGCTGGGTATAGAGGAAAAACGGCCTCATTGATAATCCTGAGATCTTGCACTAACCTCCACTGTCCGTTGGGTTTCTGTACTCCTAAAATTAGAGACTCACAGGGGCTACTGCATGGTTTTACTAGGCCTTGGGCTTTTAGGTCCTTAACAATCTTTTGGAGTCCTTGTTGGGCCTTGGGTCTAAGGGGGTACTGCCTTTGGTAGGGAAAGGAGGTGGAATTCTTTAGTTTAATTTGAACAGGACGGGCATTCTTTGCTTGTCCATATTGTCCTTCTGTTGCCCAGACTTCAGGATTAATTCCTTCCTCAAGCAGGGGACAACAAACAGTGTTCCTTCTCCTATGTTCAGGTGTATAATGGCCCCTGCTTTTGCTAGAATGTCTCTCCCTAACAAGGGAGTGGGGCTTTCAGGCATAATTAGAAAAGCATGTGAAAAGAATAAAGTTCCCCAGTCACAACTTAGTGGCTGGGAGAAGTATCCAGTGACTGGCTGTCCTAGGACCCCTCGGATAGTGACAGATCTGGAGGACAGTTGTCCGGGACAGGAGAGTAAGACTGAGAAGGCCGCACCAGTGTCCAGGAGATAGTTAACCTCCTAGCCCTCCATGGTCAAGCATACCTGGGGCTCTGTGAGGGTGATTGGCATGGGCTGGTGCTTGCCCCAGGCACCCTCAGTCCTGCTCTGCTGGATCAATCTGGTTAGTGGCTTCTGACTAAGAGGACCTTCGTCTCCTGGGGCAGTGGGCCTTCCAGTGATTCCCCTGACATAAGGGGCATGGACAAGGGGGCAACTTATTTATACTTGGACAATCTTTTTTAAAGTGTCCTTGTAGATCGCACTGAAAGCGAGCCCTATTAGGCATTCTATTTGCCCGGCTTTTCCCATTTCCAGAGCCTTCAAAGTCCACTCACCTGAGGGCCATGACTAAGGTGGCCTTTTTGTTAATCCCGTTTTTCCTTTTGCACCTGTTCCTCCTGATCTCTATTATAAAAAACTGAGGTTCCTAAGTTCAATAGGGTTTTTAAGTTTGCTCTGGGCCTAAGGGGGACTTTTGAAGTTTTTTTCTTTTGTCTGCAGCTGACTGAGTGATAAACTTATCCTTTAAGATTAGTTGGCCTTCAAAAGAGTCAGGTGACAGGGAGGTATGCTTCCTCAATGCCTCCCTTAGTCTCTCCAGAAAGGCAGTAGGATTTTCTTCCTTTCCCTGTGTTATAGTGGACATCATTGAATAATTCATAGGCTTCTTTCTAGTTTTCCTTAGTCCTTCTAGCACGCAAGTTAGCAAATGTCTGTGACACCAATTTCCATGTTCTGATTCTGTGTCCCAATGAGGGTCTACACTGGGAACTGCCTGCTGGCCTGTGGGGAATCACTCTCTTTCCTCTGTTGTCATCCTGTCATTGACCTGACTGAGATACCAGAGATCACCAAACTCTCGGGCTGCAGTTATGGTGGCACTTCTCTCATTTGGGGTAAGTGTCTGATCTAGCAGTAACATTATATCTCTCCATGTCAGATCAAAGGATTGTCCTAACCCTTGTAAAACATCAATATAGCCATCAGGGTTATCTGAGAATTTACCTAGGTCTATTTTAATGTGCTTTAAGTCTGAGAGAGAAAAAGGTACATGCACTCTGGCTGGGCTGAATTCTTAGTTATACTTACTGATATAGCAGTCCTGCACCCCTTTTCCCGCCTTTCTTGACCACAAAGAAAGGGGTCCAGGCTGCTGGATTCTAGTGGTCCTTTACCAGCGTGCCCAACATTGCCTTTGTGCTCAGCGGTGAGTCCTAGAGCTGGGCTGGGTTCCTGAGTATTTCATAACAACCCAGTTGTCCCATCAAGATGCATCCCCATAAACAACAGATCTTATGCAAATTCATTCCAGAGACGGTGTAGCTAACTTTTTGAGTCAGGATTGAGATAGAGTTTTTTGATTCTGTAAGTACTTTAAAGCTTGACTGAGTGCAAACAGCTCCAACATTTGAGCAGACCATTTTTTAGGCAATTCTCCTAACTCTGCTTCCACAAGAATCTCCCTATCAATTACTGATACCCATTGTGTTTTTTTTCCTCAATCATTTGGGAGGAACCATCTATGGTCCTGTCCTGAAGGGAGTTCCTCCTATGTCTGGTTGGATCTTTGTATGGTAATTAAGATTTAAATCCCCTGTTAGGAAATCTGCTTGGTTAAGGTAATTTTCAGTGGTTAATGTTAAATCACCTTTTTCTAACAGAATAGCCCCATACTTTAAGATTTTGGAGTTAGTAAGCTACCTTTTTGGTTTTTGACTTAGAATAATTCTTAACTGGTGAGGTGTGCTCACAATGAGGTTTCCTCTAAAAGTTACTTTTCTACTTTCTTCTGTTGGCAAAGCAATTGCCGCTACAGATTGAATGCATTTGGGCCATCCACGGGTTACTGGGTTAAGGATTTTTAATAGGAAGGCTACGGGTTGTCAGTGGTCTCAGTGTTTTCAGGCTACGCCCTTGTTTACACTGACAACAAGGTAGTATTGGAGTGTTATAGAGTCATGGAGAAGACCTTCAATTATCAATTATAGGTTTTAAATTTACCCTAGCTTTTAAAGGAATAGGGCACACTTTTTTTTTTTTACTATTTCTATCTTTCTCCTTCTCTCTTTGACTCCCTGCTTGTCTCTCTGCCTCTTTCTCCTCTCTGTCTCTCTCTCTCCTCTCTGTCTCTCTCCTCTCCATCTCTCTCCTTTGTCTCTCTCCTCTGTCTCTCTGTCTCTGTCTCTCTCTGTTTCTCTCTCTTTCTCTCTCTCTCTCTCTCTCCCCATCTCTCTCTGCCGTTTACAAACTTGGGACCCTGGCAAGAGTGGTGGGGAATGGGTCCCACATAACTGCCCATGTTGAGAGCTGTATACCTAAATCAGGAGGGACACTAAGACTCCCTGGGTTTATAGCCTAGATGCCTGAGGATGCAGCGTAGAGCTTCCCTAGATCCCTTTGGAGATACAACTTGCTAGAGGAAAAAGGAAAGTCTGAACCATTAGTACTTAGGAGGCAGGGATTGGAGGAAGTAGATTCAGAGGTAAGGAGAATTTTGGGGCTACACTTTCAAGAAAGTCATGGTTGGGACCCAGGAAGTATGGGTCAGAAGGAAAGGTAGGGGTGCACACATGTAGAATAGAGACTTCTGGCTGCACCATGATCTCAACCAGCTAATTCAGGGAGTTTGGAACAACAGCTTTCTGCCTCTAGTCTGCCCTTGGCTTCCCCAAGAAAATTGAAAGTGGAAGCTGGTTCCAGGCAGACCACAGAAGGGTTGGGGGTTGTTAGAAAGCCCTTCTCCAGACAGCCTCACACCTGAGTCTTAGCAGCAGCCATGCTAATTGTTTTTAACTGGCTGACAGGTGCCCGGTATTTTCCTCCAATCTAAGGAAGGATAGGACAGAATAGCAAGCAAAAGTGGTCCAATATTACTCACCACTTTGGAGGTCCCTTCATGGTTACCAGAATGTTACCAGGGTTCCTTGCTCCCAGAGCTGCCAAGATGGTGGCAGGCCACTTCCAAGATGGCGGCAAGCCTCTTGTTCTCTGAACTGGGGTTCTTGGCCTCACGGATTCCAAGGAATGGAAAATCTTGGGCCATGTGGTGAGTGTTATAGCTCTATTAGAAACTGTGGGTCATGGAAGAGAACCGTGGAACACAGCGACTAGTGTTCAGCTCGATTAGGATGAACCTGGGCACTTAGCCGTGCAGGAACGATGGCAAGCCTTTAGCCTGATCCGGAGCAGCAACGGGTGCCTCACTGGATCAGAAGCACAGCAGACACCCTGTCAGATCCGGAGGGGTGGAAGTCAGTGGCAGGTCTGCATCAGCGACAAACAGCCGTGGTGGATGGTGAGTGAAAGCTCAGCTCGAGCCGTAACAAACATGTACCAGAAGAGTGTGCAGTTGCAAGATTTAATAGAGTGAAAACAGAGCTCCCATACAAAGGCAGGGGACCCAGAGAGCGTAGCCATTGCCGGCTCAAATGCCTGGGTTTATATCCCAATCATTGTCCCTCCCACTGTGCTCTCAGGTGATAGATGATTGGCTATTTCTTTACCTCCTGTTTTTGCCTAATTAGCATTTTAGTGAGCTCTCTTTACTACCTGATTGGTCGGGTGTGAGCTAAGTTGCAAGCCCCGTGTTTAAAGGTGGATGTGGTCACCTTCCCAGCTAGGCTTAGGGATTCTTAGTTGGCCTAGGAAATCCAGCTAGTCCTGTCTCTCAACAGGACACTGGGTTCCTAGCCTTGTAGTTGTGGCTTCTACGGCATGGAAGGGTCGTGACATGATTCACCAATTCACCACCCCATCTGAGTTTCAACACTTGGCCAGATCACGGCACTGAGCTTCTAACCTTGCAGTTGTAGCTTCTATGGCATGGCAGGGTTCTGGTGTAATTCACCAATTCACCACCCCATCTGAGCTTAAGCACTTGGCCATAGCCATGAGGCTTTGCAGGAGACCAGCCTGTGGAAATCAGTCTTGGACAAGGCAGCTCTTGCAGCTCAAACCTAAACACTTCCTAGGAAATGCTCAACAGCGTCCATCAACATGGAAGTTGATGTCCAGAAGAAAAAAGAAAACTTAAAAATTAAAGCAGATGATAAGTAAAGCAGATAAGTATTTTCCAATTAGATACAGACTTTGTGATCACTGTAGAAAATGGGAAATGCAATGGAATGACGAGTGAGTCTGGGGAAAGGAGTGATGTTACTCATGTTGTCATATGTAGAATAAGTGAGGACACTTCTTTGAGGAAGTTCAATTGAGGTAAGAGATGAATGATACAATGAAGGCAGTCATATAAAGAGCTGGGGAAGTGTTCAGGCAGAGTGGGTGTTTTGGAGGGGATACACCATGGCTATGTGTGGGGACCCTGTGGGGAAACAGTTGCATCGGGGCCGGGATGGTGGTTCCACTGGGGCTGTTGCGGTGCTCACAGGGAGGAGGGGTCACCCTCACGCAGTGCTTCAGGAGAGGAGTCAGCAGGCTTTCTGATGGGCTGGTAGGAAGTGTGCAGGAAAGAGGAGTTGGGCATAGGGTGTAGAGTTTTAGATCTGAGCGAGTAGGGATGCACAGCCCTGTGTGGAAATAAGGAGGGTGAAATGGGGGACAGGCTGAGGCAGGGATGAATGTCGGGGAGTCAAGAATTCTGTTTCAGACTTTTTTGCAGTGGGATTTTCTTCTTTTATTTGTTTATTTTTATTGCTTGGTCCACGTTGCTTCTTGGTGCATTTCCCTACTTATCGGACCCTCAGGAAATGCTGACAGTACGGCAGTTGAGGTAGAAGGAAAAAATTGTCATAACGAAATACCAAGAAAACAAATTAAAAATATTTTAGTGAAACAACATTTCAAAAAAGCATTACTTTCTGATAATTCTATAAGAAAAACAAGTTACTCTATATTGAGCAATCTCATTTTTTAGTTAAGGCACACATATAATTAATTTAATCAGCCGGCTGGCACGGTGGCTTATGTCTGTAATTGCAGGCACTTTGGGAGGCTAAGGCAGGAGGATCATTTGGACTCAGGAGTTCAAGGCCAGCCCGGGCAAGTTAGTGAGACCTGGTCTCTACTAAAAATTAAAAAAAAAAATTAGGTGATTGTGGTGGTGCTCGTCCGTAGTCCCAGCTACTTGAGAGATTGAGGTGAGAGGATCATTTGAGCCCAGGAGGTCAAGGCTGTAGTGAGCTGTGATCACACCAGCACTTCAGCCAAGGTGACAGACTGAGACCCTGCCTCTATTAAAAAAAACTAATTGGTTAAAATAAATCTGAATATATCAAATACTCACTAAATTAGGCAGAGGAGTATAAAAGTTGCAACATAATCTATCTTTAATTTACAAAAAACCTTTGTCTGGAATAAATGTAATTATGTTAACATAAAGCCATGCATTGACATTATGTTCTTCCTGTGGTTGCTTTTTGACAGAGTATTCTAGCTGCCTCCGCCTTTGAGACAGAGCAGGAAGAACCTGTGGATGGTGGGATTCCCTCTTCTTGGAGAAGGGGATGAGCATTTCCCGCTGCCCTCCTGACACGCCCGTGGCTGTCTGCCTTGCTCTGTACCTCCAGACTTCATGGAAAGCATGCTCGACCTTTGACTTCTGGGTGGGTGACTTGGGGCACACCCAAGCAGGAGACCAGCCTGCAGAGAGGGGGCCTATGTCACTCTGGCCACTCTGTGGTTGGGCTGGCTGTGGCCCACAGACCCTCTGCTCCCTCTGTGAGTCCCCTTGGGCCCCTTTCCTCTTTCCTAGGGTGTGAGTGTGGCACCCTTCATGACACTCTTCCTAATCACCCCATAGGGTGTGCCGCTTCCTTCCTGCGGGAACTCTAACTGGCCCTGTGTAATGATCTTTTACACAGAGCTCGTAAAACTAACCCCTGGCCCTGATGAGTCTTTGGAACATGAGGCTTACCGGTGATGAATAACTCCCAGCAATCACTGAAACATCACAAGCTTCTGTCTCTGCTTCCCGCTCCACACCGCCCTCTGCTCTGCTTAGTCTGGTTCATGTTTTGCATTCACATCATTGCTATTGTTGTTTTTTCTCCCGTTCCTCTGGACTCCTTTTTGTTGCCCAGCACTAACAATCATAAAACTTATGTTCTAAAATCATAAAACTGCAATGGAGAGCAAAGACAAAAAACAAATGGTTTTAAGTTAGAGTTGTAACACTACATAATTTACTACCTCGGGAGGATGGGATGAGAATTCTGGTCAAATGAAATTTCTCTGGTCTATAAATCTGCTATTTCCAATTGGTACTTTGGCTTTCCAAAATGTTTAACAAACAGGACTTTGGGGGCTACATGTTTTTCACAAACCTGTTTGGGATATATTAGTTATAGTTTTTGGCTACACAAGAAAGTAAGTCAAAATTTAATTTGTGCAAGAATAATAGACTTGTTTTTTTAATGATAAATGAAAAGAAAATTTGGAAGAGACTGTGTTTCCTCACAGATTCTGCCACCTTGGGACTCCTAACCCTACCAAAAAATCTAGATGGGATGAGGAATTGTTTTCCATATTTTCATGCATTTTAGAACAATTATTTTTTATTTTTAGTTTTAGCTCCACAAATATGACCAATGATATTGCATATTAAAGTAAAAATTTGAAAACAGCTATGCATCCACAGGTTAAATTTTTATTTCTGTGGTTTAAATCTGATTTCACCACATTTTCCCCCAATGAAATGGATGCTTGGTAATGCAGTTAAATATCTGACTTTTCAGGAGCATAAAATAGCAGCTCTTCTTCCTGGGGATGGGGCAGTGGCCACCCCAAGGTGTGGAGGGCTTTCCTGTGGAAGCATCACATGGACTCATCATCTGTGGCTCCAGTGGAGAAACCTGGAGTCAATGGATGTACGCTGGAGGGAGACCAACTTCAACTTCATACGAGGAAACATTTCTAATAATTAGGTTAGCGGAGGTACAAACTGCCTTGAAGGGCTGTGCTTTTTCTGCCTCTGAAATTTCTTCAGGAAAGCCTGAGCTGTATGCTGCAAATGAGAAGCTTAACTTGTTAACCTCAAGCAAGGATTAAATTAAGTTCCAGTGACATATCACTGATCTTCATATAGACCAATGGAACAGAGCAGAGGCCTCAGAAATAATGCCACACATCTGCAACTGTCTGATCTTTGACAAACCTGACAAAAACAAGCAACTGGGAAAGGACTCCCTATTTAATAAATGGTGCTGGGAAAACTGGCTAGCCATATGCAGAAAACTGAAACTGGAGCCCTTCCTTATACCTTATATAAAAATTAACTCAAGATGGGTTAAAGACTTAAATATAACATAAAACCATAAAAACCCTAGAAGAAAACCTAGACAATACCATTCAGGACATAGGCATGGCCAATGACTTCATGACTAAAACATGAAAAGCAATGGCAATGAAAGCCAAAATTGACAAATGGGATCTAATTAAACTAAAGAGCTTCTGCACAGCAAAAGAAACTATCATCAGAGTCAACAGGCAACCTACATGGGAGAAAATATTTGCAATCTATCTATTTGACAAAGGGCTAATATCTAGAATTTACAAGGAACTTAAACAAATTTACAAGAAAAAAACAACCCCATCAAAAAGTGGGCAAAGGATGTGAACAGCCACTTCTCAAAAGAAGACATTTATGCAGACAACAAACATATGTAAAAAAGCTCATCATCACTGGTCATTAGAGAAATGCAAATCAAAACCACAATGAGATACCATCTCGTGCCAGTTAGAATGGCAATCATTAAAAAGTCAGGAAACAACAGATGCTGGAGAGGATGTGGAGAAATAGGAACACTTTTACATTGTTGGTGGGAGTGTAGATTAGTTAAACCATTGTGGAAGTCAGTGTGGCGATTCCTCAAGGATCTAGAACCAGAAATACATTTGACCCAGCAATCCCATTACTGGGTATATACCTGAAGGATTATAAATCATTCTACTATAAAGACACATGCACACATATGTTTATTGCAGCACTATTCACAATAGCAAAGACTTGGAACCAACCCAAATGCCCATCAATGATAGACTGGATAAAGAAAAGATGGCACATATACACCATGGAATACTATGCAGTCATAAAAAAGGATGAGTTTATGTCCTTTGCAGGGACATGGAGGAAGCTAGAAACCATCATTCTCAGAAAACTAACACAGGAACAGAAAATCAAACATCACATGTTCTCACTCATAAGTGGGAGTTGAACAATGAGAACACGTGGAAACAGGGAGGGGAATATCACACACTGGGGCCTGTTGGGAGTTAGGGGTCTAGGGGAGGGATACCATTAGAAGAAATACCTAATGTAGATGACAGGTTGATGGGTGCAGCAAACTACCATGGCACGTGTATACCTGTGTAACAAACCTGCACGTTCTGCACATGTATCCCAGAACTTGAAGTATAATAATAAATAAAAGAAATATAAAAGTCACAGGATGCTTGTGATAGTATCTATTACACTGATGTTGACATCACATGGTTGACTATGTGGATACTCCAAGTGAAATTTCTTGCAGTTCTCAGTGCTAGGAAAATCTGTATTTCTGGATAAAAACTCAAAACTTTTAGAAAAACGTTCAGGTTTTATAGTCTAGAGGTCTAACACTGCAATCTTTTCCAACTTTAAGGTTTAATGATTTACTTAAATCTAAAAATAGTACATTGCAGATGTATTTAAACAGTGTGCCTAGGTAGTATGTTTATATATTAAGATTAAAATGCTCTTCTAAAATTTACTTATTCTAATATAGACTTTATTGTTTCATGTAGATATACCTTTCTGATTCCCAGGATAATTTAAACAATTAATTCAAAGCAACTATTAATTTAGTTCTAGATTGTGATATCTACTTATGCATTTTAAGCTTTAGATATGTATTTCAAATTAGAAACATGTGCTGGTCATGGAAAGTTGTGACTTAGAGCCTCAGGTAAGTTTTTTTTCATGTGAACACACTGCTTCCAATTGATATTATGCCCAGAGCAGACAATTAATAAATACCTTTTGAACTGAATGAGTGATTAACTGCAAATATCACAATACATCTTAGTGGGCATGATAATTAGCTATATCTAGTCTTTGCTGTGGCCTAAGAAAGAAATTTCTTCATTAAATGTTTAATGTCTCACCCTGTTCATACATCTGGAGTTACTGATTCAGTTTGATGTGAATTCAGTCTTATAAAAGACCCATCATTAAAACCTGCACTTATGCTTCCTATAGTATCGGAACTTCCAACTTGTAGGCAAAATAGATATGCTTCATATTCTTAAAAACCACAAGAAATCTCCCTTTATTCAGAATAAACATAGAATTAGGTATTCTATTAAACTGAACAATAGGACTCACTGGGAGTGACCGCATACACTATACCACGAATTGCCCAAGTGTCTGAAAAGGTCACTGGACCATTTCGCTCTATGCTGTGCCACGGGCCAACCACGAGGGCTGTCAGTGACTCACTGCGTGGGCCACCCAGAGCATGTGGTGCTGAGGCTGTCAAAGAGCAAGACGAGGCTGCATTTAAACTCAGGCCTCTGCTAAGTGTCAGAACTTGGGCAAGATGCCAAACACTTTCTTTAGAGCCAGTTTCCTTTCCTATGATTGGGTTATAACACTCACCCTGTCAGGTTCTCGTGTGCATTGACAAGGCTGGCACGTGACACACCAGGGGCAGACCTGGACGAGAACCTTCTTCCTTAGACATCAGGGTCCTCATGAGCATCAAGAAAATAAGGAGAGCAGGGCATCTCCAGCTGTGTCAGGACTACAGCAGGGACTCAGCAACAATCAGTGTCTTCTCTTGTTTCATCCAAATCATACATTTAAAAATTAGATGGGGTTATCATGGATGTTTATATTGATTCCTAGAATCAGACAAATACACCTTTCCTTGTCATGCTGTTTTCTCTTCCCAGATGGTTTGAAGAGCTTCTTTTTGGACTTGATACTCCTGGTGTGCACATAAGAAACAACAGCCAATGATTTGCACATTTCACAGCTGTGTAGCTCTTCATTCACAAAATCAGATACGCAAAAAAAGAAAAACCTTTTCTTTTTTTTTTTTTTTTTCTGATCAGTTCATTCTTGACCCTGAGCCATCGACCCTCAAGAATGGCAGGACATTCCACTCCACCATTGTTGGGGTGCCACAATTACACTACTGATCAAAGGCTCCTTGGTTTCTGAAAAGTGGGAGACACACCTCTAATAATCAGTCTAGATTGTCACTGCTCACTTCCCCATTTTCCAGTTCCGCAGGGGCCCCCAAAGCCCAGAAGGTCTCATTTCGGGGGTCTTATAGACCATGTGAATCTGGTAACACTGGGAACCCTGAGGCCAGCACCAACCTCATTTTCACTCTGTCTCTGTTTCCATCACCCTCTAGGCATTGCTACAGAGCAGTGTTGGGACCCACCGGAGATCTGACTGCTCCCAGCCTGGAAAACTGTCTTCTTTCCCTCCACTGATCTCATGATATTTCTGCTTTCCACCCCACAGAAATCCTTGAATGAAGCACAAAAGGGATTGGTCCTTGCCTGGTGTGAAGCACAGCTGAGCCAAAGGAGGAAGCAATATTGCAATGGACTCTGTCTTTGACATCACTACTTTGCAAATTTGTTACCACTATGGTCAAATTTTTATATTCACTCTTACATTTTAACTCATTCTGCTCATTATATTCAATGCAACATCTGCACTAAAAGATACTCAGGCATTAATTTATGCTTTTCTGTTTACAAATGAGAATTCATAAGCAAATTGAGGTAGCAATTAGATATTTTTTAAAATCGAAGACAAAACAGAAGACACATACACACACATCAGTGGAACACAACAGAGAGCCCAGAAACAGACTGAAATACAGCCGACTAATCTCTGACAAAGGAGCAAAAGCAATTCAATGGAGAAAGGAGAGTCTTTTTAACAAATGGTGCCGGAACAAGTGGGCATCCATATGCAAAAAAGAAAAAAAAAAAGAATCTAAAAACAGACCTTATACTTCTTACAAAAATTAATGCAAAGTAGATATTAGACCAATATATAAAATGTAAAATTTTCAAACTTCTAGAAGATAACATAAGGAAAAAATCTAGTTAACTTTGGATTTGGTGACTTTTTAAAGATACAACACCAAAAGCATGATCCACGAAGACAAAAATTGGTAAGCTGAATTTCATTAACATGAAAAACTTTTGTTTTGCAAAAGATACCATTAAGAGAATAAAAAGACAAATCCCAAACTGTGAGAAAATATTTGCAAAATATATCTAAGGATTCGTATCTGAAATATGCAAAGAACTGTTAAAACTCAACAAGAGGAAAACAAACAACCCAATTAAAAATGGGCAAAAGCTGAACAGATATGCAGATGGAAACTAACTATATGAAAAGATGCTCTGTATGTTATTAGGAACTGCCAATTAAGACAACAATAAGACACCACTACACACCTATTAGAATGGCCAAAATCCACAAGTCTGAAAACACCAAATGCTGGTGAGGATGTGAAGCAACAAGAACTCTCATTCATTGCTGTGGGAATGCAAAATGGCACAGCCACTTTGGAAGACAGTTTGGCAGTTTTTTACAAAGCTCACATAGTCTTATTATAAGATTTAGCAATTGTGCTCTTCATTATTTACCCAGTGGAGTTGAAGAGTTATGTCCACACACAAACTTGCACACAAATGTTTATAAAAGCTTTATTCAGGATTACCAGAAACTGGAGGTGATCAACATGTCCTTCAGTAGGTGAATGGAGAAATAAATTCTGATATCTACAGACAATGGAATATCATTCAGTGAGAAAAGACCTATCAAGTCATGAAAAGGCATACCGGGACCCAAAATGCACATTACTAACGAAAAAAGCCAAAAAGGCTACATACTGTATGATTCCAATTATGTGACATTTTGGAAAAGGGAAAATTACACAGATAGTAAAATGATCGGTGGTTGGTAGGGGTTGAGGAGAGGGAAGGATAGATGGTCAGAGAGTTCCGGATGTTTAGGGCAGTGAGACCATTGTGTGCGATTTCACCACAACGGTGGACCCACGACAGTGTGCAGATGCCAAACCCATTGAATGCAGACCACAAAAAGATAATAATTACATAAACTATGAACTTTCATAATGAAATAAATCATGTTTTAAAAAAGTAGACAGCTTTGTTCAGTTACTGTCTACTTTTTGAAATGGAGAGGGTGGGATGCTTACATGGTTGTGAGGATAAAAATAGCTTAGAGAATGTAATAACTAAAACAGGTGTGTAAACATTGTTAAACTCTTTTATCCTCATTAAAAAACATTGCTTAAATATATTTGTAATTTTTTACAACTGAGCGAGTAGTGCAAACACATTAACATAATTCTCCTCTAGCTCCGCTCAGAAGTCAGGCTTCAGTGCAGGACCACATGGCTCCAAGTGCACCTGCCAAATGCAACAACCTCTTTCAACGTCATTAAAATATTTCAATAGGAGGCTTGATTTTAGACTCAACCTGTGTTTTCTCCCCTGGAAAATGAAGGTTTTATGAAACAAAGAAGGTCTTTACCATTCTCATCCAAAATGCTGAGACATCTGTGATGTCTGCTGTAAGTGCCACCAGGCTCTCCTCTGAAATCTCACAACGGGAAAATAGAGACTGTCAATTCTGCTTTTAGAAAGGGGAGAATCAGATCTAATGTCGAAATGCCATGTCCTCATTCATACACATCTTCTTTTACAAATTCCACAGGTTTAGTTACTTTGGGATTAATATGGGCCTATTTTAAAGTGCATTTATTAATTTAGCATGAAATGTCCAAATGCATTCTGGATCCTGAGCTGACATCCAGCAATGCTGAGTGTGCGCCTGTGTGAGTCACCAGCCCTGATGAGCCTCAGGTTATTGTATTCATAAAATGAAGGGGCTTAGGCTTGCTCCGATTTTTTTAAAACCATTTTTAACAGTAAAAACTTGTTTCTTGTTACATAAAAATGTACAAGAAAAACCCAAACATTACAAATGATAAATTATAATTTTATTAATATAAATATTTTGTGAGCTCAATTTATAGGACTTAGTTATTATAAAAGAAATAAGCAACATGAGGTGGCCATACTTTCCTATTTTGTTCACATGCTATTGATAAATCTTGATGTACACAGAAAATTAGTTTCAAAGAATAATAATTTTAAAAATCTTGACTTGTAATTTCAAGGGACTTTAAAAAAATTCCTGCAATTTCTCTTTAAAGGTTCTAGAACAGTTTTCTATGTCTTAAAGCTAAATAATCACAAAGAACTAACTGTTCTCACATTCTGTATTATAAATATGTAAGTCAGAAAAGGAACAGACAAAAGAATAAAAACACATGCGTGAACAAATGGGCCTTGGTTTACATTGAATTGGATCTGGCAATGAACATGGGTTATAGTAGTATTTTTGTGTGTAATTTTACACGAGTGGACTGTTGACAAAATAAAAATTGTCTGCAATCACTATTTGGTGGTATATTTGCACAAATGGTAAACATATACATAGAGGTCGTGGGAGAAATTTATTTCATGGCTTACCAGAAGACAGGTTAAGTTGGGACATTTAATTGTTTCATTACTGCTACATTTTATAATGCACTTGTATGGGCAAGGTATTTAAATGTATTATAATAACTTTTAAATGCTCAATGTTACAGAGGAATTATTAGACAAAGTACTGATACCTTCTTTGTGTGTGCTTTGAAGGCACGAGGAAATAATAAAGCGGCCCTTTTCCCTTTTCCCATCTATTTCCTGAAGGCCAAGCTGTGCTTCTGCAGATTAGACCTCTGTAACACACACACACACGCACACGCGCACACACACACACACACACACACACATTATAGCCTTTAGGGGTTTAAAGGAGGGAGAGAATTTGCCTGGATAACTCTCACCTAGGTATTTTCTGGGGAGATCTAGAATCGTCTAAGGGGTTAAGCTGGACTAGCCAATGGGAAAACAAAATGAAGATACTGGGGAGATGTTCCCAGAAGAGGAGCATTCCTATTGGGCTAGGCCCTAGTCACATGCAATTCCCCAGATGTGGTTGGTGTGGCCAAGGTTCCAGTGTTTGACTGCTGCCTTCTTGGCACTTCTCGTGCTGTGAGGAGCATCCCCTCCCCAGTAGCAGGGGCAGTGGTCCTCTCACCCACTTCAGAGTAAAGGGCCAGCAATTGGCAGTCACAAGAAAAGTAGTGAGACAGGAAGGTGAGGAGCATGAAGTCCCACCATACCAGCCTCCAGTGTCTGGCACAGAATCTGACGAGGAACCTCCGTGAATTGGAATCTTCCACATCTTGATACATGGGAGTTTCTGTTAGATATAATTTGACTTATAAAAAGAAAGAAATATGGCCAGGTGCGGTGGCTCACACCTGTAATCCCAGCAATTTGGGAGGCCGAGGGGGACGGATCACGAGGTCAGGAGATCGAGACCATCCTGGCTAACACGGTGAAACCCCATCTCTACTAAAAATACAAAAAATTAGCCGGGTGTGGTGGCGGGCGCCTGTAGTCCCAGCTACTCGGGAGGCTGAGGCAGGAGAATGGTGTGAACCCGGGAAGCGGAGCTTGCAGTGAGCCGAGATCGCGCCACTGCACTCCAGCCTGGGCGACAGAGCGAGACGCCATCTCAAAAAAAAAAAAAAGAAAGAAAGAAAGAAATATGACCTTCTTGCATCTAAATATTGTAGAAGAATTAATGATCGCAACCTGGATGTTTTACATTCTGAGATGCTATTAAATCAATATTAATCATGAATGTATTGATAATTTTTTAGAAGAATAGAAGAGATCTCATCATATTAAATGAAGTATATCAATTATAAGACGCATGCTAACTCCAGAAAAAGCAAAACATGAAAAAAATGTGTCTTAGAATGGAAAAATGCAGTAGTTAAACTATTTTTAACTAGAATTTAAATGCAACATTTTAGGATATGAAGCCCTCAACTCATTTCGAAAACTACTGGCTCAGATGACCTCAGCGATAGGAAACCTCTAAAAGATCATGAGTCTAATCAGATAATTTTCTGTGCCTTTGCCTGAGAGTCTAGCTGAAAGTGGTGCCGTTTTTACAGAAAAGGAATAACGTGTCCTGAACTGGGAACCCTTCACCGGCCACCATTCCTGGAGGCGCTTCACTGTGGAGTTTTGGTCACCAGAGGGCTCCAGGGGACTACTGGGGAAGGCCAGGACATGGAAGAGGGCCTAGAGCCAGGGTTACCCGGGAGGGGGTGGACCCATTTTGCCAAGCACCTGAGGACCAGGCCATACAGAATCCTCTCAAAACCACCCGCACACTAGGTGGGAATAAAGGATAAGAGAAATTAATGTGTGCTTAGCATGTGAGAGCCGACATTCATAGTCAGGCTGAGCAAAGAAATTCATACAGAAGGATGAAGCGCACGTTATGAGACAAAGAACACCCAATTATAAGACAGAAAACCTCGGTTCTGGGAAATTCCTGAACTGTTTGCCCGTCCATGAAAGAGTAATAGTGATACCACCTTCTCCACTTTTTCTTGTAACAGAACTGCCCGTTTCTTTCATGCTCACAGCTAAGTGTTTAGTAGAAATAATTGACAAATATAAGGTCATTTCTCTTACACAAAAGGTTCAAGAAAACTGAGAAAGATTTAAAAATTCCCAAATGAATGATTTTTCAAGGCACAATATCTTAATTTACATAAAGAGAAATAATACATTTTGTCTTAAATAAAGATTTGCCCACATCCTAAGTGTGGCATTGTAGAGTAGTTAAGATATTTCTTCAAAAAAAAATTATATCAAAAAATCTGTACTTTTTGAGTGGGGATTATAACACACAAACCTGGTGCAATATATTTAAAACAAAGCAGAGATTAATTAATAATTAATGATTCCCCATCACCATTTTCAGAAAACCCAGTAACTTAGTGCCTTAAGATGTTCAAATCATCCCAAAAAGTTGAGTTATGAAATATTTTCAAAACCCTTTCTCAAGCTTTGCTATTCTAGCTTTAGCTGGAAGAAGAAGCTTCCAAGTTAAAGATGGTAGATGAAATACTGACCCAGTTGTTTCCTTTCCCTCCCAAGAAACCATGATGGTTATCCATCATGGAGAGAGAACAGCAAAGACAAAAATTGATTTGGTGGCCTCGCATCCGCGAGAAGGAGCATCATCTGTGCACCTTCCTGGGGGTGAGGGGCGGAGAAGTGAGGCAGGCGTCAGAAAACAGGAGGGTCGATTAAAATCTGTACATTGACAGTCAACCCTCATTATCCTCCCTCACCGATGCCTGCACCCCACCCCTCGGGTAACCAGTGAGTAGAACACCAACAACCAACAAGCAAGCAGCTGCCTTCCAGAGAGGAGAGGAGAAGGTTTTCTCCAGAGAAAGGAAACCATTGAGACCAAACGCATCACTTACTAACATGTGGAAACCCCATCGACTCCCTGAAGCAAAACCTCTAGATGAGCCTTTCACTAATGATAACACAGACTCATTCTCCTTCTTCACATGTCACTATTAAATGTGAACAGTGAAGAATCACCTCGAGATGAGCCTTTCACTAATGATAACACAGACTCATTCTCCTTCTTCATGTGTCACTATTAAAGGTGAACAATGAAGAATCACCTCTAGATGAGCCTTTCAGTAATGATAACACAGACTCATTCTCCTTCTTCATGTGTCACTATTAAAGGTGAACAGTGAAGAATCACCTCTAGATGAGCCTTTCACTAATGATAACACAGACTCATTCTCCTTCTTCATGTGTCACTATTAAATGTGAACAGTGAAGAATCACCTCTAGACGAGCCTTTCACTAATGATAACACAGACTCATTCTCCTTCTTCATGTGTCACTATTAAATGTGAACAGTGAAGAATCACCTCTAGATGAGCCTTTCACTAATGATAACACAGACTCATTCTCCTTCTTCATGTGTCACTATTAAATGTGAACAGTGAAGAATCACCTCTAGATGAGCCTTTCACTAATGATAACACAGACTCATTCTCCTTCTTCATGTGTCACTATTAAATGTGAACAATGAAGAATCACCAGACATTTCAGGGAAACCAATCCCAATGGGAAAAAAGACCAAGGTAAACTGGGAGGCAGAATGATTGTTGAGAACCTAACATTGTAGCAAAATAAGAAATAAGAGTTTTATATCATCATTCACTTAGTGGTAGTGTCTGGGGTTTCACTATACAAATATATCACTTTGATATATATATATATATATATATATATATATATATACATATACACACACACACACACACACACAGACACACACACACACACACACACACACATATATATATATATATTTTTTTTTTTTTTGGCGGAGTCTCAATCTGTTACCCAGGCTGGAGTACAGTGGTGTGATCTTGGCTCACTGCAACCTCTGTCTCTTGGGTTCAAGTGATTCTCCTGCCAACTTTTGTATTTTAAGTAAAGACGGGGTTTCACCATGTTGGCCAGGCGTGTCTTGAAATCCTGACCTCAGGTGATCTGCCTGCCTTGATCTCCCAAAGTGCTGGGATTGTAGGCATGAGCCACCATGCCTGACCTGACATAGTTTTAACTATTAGAAGAAACCACAGGAAGCTACCATTTGAATAGATCAAACATTAGCAATATATTAAAATATCAGCAATTTCATATGCTCAAGATTATTTTTTAAAAAATAAAAAGAGAAGAGAATTGATTCAATTTCTAGGCCAGCAACCAAAGAAAAAGCAAGAAATGGAAGATTTTACAATTATATAGTAATAGCAAGATCTTACATTTCTATTGAGTTTTAAAGATTACAAAACACATCAATATACATTGCCTTGTTTGATCTTTAAACAACTCTATAATTGTAATTAATATATCTAAAAATTGTAACTCTTGAGAAATCCAGGACGAAACAAATGAAGCCTAAACACAGCTTTAATTTGCCAAGTAATGGGTGGAGAAGGGATCAGAAGCTGGGCTGACTGACCCCACGTCCTCTTCTTCCATTACTTAAAAGAAGTCAGCCAGCACAAAACCTTGGGAAGGACCTGAGATAAAGGCAGTGGGAAAAGAGCAGAGTCAAGGATGATCTATAAACAGAGGTAAAAGAAGGAATGCCTTAAATACAAAAACATATGTCCACAGAGCTGGGAGTTGTACAAAGCCATGTAATTAGAGAACATCATGTTGACAGCAGACTCTTGACCTGGGGGAAAAACGTTCACGACACTGACTCCAAGAAGGATAAACTTGAAGGATTCCAGATGTGAGGCAGTCAAAGCCTCACTTGGAAGCACTGTACAAATGTTCATGTCAAGAACTGAAATGAATTTATACCCACATAAAACTACATGTAGGGGAAGGCTTACTTTGTAAGATGTTTCCGGACACTACATTAGCAGCTGTACCGCACACACTTACACAACACAAACACAGGCAAGCTTGTCACCTGCACAGCTGGAGGGTTAGCCTGGACAGGGCGATTACAGTCTCTCCTGAACCTCTTCCTTCTCGTCCGTGACTGAATCCTATTCACATGCTATAAGGACCATGGGCTTGTGGAATCCAACTTAGCTTCCTTTAGAACCAAAGGATGCCTCTGTGACACATGCAGAAATGACTTCCTTTTATTTTTCATTCAGTCCGTAGGAAGAGAACAGCTGCAAGAGAGAGAAAGAAAATGTACACGGTGGCTAGGTGGAGACGGCACCTGAAGAGTGAGTTTCATGTTTAGCCCCAACAGTTTATAAACATTCATGTGGTGATTAAAGATATTCCCCAAAACCAGAAAACACAACTGAGTCAGCTTCTGTTAGTGAGCATCACGCTGCAACCCAGGGGCCAGATGTCCTTGGAAAAGATCAGAGACATAACACAAATGAGTCAGCTTCTGTTAGTGAGCATTGCGCTGCAACCCAGAGGCCAGATGTCCTTGGAAAAGATCAGAGACATAAAACATCGCCGCCTCTGTTTATGCAACTTACTGAAGTTTACATGGAACCCCCGTGCCCTCCCTGCGTTTAACCTTCTATGCAAATGACAGAGACTGTCACTAGAGAAGGAGCAGTAGATTCTCATCCAGTTCCACAAGTCAACACGAGCATTGTCTCACTCCCCATGTTGACAGCTGCAGAGGATTTTCCATTCCCTGCCCCTACTGCTTCCAAAAACATCGGTTTTACATTGCCATAGCTAATGTTAACACCTCCTAGAATAAAGGGGGAATCACCACCGAGTGTCAGTTCTGGTTCAGACTGTGGAGTGAGGGTGTTATTCTTCTTGCATAAAATGTAGTGACTCCACATTGCACCAGTGGCTTGGTAAAAAAGACAAAATTTCTAGGGAATTAGTATCGATTATTTTTAACTATCATAACCTTGGCTTTATTGACACTTTGTATTAAACAGATCTCACTTGCCAAACGCCACAGGATGCAAGCCAACAGACGGGCCCAGAGAGCTCTCGTGAGCCGGAACTGTCACATAAGAAGCAAAACCACGAGAGAGAGAACACCACCCACATCCAACACAGCATAGCCACCCTGAAAGCCTCAGCATGTAAACTTTCGTGGCACCACCCTTTCTTTTAGAAATGTGTTTAGATTTTATAGACTTTTGCTAGACTTTGTTATGTAAGCTTTATGTACTGAAAGGTCTTAATTAAAGATTTTTAAATGTTGAGTAAAATGTTCACCAGTATAGTTTGTAATATATATATAACAAACCTGTCATATAATTTATTTTCTTTAAAAACAAGGCCCTTATACAAATTGCCCATGGAACTTTTATTTAGAATTTAAGGTCATTTGGGGCTTAGTGTCATATAAACAAAATTCTCCCAATTGCTAGGGTCCTCTTGGGGTGCTGCATTCCTGCGAACCATGATCATGCCAGGCTTTGTCAGTGATTGGAAAAACAGATCCTTCTCTGTCTGGGAGCTCAAATGCCTAGGGTGATGCCAGATCAAGTTTTCATTACTGAGTCATACATTCCTAAATTCAGTGTATCTCAGAAAAACAGACATACCTTTAACTCACAACAGTTTAACCTGACAAAGGTCTCAAATACTTCTATTGCAATAAAAATTGTGAAAAGGCTATCTTGCTAGAGATCTCTGACTCAGAGAAGAAAGTGAAGGTTGGGCATGGTAGCTCATGTCTGTAATCCCAGCACTTTGGGAGGTTGAGGCAGGTGGATCACTTGATGTCAGGAGTTTGAGAGCAGCTTGGGAAACACAGTGAAACCATCTCTGCTAAAAATACAAAAATTAGCTTGGCGTAGTGGTGCTTGCCTGCAGTACCAGCTGCTTGGGAGGCTCAGGCAGAATTGCTTGAACCTGGAAGGTGGAGGTTGCAGTGAGCCAAGATTGAGCCACCACATTCCAGCCTGGGTGACAGAATGAGACTCTGTCTCAAAAAAATAAAAAAATAAAAAATAGGCCAAATAAATAAGAGAGAGAGAAAAGAAAGTGAAGAATCTCAGTGACTGCAGCATTTTGGAACAGAATTTCTTTCAGGGAGGAATAGGGCACTGAGTATAAAAAGCAGCAGTGGAAAGAATTGCACAAACCCCTTTTCCATGCACTAGGTCTCTGGGTATAACTTTTATGAAGTTTAATTTCCTTCTAGTTGAATAAAGGTAGCAATGTGTTGCCTTTTACGTTGTGTATGAAGAGCCTAGAATGATGATCGACACCAAAAAGGAGTCAGTAATTTGATCCATTCACTCTTGGGTGCTGAGCTCCTCAGGGCATAGGCAGGAGGCACAGCTGGAAAGCCACCTGTGGGTGCACAGGTGCTGCTGGAGAGCAGAGTGAAGGAGGAAATAGGACAGGTGCTAAGGAACATGCAGGTGGAGCTGGAACACAGAGTGCAAGAGGGAATAGGCCAGGTGCTAAGGAACATGCAGGTGGAGCTGGAGAGCAGAGTGCAGAAGGGAGTAGGTCAGGGGCTAAGGAGAACACAGGGGCAGCTAGAGAGCAGAGTGCAGGAGGGAATAGGACAGGTGCTCATGAAAACACAGGGGAACCTGGGGTTCAGAGTAAAGGAGGGAATAGGACAGGTGCTAAGCATAATGCAGGTGCAGCTAGAAAGTAGAGTGCATGAGGAAACTAGAAGAGATGCTAGAGGAACACACTGAGATAGGTCCTGAGGGCTCCACTGAACCATACTTATCACTGCGTTTCAGAGTTCTTTCTTCTCATGCATCTATTTAAAAGGTGATCATTTGTGCACACTTTCTATCCTGCAGTGTAGCCATTTTAAGTATTCCTAACTAAATTGAGAGCAATTTAAGAACAGATGTCTTCTTGCACACACATGTTTATAGCAGCAAAATTCACAATTACAAAAATATGGAACCAGACTAAATGCCCATCAACCAACGAGTGAATAAATAAAATATTATATATATTATATATATATATGTATACACACACACACACACACACACACACACACACACACCATGGAATACTACTCAGCCATAAAAAGTAAAAAAATAATGGCATTTGCAGCAACCTGGATGGAGTTGCAGACCATTATTCTAGTGAAGTAACTCAGAAATGGAAAAGCAAATACTATATGTTCTCACTTATAGGTGGGACCTAAGCTATGAGGATTCGAAGGCATAAGAATGATAAAATGGACTTTGGAGACTTAGGGGGAAAGGTGAGAGGGGGTGAGGGATAAGAGACTACACATTGGGTACAGTGTACACTGTTTGGGTGATGGGTGCACCAAAATCTCAGAAACCATCACTAAAGAACCTACGCAAGTAACCAAAACCACCTGTTCCCCAGAACTATTGAAATAAAATAAAATAAAAATAACAGATATCTTATTCCTTTGGTAGTCCCCAGGGCCTAGCTCAAGAATTTACTAAATGCTTGTAAAATATAAGAATAAATGGAACAACTGGGTAAGCACAGCTCATGCAGAGACATCCAGCCGTTTCAGAAGTGTTAAGGTTCAGAGCAGTGGGCCCTGCGTAGGTCCTGGGTCATGGCATTTCCAGGAGGCACAGCCGTTTCAGAAGTGTTAAGGTTCAGAGCAGTGGGCCCTGCGTAGGTCCTGGGGTATGGCATTTCCGGGGAGGCACAGCCATTTCAGAAGTGTTAAGGTTCAGAGCAGTGGGCCTTGGGTAGGTCCTGGGTCATGGCATTTCCAGGAGGTACAGCCATTTAAGAAGTGTTAAGATTCAGAGCAGTGGGCCCTGCGTAGGTCCTGGGTCATGGCATTTCCGGGGAGGCACAGCCATTTCAGAAGCATTAAGGTTCAGAGCAGTGGGCCCTGCGTAGGTCCTGGGTCATGGCATTTCCAGGAGGCACAGCCATTTCAGAAGCGTTAAGGTTCAGAGCAGTGGGCCCTGCGTAGGTCCTGGGTCATGGCATTTCCAGGAGGCACAGCCATTTCAGAAGCGTTAAGATTCAGAGCAGTGGGCCCTGCGTAGGTCCTGGGTCATGGCATTTCCGGAAGGCACAGCCATCTCAAGCCTCCTTATTTATGGTGCGTGCTCTAAACCTCACACAGCACAGGCTTTTCTTTAAAAACATCAAGGTGAAATAAACCACATATTAATCTAGGTGGGCAATTAGAGAACCCACACAATTTAGTTGTATAATAGTAAACTTCTGCTGCATATTTAAAGGAAAATAGATAATATACTTTTTTTAAAAAAAGTGCAAATTATTCCACTATTTCTGAATACTCACTGCTTCCCATTGGAGAAGATGTAACCTAAATTACCACCCCATCTTGAGAAACAATTGTTCTCCTTTTATTTCCTTTTTATTTTCCCTTTTTTCTATTCTGGGCTTTTAATAATGCTTAGTCATATGATTTACTTAGATAACTTCAGGAACCAGCCTTAAAAAACTAAGCATAGAATCAAGGTTGCAGATTACCCCACCCTGGGAAGAATTCTGAGCAGTGAGTCTGCATTCCTGTTGCAGTCAAGCTGATGCCAGGGAGACCATCAGGTGACCATTGCTCAAGACAGTCATTGAGACCACACACACTGACCCACACATGGTCAAGCCCTGCACATAATTTCTCTACATCCTCCCCCCACAAAAACCTTCCAGCCAGCCTGAGAAACTTGAGATGTTCTTTGCAACACTGGTCTGCCATCTTCTCAGATTGTCAGATTTTGGGTAAACCCACTTTTGTTCCCACCAACTCTTGTCTCTTGAGTTTGGTTTTCAAGCAGCAAGCAGCCAAACCTGGGTTCAATTACAATTTGTGGCACCCAGCATGGTGCTGTGCACCTCAGGTGATCTAGCCTGCCTAGTTTTCAGTGGGTGGAGAAGTTGTCCTAAGCAGCATGTCAGAACTTACCCATTCACGCTACTGGGCAGAGCAACAACTTGCTCAAGAGTGCCAGCTGATCATGGCTATCTGACCCTGTGGCTGGGGCCAGGATTCCAGGAACGTCCCAGCAGCTACCAACAACTCTTTTTCTTGGAGATTTTCCCTTTTCACCCCTACGAGGCATCAGCTGCCTGCAACTCTCAGCTGGTGCAAGAAAAAGTGGTATCTGAGGAGTTGATGGCTTCAAGACTGGGTAAGTCAAGCAAATGTGCACAGTGGGATTCTCTCTCTCTGACATTTGGGCTTTAGTGCCATTTGGACCTAGCACAGGTCGTTTGTGGTACCAGATTGTGTGAGATAATATTCTAAAAACAAATACCTAATGTTAAATGACGAGTTACTGGGTGCAGCACACCAATATGGCACATGTATACATAGGTAACTAACTGGCACATTGTGCACATGTACCCTAAAACTTAAAGTATAATAATAAAAAAAAATCTCTCCTGTCTCCCTTTTTGAGTATTAGTTTGGGAGTCCTCCATTTGTGTCAGTTTCCATTTGTTTGTTATTTAATGGTTTAAAAACACGGGCAAATTCAAAGGCATGCCAGGTTTTTTCTTTTTGCACATGTTTTAAAACGAAAGGACAAATTACAGTAAGAAAAATTTAGAACTGAAATGATTAACCTGCAACTTTAGAGTTAAATAGAGTCCTCTGAAGCTCTCTATGTCTATTTCTTCATTTTCTTTTCTGCCTGCTTTGAATATGCTATATAGTTATTAAGCTACTGGTGTTGAGATAAAGCTCACTACAGTACTACTAATTCAAGGTTATTTGGATTTTTTAAATACATTTATCCAGTTCAAGCTAAAATGTAAACATTAAAAGCTCATTTAAAACAGAAAGAAGAGTTAAAAAGATTTTAAAAAATTGAACTGCCATGAAAACTGCTTTACCCAAAATTGTGGTCCATAGCTTTTATTGGATTTACCCACTGGGGCAAACAAAATGTAGCCATTTGGACAGGTCCCAATTTTGTCAAAAATAATTTGGGTTCATATATCTTTTATATGTTCATGAGTTTGTGATGCTATCTAATGGCTAGAGTTTCAAGGTAAAAGCTATTGGATCTTTGCTAGTGTGTGTATACATGTTTAATGTGTTGATGTATATGTATGTGTATTATGTTGTGTGTTGTGTCTAGCATGCTACCAAATTAGATTATAAATAAATGCTCATAAATCAAATGAATAAGTTCAAATGCTTTTCAAGTTCATAAGACTTAAGAAAATCTTTAATAAATAAAATGCTTTTTAAATTATTGGTACAGTAAAAATAGAACTGTATTTAGAATTGTCAGCATATGTTTTTGCCTGGGTTTAATGGTTATTTTGTATTTGCCTCTGCTGGACATTTTAGGGTGTCAATGTTTGGCATGTGAGTTATAGGACTGGAAACCCAGCCAAAAACAGAATAATCTTTGTTTCTGTGATTGTTTTTTGACAAATGAGATTGATTTAAAATTGTTGGCTCAATAAAAACAGCTGAATCTTCTGAGTTATCAGCAAAATACCTATCTCCTTTAACTTTAGAATTCTTACTTTGGTAAAAACTTGATGTTCACAGGTTTTAAAAATGGCTAACAGAAATAACTTTAAATAATGACTAGATTTTTTTCTGATATCTTAATTTTCAGAAGTAATCTAGATAGGCTGTTAAAAATGAAAGAATTGAGTACACATAAATGAGATAAATGCTTGTAGGTAAACTTTTTGCATAACTTAAAATCTTAAAATTATTTTCAATTAAATAATGGATGCTCATTGGATGTCTGGATCATGTTCAGTTAAGAAAGGGTTACAATATAGAGACATAATTTCTAAAAATTGTAGAGTGGTTTCATCTATAAAATCCTAACATCTTATAGACAGTTCAGGATTTCTTGCTTCCTGGTTTGAACTAAAATTTAAAGTTACTAAAATAAGAAGTATAGTTAATATATAATTATGCAAGTTGTGTTCTTATTACAAATAATAATTTTATGCAATTTGGAGGTTAAGAATTATTTATAAAAAAGATAAAAAGAAATCAGTAGGTAGAAGAGACAGTTGTGAAAAAATTATAGATATGAAGATATATTTTTGGTAAGGAAGGTTATTAAAAAGAGAATAATTTTGTGTGAAAAAGAATCTTATATGGCAAATTTTTGTTCTGAAGTAAAATCACTGATTATTTTTAAAAGAGGGACATATAGAACACATCAAGAAGTCCAAGCATGTTGTCAATGGTCTCCATAAGTCATAATGAGGTTTGTAAAAGAAAATTTACAAAACAAATTTTATATGTAATTAAGTTGGCTACAACAAAAAGAAAATTATTTATAGTAGTCTTTCTAAGATTGGTCCCCTACTGTTAAAACATAGTTTTCTTAAGTTATTAACTTACTCTTAATAAAATTACAAGAGGTTTTGATTTTAATTATATAACCTGTTTCCTTTTGAAAACTTCTCAGATTCATATCTCAGATTCATATCTCAACTGTTATTGTGTCTTGCTGCTTTCAGTTTTTTCTCCCTTTGAGAAGCCCTAACATGATAACTCTTTCCTAAAACTTTTTCATTAGCACCAGTAACTTTTCCTCCAGTTCTGACTGTTGTTGTGGCCTAATGTTGAAATACTTTATCTTAAATGTCTAAGAAAGTGATGTTTTACTGCAGTATAACTTGCTTTTGTACTTTTGGCTTTTCTTGATATGTCTGAATTGTTCCATGTAACCAGAAAACTCCTCCTACAGTTACTAAGAGTCATGTATTTCTCTGCTATACTCATAACTTTGAACACTCTCTTCCTGTGTTTTATTAAATTCAAGTACTCTTTTTATCACATTTGACTTCCAGGTTATCTAAATGGGCTTCCCATAAAGAGAAGCAATCACACTGCAGGTTTTTCTTTGCCTTTTTGGTAACTGGCCTAAATGATAAAGATTTTACATTTTATCAAAATAATTTCTATATTATATTTGAAAGTTTTTTTATTGCTTAAGAAAATTGAGATTTAAAAGGATTAAAGTTTTTACATCCATGAAACTTTCTGTCTTGTTTTTAAAATATTTTGATTATCACTCTTGGCTAAAAGAATAACTATTATTCTGTTTTGACAAAATGTTTTGAGCCTTTTAACATCTGTGATAAATGTCCTCAAAATAAAAATTCTAAACTAATTATTTGACCTAGACTTATTACTTGGGACTTACCAAAGCTACAAAAATTAATCACCACAACATTGTAGAATCTTTTTACACCTTCCAGTCAGGTCATGGACTCCAGTATCATTACCTCCAGCCCCTTGAAAGGGTCCCTACCAGGTGCTATTGACTAATCCTTGTCCTGTTAAGTAACAGGGTTTTGATTCCTGGGCATAACTATCTCATCTAAAAAGGTACCAACTATTGCTAAATCTTAAATGTTGACACCAGTGTCTGACACCAGACTCATTAACCAAAGCTTTTTCTCCAGACCTGGGAAAAGTATACTGCTTTTATGAGATGCAGAGAGTGGCCTGTTTTCAAAGATATTAAGACTCATTTAATAATTTTGCCTCTATCTGAATGCTTGATACTAGATAGTTTAAATGTTTAGCTACCTATGAGCTTTCTTCTGTCTTTTTCAAAACTAGAGCTTATGACCTTTTTTATTTGAAATGTTGCCATTCTTTATGTTTTGTTTTTCCAGAGGCATGAAAACTTATTGTTTTCTTTTTGAGCTATTTGAGAGTTTTTTTTTTTTATTCTCATCTGGGCTAGAATGTTTCATTGGCTATAAGTCTTTTGACTCTAAGTCCCTTGGCCAAAGGGGTCCCACTGAGGGACTTGATGGACCTGGGGCAGGTAGCATATCACCCTCATATCAACATGGGACAAAATAAAAGTTTGGCTATCTATACTACCTCTGGCATATCTTAACAGAAAAGGGGAAATGCAAACTAAAAAACAAAATGCTAAGCGCCCCCTCACTGAGTGAATAAACCCCCTCTTGGCCAAGAGAACTCCAGAGAAGGAATCTTAAAAACTTAGTTCCCAGCCATGATGAGACAAAAGGTCAGACATGTCTCATTATATCCTCTTCCTTTTATGGTTTAGACACAACTGAACAACATTAATGTTAAAATTAGATCATAAGACTGACAGAAACAACTCTTTGTGGTAATAAGATACCAAATTGTAAATGGGACTTATGGCCATTCCAGGCAAGGATTAAGTCACTGATTCAGTTTGGCTATGTCTGCACTCAAATCTTATCTTCTATTATAGTTCCCACAATCCCCACATGTTGTGGGAGGGACCTGCTGGAGGTGTAATTGCATGATGGGGGTGGTTTCTTCCATGCTGTTCTTGTGATAGAGAGTTCTCATGAGATCTGATGGTTTTATAAGGGACTTTCCCTGCTTTGCTCAGCACTTATCCTTCCTGCCACCATATGAAGAAGGATGTGTTGCTTCTCCTTCTGCCATGATTGTATGTTTCCTGAGGCATCCCCAGCTATGCTAAACTGTGAGTCAATTAAACCTTTTTCTTTTATAAATTACTCAGTCTCAAGTATGTCTTTATTAGCAGCATGAGAATGGACTAATACAGTCACCCTAAACTGCCACTATATATTTCTTTTTCTTCAGCAGCTAAACAAGAACCTGTCTTGAGATAAGCAGTATTAAAACAATTTGCAGCTCCACCAGATGCTAATTTACTGATTTCCAGACCCTGTTCTACCAGCTGTAACTAAAACTTTGATTGGACAAGAGCTGATTTTAGTAACTTTCCCCTGATAATAGACCACTGACCATAGACTGGTTCTGGTCAGTTTACAGATTGTGTACTTGCATGCCTCTTTGTCCTGAAAATCCCTTTTAGCACATACAGCCTAATTATAGTACATTGAAATGTGAAGTCTCCATGCCAAAAGTGAACATGAGTCATATGTTACCTGACTTGTTCAATACATGAGTCAGGACCACCTTCATGAATATTCATAGCTCCTCCTATAACTCGTTAAAAACATATGTTTAGCCAACCTGTCATCATGTATCACAGGAGCCCCATTACAACTGACAGTGGGTAATTAACTTATTGCCTTTCTTATTGATATAGGAGCCATATAGTTTATAGTTAATATTCATCTAGCCCCTGATTTTAAAAAGACTGTGAAGGTTGCAGGAATGTTCAGGAAAGCTTTGACTTGCCTCTTCCTGCAGCCTTTAAATTGGCATCTTGGAGACTACAATTGACAGAAAGAAACTAAAAGATAAACCATACTAAAAAAAAAAGCATTACCAAAATCTGTCAAGAAGCCAATTTGACTTGAGATAAGGTGTTGCTGGTCGCCCTGTTATAGATTAAAATAGATCCTCAAAATAGGAAGAAATTGGGTCCCTTTAAAATGTTATATGGTAGGCCATTCCACGTTTCTGCACTGTTGGGAAAACCAACTGATAACTTTAAGAAATTCACCAATTGCCAAATATGTTAAGACTGTAGGCACTATACTAGTTTCTGTTCATGAGTCTGCTTCTAAAAAGACCACTCATCCTAAGATGTGTCCCTACATCCTTTGCAATTGGGAATTCAGGTCCTCCTAAAGACTAAAAAAAAAAGTCAGCTCAGAGCCAGGTCAAATGGTTTCATTCCCAAGTTCCCAATCAACAGCCCCATCCAGCAGGAAGTAGCCAGATTGTAATTGACAACCAATTTTCCATAGAAATTGAATTAAAAATCAACAGTAGGGAATTTGTAGCAGAAACTGCCACTCTGTCTTGAAAAATTATTCTCTTTTTTCTTTTTTTCACCCTTCTTTCCATGCTGGGCTTTTGATAATGCTTAACTCATGTGCTTCGCCTAAAGAACTCCAGGAACTGTCCTTGAAAAACTAAGCATGGAATCAAGGTTGCAGAACATCCCGTCCTGGGAAGAATTCTAAGCAGTTAATCTGTATTCCTGTTGGAATCAGGCTGACGCCCACCAGACCACCAGATGGCCATCACTCAAGACAGTCACTGAGACCAAACATATTGACATACATAGTCAACCCCTGTGTTTAGCTTCTCCATATCCCCCTCCCATAAAAACCCTCCAGCCAGCCTGAAAAACTCAAGATGGTCTCTGCAACACTAGTTCACAATGTTCTCAGGTTGCCAGCTTTTGAATAAACCTGCTTTTCCTCCCATTAACTCTCATCTCTTGAGCTTGGTTTTTCAGTGGCAAGCAGCGAAACCTGGGCTCAGTTACAAAGAGAAACTGTGATGAGTATGATTTGTATTCCCCTTCCTCCGTGAACCTGAATGTGGGCTATTCTAAGGGAGATTAATGTTACAGTTAAATAATTCATTGATAGAGATGTGTCTCTATCATAAATATTTAAAATTATTATTAGTTTTTGTTCTGGTTGCTTTTTGTAACATAAAGCTCACATAATAAAAACAGTTTGGGTGGATATGCACTAGCCAAAACTAGTTGTTTAACTTTTATTGGAAGCTTTGCAGAGATCGGGAGCAGAGTTGATTGACTCTTTCTTATGGTAAGTAACCATGCCCTCATGGAAACTTCTTCCCTGAGGGTGGGTTGAGCTAGTGACTTACTTCTAATAAATACAATATGACAAAAGTGATTATGTTTCTTCCAAGGTGAGGTTACAAAAGTCTCTGGGTTCCATCTTGTGCTCTGTGGTTCTCTTCCTTGCCCATTGAAATGGAGGCAGCTGTGTGTTGTGAGCTGCCCTGTGGGGGCTCCTGTGTGGCCAGGAGCTGAGAAGGGTCTCTGTGAACAGCCGGGAGGACAGGCCCCACGGTGATGGTGTATGTGTGGCTGAATCCTGCCAACAGCCATGTAGGTGAACCCGAAAGCAGTTCCTTCCTCAGTCTTTAGATGAGGCCACAGTCCTAGCAGATGATTTGATTGCAAATTTGCACAAAATCTTGAGGCAGAAGCACCCAGCTACATGTCATGGCCAGATTCCTAAAGCACAGAGATGTTTGTTGTTTTAATTCACTAAGTTTAGGATAATTTGTTATACAGTATTTGATAAAGATAAAAACAAAAACAAAAACAAAAACATTTCTCCATCCTGAACTTTTAAGAAACATCCAGTTAAGTACCTAAGGGTAAAGTGGCCTGATGGCTCCAACTGACTCTCAAATAGTCAGAAAAAATAATATGCACATGTACGAAAAGACACGAAGAGAGATGGACTGAGGAGGCAAACAGGTCAAAATGTAAACAACTGCTGTGCAAAGGTGAAGGGCAGTGGGAGACATTCACACTATTCTTACAACCCTTCAACCTACCTCAAAATGAAAAATTACCCATAAGCCTGAGCAAAAAGATCAGTTTAAGAAGGAATGAGTTAAAAATGGCAAAAATGGAGATCAGAAAATATGTATGAACAAACAAAACTACAAAAACAAGTAGTTTTTGCCAGGTCTGACCCACAGACTCTGGCAGAGTGACGGATGAAAAAATGTCCACAGACACAGGTTTTTTAGTCTGGTCACATGGCTAGGGGACCAGGCCACTCACAGACACCAAGGGGGTGCCATAAGGAGTCACAGCAGCTGCAGAGCTGACAAGCTGGCCCTGTGGGCATTTATTTAGTACAGATTTAATGACAAAGGCTTTGAGTCAACACAACTTGTGGGTAATTAACGTGGTTGCTGCACCCCACCCTCAATGCCCTCAGAGAGAGCAGTCCTGGGTGCAGATGATTAAAGGCCAGGTTCTGAGGCCTAAGTAAACTAACTTATCTAGATTAATTCCCCTACACTTACTTATCTACGTTTTGTTCTCAGCCTCTGGATAAGAGAACTTGGCTGCCTTCAGCCAAATTATCTTTCAAAGCTTTTGCAAAACCTCCTGGCCTTCCAAGAAGGTTTGCATCTTTTCCTATAATTTCTTCCTATAATTTATTCTACCACCCTGACCCAACTCCTACAAGCTTTTATTTCCTCTTTAGATGTGTGCATGGAATCATGTTGGTCAACTTATCAAAGTTATAGGATGTTGAAAACACTGCCATCATCTCATCCAGGGTAACAATATCTACTAAAAAAGAAGCCTGGCCAGGCATGGTGGCTCACGTCTGTAATCCCAGCATTTTGAGAGAGGCAGAGGCAGGCGGATTGCTTGAGCCCATGAGTTTGAGACTAGCCTGGGCAACATGTGAAACAAAGAGAAAGAGAAAGAAACCCAATTGACATAAATAAAGAAAAATCATAGAAGACATAAGCATTAGGCAGTATTATGTTATAAACTGAGTTATTAGTTTTAGTTTGGAAAATCTAAAATAGTCCTGGTTCAATGGCTTCTTTGTTGAACAGACCATTGTTATGAGCCATAATGTGTTCATCTTTTTACCCCTATCTATAGAATTCCAAAGACAGCTTTCCTCTTTGTGATGTTTTGGAAACACGTCACATTGGGAATGTTTATTTCTACTGGTGAACAAATTTGTATAACTTATTAGAGAAACAATTTGGTAATATATATAAAAAGCTTTAAAATATGGCTTTTGATTTATTATTTTAGAAATCTGTCTGGACACCTTAAGTGCTACAAGAAAACTGAAGCACAAACAGGTTTATAAGGGTGAAAATTTCAAATAATCCATATATACAAAACCAAGAAATGGTTTAGCAAACAGAGGAAAACGGAAAATCATGCAATAGTTAAAATTATGTTTATGGATAATTTTTTAAACAGGAAAAAGATAAAATTTTAAAAGTAATATATAAAATGTATTGCACAATATAATTGTAATCACCTTAATTTGTAAAAAGACTTTAGGAAACATCATGTTTTTCTTTATACTATGATATATTTCCAAATCAGCCTGTCAAAGAATGATAGACACATATATATACTAAGAATATACAATAATACATAACACTCCACTATCTAGTAGGAAAAGTGACAATGGCTTATCTGATATTTTCTTTAATAATTAAGACAAGAAGAAGTTGTGTTAAAAAGTATTTGGTAAACTATAGACAATTTGCTAAAGTAAGCACCAGAGAAAAATTGAAAAGAGAGTTTTTGTTGTCATTTTTAAAGAATATGTGTTCATGCCAAAATTCTAAAGCAACTACCTAGTGTTCGTTTTTTAAAGGGTATTTATAAATGGTCTAGAGAGAGATATTTTATTTTTATATTCTTAGAGTACAGCACACATGTGAAATAGAATCAAAATAATATCAAGCTAGTTGTTTTGTGAAAAAAATTGTATCTGCATGTGGGTAGGCTTTGAATAACGTCTTGATAAGATTTTTACAGCAGAAATAACATTTAAAGTCATCTAAAATATCAACATTTTCCCCTAAAGCCATTTGTATCCCAGAAATTTAACCAACAGCGAATCTTCAGAAGGCGATTTAGCACACAAGATCACCTTCGCTCTATTGTGCAGTATTGTTTGGGTGGTAAAGGAGAAGCCTGACAGTGCTGGATAACATCCAGAATAACAAGACCAAGACTTTGGTGACACAACTACTCCTGGTCCTTGCACAAAACCGTAAAGTCAGTGGTTTTCCACCACAGGCAATTCTGCCTATCTTAGAACATGCGGCAATGACCAGAGCTGGGGCATCTGGTGGCTGGACTGCCATTTGTAATCTCACAGACACCTCTCAGCACACAGAAAAGCCCCCACCACAAAGAACTGTTCTCTTTCAAATGTTGGTTGTACTGAGGTTGAGAAATCCCATATTAAATAAAACTTCAAAATACCCCTTTTATTCTTTTCTACTAGTACATACTCCCTAACTTCAGCCCCCAGATTTTAGGCGTATGTATCAATCACTTAAGGGGAAAAAGATCACCAGATTTCTCCATTAACTTATGTTCTTTGTGTCATTTCAAAGCACACATGTGTCAACAATCACAAAATAGCAACCTGATTAGAAAATGGGCAAACAGCTTGAATAGACAATTTTCCAAAGATGACCTAAAACTGGCCAACAAACCACATTAAAAGATGCTCAACATCACTAATTATTAGAGAAATGCAAATCACAACCACAATGAGATACTACGTCACACTCATTAGTACCGTGTCTGGAAATGGTGGGTTCTTGGTCTCACCGACTTCAAGAATGAAGTTGCAGACCCTCGCCGTGAGTGTTACAGTTCTTAAAGACAGCATATCCAGAGCTTGTTCCTTCTGATGTTCGGACCTGTTCAAAGGTTCTTCCTTCTGGTGGGTTTGTGGTCTTGCTAGCTTCAGGAGTAAAGCTGCAGACCTTCCCATTAAGTGTTACAGCTCTTAAGGCGGCCCCTCTGGAGTTGTTTGCTCTGCCCGTCTGAAGTTGTTCATTCCTCCCAGCGGGGGTGGGTTTGTGGTTTGAAGCTGCAGACCTTCACAGTGAGTGTTACAGCCCGTAAAGGTAAAGCACACCTAAAAAGTGAGCAGCAGCAAGATTTATTGCAAAGAACAAAACTTCCAGGAAAGGACTGCAGCAGGTTACCTCTACTAGCTGGGGCAGCCTGCTTTTATTCCCTTATCTGGCCCCACCCACATCCTGCTGATTGGTCCATTTTACAGAAAGCTGATTGGTCCATTTTACAGAGAGCTAATTGGTCCGTCTTGACAGGGTGCTGATTGGTGCGTTTACAAACCTTGAGCTAGACTCAGAGTGCTAATTGGTGCATTTACGATCCTCTAGCTAGACATAAAAGTTCTCCAAGTCCTCACCAGATTAGCTAGATACAGAGTGCTAATTGGTGCATCCAGAAACTCGAGCTAGACACAGAGTGCTGATTGGTGCATTTACAATCCTCTACCTAGACATAAAAGTTCTCCAAGTCCCCACCGGACTCAGGAACCCAGCTGGTTTCGCCTGGTGGTTCCCGTGCCTGGGCCGCTGGCAGAGCTGCCCGCCAGTTCCCAGCCATGCGCCCAGCACTCCTCAGCCTTTGGGCGGTTGATGAGAGCAGGCGCCACGGAGCAGGGGGCGGTGCCCGTTGGGGAGGCTTCGGCAGCGCGGGAGCCCACGGTGGGGCGGGGGGTGTCAGGCATGGCAGACCACAGTTCTAGAGCCCTGCCCCGCAGGGAGGTGGCTGAGACCCGCAAGAATTTGAGCGTGGTGCGGGAGGGCCGGCAGTGCTGGGGGACCCAGTGCACCCTCTGCAGCTGCAGGCCCAGATGCTAAGCCCCTCACTGCCCGGGCTGGCGGTGCTGGCTGGCCACTCCCAGTGTGGGGCCCGCCGAGCCTGTGCCCACCTCCCACCAGCACTGTGCACAGCCCTGGTTCCCGCCTGCGCCTCTCCCTCCACACCTCAAGGCAAGCAGAGGGAGCCGGCTCTGGCCTCTGCCAGCCCAGAGAGGGGCTTCCACAGTGCAGCAGCGGGCTGAAGGGCTCCTCAATCGCGGCCAGAGTGGAGGCCCAGGCCGAGGAGGCACTGAGAGCCAGCAAGGGCTGCTAGCATGTTGTCACCTCTCAGTATGGCCATTATCAAAATAACAGAAGGTGCTATATGATTCCACTAATATGAGGTATCTCAAGTAGTCAAAGTTGTAGAAACAGAAAATAGAGAGGTGAAGGGCTGGGGGGTTGGGAAAAGAAAAGGAATTAGTTCTTAGTGGGCATAAAGTTTCACTTCTGCAAAATGAAAAAGTCTAGGTACCTGTTGCACAACAGTGTAAATATACTTGACAGTGCCAACCTGTTCACTTGAAAAGTTTAAAATGATAAAGTTCATGTTATATGATTGTGACTACCATTAAAAATAAAATAAAAAATTTAAAAGCACATGTATGCTTGCCAACTTTGGGACATAATTACCCAGAATAGTAGAAGCTTTATGACATCAGGTTAAAAAAATAATAGCGAAACTGAGGGTCCTCTGGTTTCCGTCCCAGGACTGCCCTCATCAGTTTCAAGTTGCTACCTGCATTGCCCGGTGACAGCCACTCGTCTTTCTGTTCCACTGCACTTGTTTCTTTTTCTTTCTTTCTTTCTTTTTTTTTTTTTTTTTAAGACAGAGTCTCCTGGGTTCAAGCAATTCTCCTGCCTCAGCCTCCCAAGTAGCTGGGACTACAGGCACACACCACCACACCTGGCTAATTTTTGTGTTTTTAGTAGAGACAGGGTTTTACCATGTTGGTCAGGCTGGTCTCAAACTCCTGACCTCGTGATCCACCCCTCTTGGCCTCCCAAAGTGCTGGGATTACAGTTATGAGCCACTGCGCCTGGCCTACTGCACCCATTTCTATCGGCCTCCTCCCCAATCCCCATCCCATACCCTGATCAGCCACTGCTACGCTGCCGTAACTGATAGAGGCAAAGTCACTCGATGAGGGCAGACAGCTGTGTACTCTGCCAGGCTACCCAGGGGAAAGTTGGGTGGGCTTGAGGATGGAGCGTAGTGGCCAGATCTGTGATTGGTGAAGATATTAGAGAACTAAGCTGGAGAGAATTTGTGTTGTTGTAACTATGATGGAAGAAAAATAAAGAAAATTCGGCATGTTTTCTTGGCCAGGGACTAACACAGAAAGAAGAACACATATCTAACACCTCCCTTTAAATTTTTTAATGCACCTTCCTTCCCTGTGAAGAAACCCGGTGATCTATTATAGAACGAGATTTGCTGGAGGCCACCTGGCTGCTGTCAATGGGGCAGTCAAGTCTTCCCAAATCTGAAAACTGCGCTTTTTACATGTTACCACACCAAGGGTCTTTAGCCCTTTGAACACCTTAGCAAGTTCTCCATTTTAACCTAATGGTGCAAAACCAGGGAGGATGCCGTGATGTTAACACTTTTACCACAGAGTATGTTGCAGCCGACGTCTGTTCATTCCGTGGTGAAGCTTGGGGTTTTCCAGTTCTCGGTCCACGAAAATTAGCTGTAAAGGTTTTCTTGCTTGTGGAGGCAGCCGCAGGCCATGTCCGACTTGTCAGCCAGACACAGAAACTAACTTGCACCTCATCCGGCAGCGCTGTGTGGGGCACCCTCCAGTCTGTTTTCGGCCCTGAAACCCGTTAGTCATCCCTGCATTTTTGCCAGTCCTTTGTGGGCCAGCAGAGGCCTGTGAAGAATTTAAATCCTTAACCGTGCATACTAATGCCTGGAGGCTTCCAGAAGCCCCGTCCAGCTGCGTCTCACCCGGAGCCCAAGGCAACTATAAACAGGCCACAGAGGCAAAGTTCTGCTGCTCAAAATTACAGCTCCTCCCGGGGACACTATTTCCCTTCTGAAAACATCTGGCTCCCAACGTTTTCTAGCTTTGAGGGAGGCAAAGAGAGGGTTATTTTAGAAAATTTTTGTAACTTTCCAGTTTTACATGGTCTTGGCCCTTCTGTGGCCTGTATAGACATTTTCCCATAACTAAGAACATACCATAAGCCTGAGGAGAAGGTCGCTTTTTATAAAAAAAAAAAAAGTCACTAAGCCTCCAAAAGTATCTTGTTTCTTGCTAGCTCACAACCTGTGTTTAACGGATAACAAAACACATAGAAATTAATTCTTAACCATTGCCCCTGTGGGTGTTTCGTTTGGCTCTGGGTACACAGGGAAGGGAGAGCTGGGCAAAGATGGAGCCGGCGGTTCCTGGACCACCAAACCAAGCACGCTGGAGACCACATCTGCCAAAAGTGTCCCCGTCACACTACAGCAGGAGCAGTGTCTTCCCGGGTTAGGGAGCTTGAAAAGGAAGAACCTTCTGTTGTCGACATGGGCAAATGTGTGACTGTAAATGTCCCAGGAGCCTGTATTGTTATTGTTTGTTATTGCCTGTCTCTGTGATATTGCACTGCACGTCACACGCTCCTTTAATCAGTCTAGAGGCTACATGTTTAGAACTTTACAAATCATCTAGTGCAGAAACAATAATGAAAACCGAACCCAAACCTCAGAATTCTTTTTTAAAAAAATCAATGTTAACATTCTTTCTACACTAAGACCATGTACCTGTATTTTCCCACACACGCGTTCAGTTTGTGATCATATGTGTGACATGTTTTCCTTCATTCTGATCATAGTTTAGGAATATATTCGGGTATGTAATTTATTTCACTTTCTATTATAAGCATGTTAATGTGTTGCTACATAATCAACATTTTATTTTGATTATTGAACAATACCCTAAAGCTTGACTGCAAGACTTACATTTACTACTGTTGTTTGATATTTTTATCACTGCAATAAACACCTTTTATTATAGTTTTCTCCTTCTCTTTAGATTATTTTTTTGAGATACATTTTCATATGTCCATATATTTAGGCAAGTAATATTAGAGACAGGTATTGTGTTTTTACTAACTACTGTTTACTTGGAAGGCTTGAAATAGTGTGAGTTGAACCATCCTCATTCCTGAGTTAGAGGAAAAACTGTCCCCCAAGGTATCTGTGTCTTCACACATTCTTTACCCTTCGCAACTCTTAGTGGCACCATGTCTCTCCGGTGAAAGGGCAAAGGCCCTCTGTCTCTCCTCTCAAAGCACCCCCACCCATGCTGGTCCTTCCCCACAGCCGTCTGCTTCCAAGCTCCTTGCTGCATTCCTTGTGAGGGGAAATGGCCCCTGCAGGGTAAAGGCACGATGCTTTGCAAATAATAAACCAAAAAATCACCTCTGACTTGGGTCAAGCAATTTGACAATGCTAAGAATAAATGATGCACTTTTCAGAGCCTCCTGTTAATCATCGGGAACCTTTCTGGGCTCAGGGTCGGCCCTCACTGCAGTTCCTGCAGGAGTTACTGGCCAGGCCCAACCAGGCACCAGCTCTCCTCTAACTTCTTGACTCAGCTCTCAGAGGCTGGTCAGAAAGGCACGACCTTCCCCCAGAACCACCTTCCCAGGCTCCACGACTGGAGCAAATCAGATCCCACTTTCCTAGGAGAGTCTCCTAAAGGCCTGGAACGTGGCCCAGGCCTTCTTTAAAGTGTTTTGCCCCAGAGAGGAGTGTTTTTGCTTCTACCTGGTACCAATCTTTCCATTCTAGAATTAGGGCTTGCTGGGCCACAGAGACAGCATGAATTGAACCCCAAATCAAAGCACTGAGTTGAGGAAGACTCTGGAGTGATATTTTTGGTCTCATTTCCCCTCCACCAGAATTCAAACAGAGTGATTATCCTGAGGGTCTGTCCCCTTTTCTCATGCTGTAATTGTCCCCTTTGCAGGACTCAAACTTACAAAGGCCATTTCCACCGCCCTCAGGTGAAACCTATGAACCCCCATGCCTCGGCCACATTTTCCTTCTGGGAAAATCACAGCCTCAGCCAATCAAGGCTGCCTGTTCTTACAGATTCATACCTCTAAGACTCACCTTATTTTTCTACTTACACAGTCATAAATTTTAAAATGTTCTGTTTGTTTTTATTTTCCTGGCACTTTCTGTGCTGGGAGGGCTTCCCTAGTTCACAGGTTCGCCATGTTGCCAGAACGTGGGGCCCTCTCTCTTGTTCATTGTTCATTGTTATTAAGGACGTATGGTAGTTCTCAGCCAGTGTAGTGTCCTCTCTGTCTTCTCTGTGTTTCAGTGAAACACAAATCCAGACTCGCTTAAGCAGAGAGTTTACCTGAAGTTCTCATTTTGAGAGAGGGAGGGGACTTCATGACACAGGGTGAATGCTCTGACCCCAAAGAACTTCAAGCATCTCAGGCAGAAAAGCACTTTTGTTTTAGGAGGAGGGAGTAACCAAGCCTAGAACACCTGGGTGAGGCATGGAGGGGCCCGTGGCGCAGTGGACAGTGGGCAGGAAATGGGTCAGCCCACTGGGAAGAGATGGAGGGGAGGGTGGGGTCCCCATCGCAGCATTCATGGGTGGGCTTGGCCGAGAGGAGAAGCTGAGTCGAAGTTCGGCTAACAAGTATTTTTTTAAGATAGATCAGTGGAGTCAAAGCAGTTCAGCTACACATCTGTGGGACAAAAATGGGAATGCAGAGGGTCTGATTCTGGCCCTGTCACTGGTGAGTCTTGTCTGTGTCATGTGGGGAAGGTGGTTCTTTTCAGTGGCTGCTGGAGCTCAAAGTTGTGGGAGGGTGGCTCTTAACTTGCCCTCTTTTCCCCATCACAGGGCAGGGGAAAGTCCGATGTTGGCAGTAGTTACTGAAACAGATTTTTGTCCCTGGTGGATTTCATTTGGTGTCCAGAGTTTAACTGTTACGGAGTTCTCTATGCTACAATTTTGTTGAGTTCATATTTCAGGGGCCCTGCTGCTGTGTACGGTGGCCTTCAGCCAGGACGTGTCTTGGCCCTGGCCGTGAGAGCCATCTGGGCTGGGTGAGGCTGTGCCCACCTCAGAGGTGGGGCCAAGGACCTCTGTCTTCTCTGGTGGAAAGAGCCCTTCTCAGGGTCTAAACAGAAACATGGGAGCTTTTGTGAAACCATTATAATCTCCTGGGAACAGAAGCTTAAGGGTTTTAGTCTCTTGATTTTTAGTATTAAGGAGTTTGGGATTGTATGCATACATCAAAACTCAGTCTTTCTTGGCTATATATTTTATAGCTTTAAAACTCCTATATTAAATAACCCTTCCAATACTGCTACAAATTAAAAACCTGGACCAAGTGGACCTCAACTAACTACTGCAGCCACCCCTGCTGGGGGCAAGCCAGAGCCCACTAAAACAGGACATTTGGCTACATTTACAGGGCTGTTTAAATGATTTGAAGCAACAGATGTGTATATTGACTTGGAAGGTTTTGCAGGAAACTGTGTTTCAGTACTTAAATAGCATACTGTAAGGGCTGACCTTGATCCAAGGGGTCACAAATGTCACCTCGTTGGGAGGTGTCTTTTCCAGGATCTACGTTATAATTATGATCTCCTTGGAAGCACCAGGGGAGAAATTCCAGATGGTTTTGCAAGGATAAAGTGAGAGCAAATGAACATCCAGGTTATGTATTCTTACTCTATTAATTTCTACTTGAACTCATTTTTAATGTGTTTTTACTAATATTAAGAAAATAAGCCATGATATAAAGTGTTGGAAAGGAAAACCCTGACTGCACACCCCAGCCCCGTAACAGAACACAGAAACGCGCAGGGCCTTTTCCCTTCTGTCTGCCTTTCCGGCCTCTGGACACAGAAACGCGCGGGGCCTTTTCCCTTCTGTCTGCCTTTCCGGCCTCTTGACATGGAAACACGCGGAGCGTTTTCCCTTCTGTCTTCCTTTCCGGCCTGTTGACATGGAAACGCGCGGAGCCTTTTCCCTTCTGTCTGCCTTTCCGGCCTGTTGACGTGGAAACGCGCGGGGCCTTTTCCCTTCTGTCTGCCTTTCCGGCCTGTTGACGTGGAGACGCGCGGGGCCTTTTCCCTTCTGTCTGCCTTTCCGGCCTGTTGACGTGGAGACGCGCGGGGCCTTTTCCCTTCTGTCTGCCTTTCCGGCCTGTTGACGTGGAGACGCGCGGGGCGTTTTCCCTTCTGTCTGCCTTTCCGGCCTGTTGACGTGGAGACGCGCGGGGCCTTTTCCCTTCTGTCTGCCTTTCCGGCCTGTTGACGTGGAGACGCGCGGGGCCTTTTCCCTTCTGTCTGCCTTTCCGGCCTGTTGACGTGGAGACGCGCGGGGCCTTTTCCCTTCTGTCTGCCTTTCCGGCCTGTTGACGTGGAGACGCGCGGGGCCTTTTCCCTTCTGTCTGCCTTTCCGGCCTGTTGACGTGGAGACGCGCGGGGCCTTTTCCCTTCTGTCTGCCTTTCCGGCCTGTTGACGTGGAGACGCGCGGGGCGTTTTCCCTTCTGTCTGCCTTTCCGGCCTGTTGACGTGGAGACGCGCGGGGCGTTTTCCCTTCTGTCTGCCTTTCCGGCCTGTTGACGTGGAGACGCGCGGGGCCTTTTCCCTTCTGTCTGCCTTTCCGGCCTGTTGACGTGGAGACGCGCGGGGCCTTTTCCCTTCTGTCTGCCTTTCCGGCCTGTTGACGTGGAGACGCGCGGGGCCTTTTCCCTTCTGTCTGCCTTTCCGGCCTGTTGACGTGGAGACGCGCGGGGCCTTTTCCCTTCTGTCTGCCTTTCCGGCCTGTTGACGTGGAGACGCGCGGGGCCTTTTCCCTTCTGTCTGCCTTTCCGGCCTGTTGACGTGGAGACGCGCGGGGCCTTTTCCCTTCTGTCTGCCTTTCCGGCCTGTTGACACGGAGACGCGCGGGGCCTTTTCCCTTCTGTCTTCCTTTCCGGCCTCTTGACGTAGTCTACTTTTACTCAGCTCCTGTCATAGTGCTTGTAAGGTCGTGTATCCTAAATTTTCTCTAAATGATATATCATAAGCACTTTTCTATGTTGTCATTTAGTTGTAGTAATCAACATTTTAATGACTAAGTGATATTTCAGAGCATTTCAACATTCCTGAATAAAATGATAATATGGCCGTAAAAACAATGAGGTTGTACCACAATAGAAGAAATATAACTCTAGTCTTTAAGAAAGAAACGTTACTACCTGTGTGGCTAACAGTTGCTGGCTTTTCTCTATGTTTCTCATACTTTGGAATGAATTAGCTCTAGAATAAAGTCAGCATATTGTGTGTCTGAGTCCTGAACTTCTGGCTGGTGGACACAGATCTCTGTTGTATGCAGCCTTCTTGCTGGCCAAGTAGATCAGCACAGAGACACTGAGCTCACTCTGGCTTTCTCTGTTCTCCAGCCTGGCCCCCTGCATTCCCACAGCTTAAAGTTTATTTTAAGCTTTATTCTTTCCCACGTCCTTTGTTTTTTTTAGATAACGTTCATGTAATTATGAAAATAAATTCAGAGCAAGGCTGTCTTTCTGAGGGCAGGGGTGCGTTGCCGGCAGCCGAGGCCTGCTGGGGATAGTGTTCCTCGTCTGCCAGTGCTTGTTCTGTGGGAATAAAGCAACAGGATCATTTTAGAATAATTAGGGAAAAAATACAAAACACTGAGGGTGAATTAGCCCTGCCAATCTGGTGGTCGTTCCTGAGTTCAGCAAATTTGCATCCATATGTATCTGTGTCTTGTGACTGCATTGATTTGGTTTTCAACTTCTTTGCAAGAATACAAGCTACGGGGAGGCTGCCGCCTCAGTAGAGCCTGTGTTCACTGATGTGGCCCTGTGGTAACAGCGAGGACAGCAAGGTGACGGGTGCAGCTCCTGCCCGTCAGGCACTCACAGTCCTGAAGAAGACAGAGGAAGAAAAGCCCGTTGTCCAGCAAGCTTGTGAGGTGGCTGAAGCCTGTCTCCACTGTATCCAGGGCAGAAAAATACCGGCGAGACTTCAGCGGGGCTGAGGCCTAACTGAAACCAAGATGAGCTTTGGTTTTATTTCTTAGTATAATGTCACCTAGTGAGTTTCACCAAATATTGCATTTGCATAATGCATTTTTGTGCTACTTTTCTAGACCCCAGAAGTGACAAGAGGGCAGGAAACTTCTGGCTCACGCCAGCACGGTAACCACTGCTTCTGTCCGTCTCCTCGACAGTCCGCACACCACTGCACAAGGCAGCGGTTTATCTTTTTAATTCTCTGCTTCATTGGCATAGCCTTGACTGGCAAACAGTAGGTATTCAATAAATATGGTACTTATATTGATGGAATAGATTATTATATTATCATTTAACATAGTAGATTTTTGTATTAGACTTTTAATATACAGTGGTCTTAATATATACATAGGTGAAACAAAATGGGAATTAGAAGGCTTACCTAACTTCCATTTGTCAACGGCATTTATTCAATAAAAGTGTATTTTAGTGCTTACGACACACCAGTTAGCAGGCTCAGCTCTGAAGACACCGTGACACAGTTTTTGTCTTTTCAGGGAGTTGATTGCTATCTGGTGGGAGATACAGAGTGGAGGCAGGCATGGGAAATACAGTGCGTTAAAGGTAGGTTCAGATTGAGTGGAGCAGCTTTAAAGGACTAAGTGTCTGGCCAGTCTTCAATAAACATGAAACTGAAGTTAGAACCAAGAAGTATCCAAGAAATCACCTGGTACAGCAACTCCGGAACTAACAGCCTGTAGGACACTCAGTGGGCTCCTGGTTTCATATTCCATAATGCAAACATCTACTGAGGACCATGCTAGACAGCGGCAAAGGCCAAAAAAAGCACCAGGACTTGACTTCAGCTACGATCCAAGCAATCAGATGTGCTTTTACATGTCAATTGCATGCAAACCACCAGTGCAAGTTTGAAGTGTTACGTGACAAGAGTAGTAAGAATCGCCTTCAATGATGCATAGGGAGCATTCACTATGGGCCCAGCACCCCACAAGACCACCTCTATGCATTATCTTGTTTTATGCCATTAGACATTTGAGAAACCTGAAATTCAAAGACGGCAGCCACTCAGACAAGGTCAGGGAGCTGGTAGCAGCAGATCCAGGGTCCAGCCCCGACAGCCGAGCTCCAGCTCTGGCGTTTGACCACCCTGCGAATCCTATTATACCACTTGACCTAAAATTCATGTGCAAATATAGAAATTACTTCACGCTCAGGACTTGGAGGATTATTATCAAAGGCCCCTGCGGGTAGGTGATTGGGAGTCATGGCTGGGAAGAGCTGAACTCCTCATGTTCTCATGGCTGATCCGAGAGCCCTGGGTTTGGAAGCAGAACACCCACCTGTTTAGAGCTGTGATTCTGTCACTTCCTAGGGGTGTGATGGTGGGAATTAACCAAGTTTCTTCACCAGTAATATTTGCACAATAACACCGTCCTCATTCTGCTGTCTATAGTATTTAAAACTCCTATATTAAATAACCCTTCCAATACTGCTGCAAATTAAAAACCTGGACCAAGGGGACCCCAACTAACTACTGCAGCCACCCCTGCTGGGGGCAAGCCAGAGCCCACTAAAACAGGACATTTGGCTACATTTACAGGGCGGTTTAAATGATTTGAAGCAACAGATGTGTATATTGACTTGGAAGGTTTTGCAGGAAACTGTGTTTCAGTACTTAAATAGCATACTGTAAGGGCTGACCTTGATCCAAGGGGTCACAAATGTCACCTCGTTGGGAGGTGTCTTTTCCAGGATCTACGTTATAATTATGATCTCCTTGGAAGCACCAGGGGAGAAATTCCAGATGGTTTTGCAAGGATAAAGTGAGAGCAAATGAACATCCAGGTTATGTATGGATGTTCATGGAGGATTAAGTGAGAGAATGGTGTGGAAAGTACCAGGTAAACCAGGAGGCCTGAAGCACACGTGTAATATGTTTATTATTTGACTTAAATGAAAGCATGGATATTTTTAAAGGTTAAAGAAAAAGGTTCACCATTTTAAACTCATGTAAAATCATTATATAAAATTATTATTGCTTTTAACTGAGTTCTTGAATCATTTCTTCTTAATTCAAACAAGTCATTATTCTGTGACCAGTAGGAGTTTTTGAGATCAGTCTGTTTGCTACTAAATTTGTCTGCACTTGGGACTTCACTCAAGAGGAATGCCAGCTTTCTTGTGTGGAACCAGAGGCAGTCGGGGCCTGAGCCAGCAGCACTACCTGATCGAGGAACAGGTGCACTGAGAAAACAGAGAAGCCACTCAAGACTGTTAACTTTTTGTTTGAAAGCTGCATCAAAGTCTGGGTAGCCTTCCCAGAAATACTATTCAGTACATGAGCACAGCAGCCTGGGACCTGCAGGGCTCCGCAGGTGACCCTGGCTAACTCCACTGGAAGGGCCCCGCCTCCAGCAACATCTTCCTCAGTTTCCACCTTCTGTCCTTTGCTGATTTAGTCCCACAAGAACTTGAGTCTGAAGACAGCTTTGTTTTCACTGCTGTGATAACAAAAACACAATTATGAAATAATGTAAACGCTCATGCAAAAACACACAGAAAAGCCAAACACAACAGTGGCCCAGCCAAGCTCTGCGAGCTTAGTCCTGTGTGCTGTGAATGCCCTGGGCCCCTCTGGATGCCAAGTGCCATGGACTCAGGCCTTAAAGGAATTTTCAAGCAACACTTTAAATATACGCATTTCAAAAAGTGACTTATACACAAAATTCAAGTGCGATGGTGTACTTTTTGTTATTTTTACTAACTAGAATATAGGGCTCGTGTACATTTTACAAATTTGTTTTGCTTTAGCCTTTTGTTATCCCATCAAATCGCTGTCAGGGTCACCAGGCCAGTCCTTTTCCTCCTGCCTGCTGTGGGTGTGATATGCATTCTGTAAAACAGGTGTCTGGCATGGTTTTTGCTCTCATTTTGTTGCTTTTATGTTCTTTGATATGGTTAAACCTATCTTTTATTTACAAGGTGGCTGACATGGCTTGGTTCTGTGTTCCTGCTCAAATCTCGTGTCAAATTGTAATCCCTAGAGTTGGAGGAGGGTCCTGGTGGGAAGTGACTGAACCATGGGGTGAATTTCCCCCTCGCTGTTCTCGTGATAGAGCTCTCAGGAAATGCGGTTGTTTGAAAGTACGCAGCACCTTCCCCGTTGCTCTCTCCCTCTCTCCCTCTTCGCCATGTGAAGAAGGTGCAGCTTCCCCTTCCTTCTGCAATGATTATAAGTTCCCTGAGGCCTCCCCTACCATGCTTCCTTTACAACCTGTTTCTTCATAGACTACCCGGTATCAGGTAGCTCTTCGTAGCAGGGTGAGAATGGACCGATGCAGCGGCTCTCCAAGGACTGCAGGTGACTGTAGAGGCAAATCATTCTTTGCAGCTGCATGTCACAGTCACAGCACCTTAGATGTGCATGAGGTCCTGGTGTGATGTGGAGGCACTTCCCAAACACTGCAGCCAAGACCAGACTGTAGCAGACAGCCCTGCGTCACTCGAGACACACAGCCAGACACCATCATAGCCTCCCAGCTGTTTCCAGAAATGCCTAACGCACCCACTACGTTTGGTCATTACTGCTATATAAAGAAATTCACTTGTATTGGTCTTTTTTTTCTTACTATTCCCTGGATGTTTCATTAGTAATTTCACAATTGAGGATCTCTGTGAACAGTGTGCAGTAGCTTCACATTCCTAGGGAGACATGAAGGATACAATTCTGGGTCCAGGGTCAGGCGTGCCAGGTGAGCCAGCTTCTCATGTTTTGTGAATTTGAGTTTCCTCCTGCTCAGCTCCGTGCACACGAGAGCCTCCCAGAGCGCCAGGGACAATGTGGGAGGTTATCAAAGTTCTGTTTCACTCCCCAGAGTTCACTTCCAAATTTTCATCTTGTCTATTGTCAGGCTACCCGGAATCTCAGCCTCAGCAGCTGTGACCCTGCCATGCACCAGGCATGGGCTTTTCTGTGCAGCCTCCTGTCAGCTTGCCGCATGCCTTCGGTTAATTGTCAGAGTTCTGAAATGGTTGTTTTTGGCACTTCTGTCAAGCTTTTGCATTGCTTTCTGAAGCAGGGATTGGCCGAACTTCTTACTCTGCCATTTTGGGAATCCCCAGACAGCACAATGACCCTTCCCCGACCTAAGATGGATATTTCACTGAAGATTCGCCATGAGTTAGGGCACGGAAATCCTCAAAGCCCTACATTTTGCTATTTTAAAAGATTCCTTTCTCACTTGTATGTATTCAATTTGGGCAGTGGGTTGTGGGGAGGGGAAATGCTGACTTGTCTATTCTGATTGAATTATATTAGATCTGTGCCTTTGTTTTAATTTATAGAGACATTTAGAATTGCCATTTTACATAACTATAATCCCTGACAAATTTGCCTAATCTAAAAATATGATAATCAGGACTTTAGCATGTTGAAACCCAACATGCTAATGAAAATCTAGAGCAAGAGTAATCCCTGAAGGACCAAATATTATTCTAACCTTTTATAGCATTTGATATGTTGGAATCTGTGTCCCCACCCAACTTTCATGTCCAGTTGTTATCCTCAGTGTTGGAGGAGGGACCTGGTGGGAGGTGACTGGCTCATGGGCACAGATTTCTCCCTTGCTGTCTCGTGATAGTGAGTGAGTTATCACAAGATCTGGTTGCTTAAAAGCATGTAGCACCTTCCCCTTCTATCTCTTCCTCCTGCTCCGGCCATGTGAGGATGTGCCTGCTTCCCCTTTGCCTTCCACCATGATTGTAAGTTTCCTGAGGCCTCCCCAGCTATGCTTCCTGTACAGCCTGTGGAACTGTGAGCCAATTAACTCTCTTTTCTTTATAAATTACCAGTCTCAGATGTTTATAGCAGTGCAAGAACAAACTAATACACATTAGAATAGAATCAGTAGCAATGCATTTCTCAGATCATGCTTATTTTATAAGCCCCCCAAATTTAATATAAGTGAAATTCAATCAGTAACATGTTTCATTAATTTTAGACATAGCATCATTTATTTTATAGCTTATAAAAGCTCAAACCACAGAACTTGACTTTCAAATTGTTCTATGTCAATTTTTACAGAATTGTCTAAAACAATTCTTCTACTGCCTGTATTAGCATTTCTCTTCCATAATGCTGGCTTTAAGAATCTCATGAATCACAGATATTTGGCATATTTTCTTAAAAACAGGTGCCAAGCTCTCTTATAGTGCTGCTTTTCAAACATCAGTCATTCATGTATAATTTCACATTTTTTCCATATGAGAAAATCACATTCTCTTCATCTTTTTCAAAAGGAAATCTTATCTTATATTGGTAACTTAAATGAAATATTGGTATAATTTGAAATAAATAAAAACTAACTAAAATATTTACATGTAACTGGGGGCTTACATGTGTCATTTTAAAAAAATAAATAGAAGTGTAAACCAAAAATAAAATTATAAGGCCCCCAACCATCTGAAGGAACCCTTTCTCTCGGTAAAAGGCATTCCAAAGTTAACCTGGAAAACTAGTTCAGGCCATCATGGGAAGGTGGGAGTCAGACATGCTTCATTATGCTCTCCTCCCTTTTGGAATTCAGGAAAAGCTGACCAGCATTAACATCAACACAGATCTTAAGTCTGATTAAAAACCTTTACAATCTATTCTCTCTGAAGCCTGCTACTGGTTTTATCATCTGCATGATAAAACCTTGGTCTCCACAACCCGTTATCTTAACCCAGACATTCCTTTCTATTGATTCTAAGTCTTTAGATAATAGCTTAATTATTTCAATGAATTGCCAGTCAGAAAATCTTTTAATCTACCTGTAATCTGGAAGCCCCCGCTTCTAGTTGTCCCACCCTTCTGGACCGAACCAATGTACATCTCACATGTATCGACTGACATCTCACGTCTCCCTAAAATGTATAAAACCAAGTTGTAGCCTGACCACCATGGGTGCAAGTTCTCAGGATCTCCTGTGGGCTGTGTTACAGGCCATTGGTCACTTACTTGGCTCAGGATAAATCTCTTAAAATATTTTAGAGTTTGACTCTTTTCACTGACAGAAGAATGGAACATACCTTAATATACATGTTGGATTTTACAAAATGAAACTTTAAAGATAGTTTCTGAATGATTAAAAAATGGAGATTTATAACGAGTTAGCAACAAATGGGTATTTGAGTAGATGTCATTTAGGCTAGGATGAGGATAAATTTGTTTCCATTTCAGAAGACAAGTTAGTGTTTTGGTTTTTTATGCTAAGCCCTTCTCCAAATACCACCTCCTATATTTGAAAAATCACAATTATTTCACTATTTTCTCATGCTAATTTCTTGACAAAATTAAGAAAGTAACTATTTTTTTCAAGATACTTTTGTTTCCAAAAGCCTTCATGAGCAATATGCTGTTCTCTTGCTGGGTGTTATTTCACCATGTACAGAAAGAGCACAACTAGGTTTGTTTTCCGTCACTCCACCACCTGTTCTGAAAAAAAATTTACAGAGTCCCAATTTCAAATGTTTCATGTGACTTTCTATAAAACTGAGAATGCAGTACTCTGTCCTTAAACATAATTGGCAATTTTCACTGTCATACGAAAAATTCAGCATAATTTCAATGGCAAAGGTATCTCTATGTAGCAACGGTAAGGAGATTTTTATTGTGAAACAACTTGAATATTTATAATAAAAACCGTCCACATCCAGATTTGATGTTCCACATATTATAGTGTAGATCTCAATTGTGGGCACGGAACTGAATCTTGGAAAATATACATTTTTAATTTATTTCATTCACATTACCCCAAATTCGAAACATATGTAGCAGCCAATTCAGTTGCTGAAGTTTTGAAATATTCACATGTATTCTTAAATGTACTTGCTTATAGTTTGTATAATGTACATAAAATACAATTAAAATTACTAGGTTTTATCTTACTCTAACTAACTCTATTCAGGAAACAATGGGTTTGATGTGACAGTTGTATATGTTTTCTAAGTCACACAAAAATGTCGCCATGTTAAAATTTGAACAGATCAATGTAGACTTGCAGAATGAACGTTGCTGAAGAAGTTGGCATTCTCTTCGCTATTCCCAGAAATCACTGAAAAGCCACCATGATAATACAGTTTTTTAAGTGTAAAACTTAAAAACCCCATTATCAGCAAAACAAGGAACAGGTGTTAATATAATCCTCAGACTACACATGAATTCTAAGGACTGTCAGACCCAGTTGAGGTCAGGCACGAGCTGTGTGGGAAGAATCAGAAACCAGAGAAACCCCAGTGACCAGAGACCCAGGGCCGTGAGGGTGCCGCATGCTGAGGGCCAAACCACATCCCTTGCATGGGAAAGAGAGGGAAACTGGGGTGGGGGGGGAAGGGAGGAAGGTAGGAAGGAAGGGAGGAAGGGAGGGAGGAAGGGAGGGAGGAAGGGAGGGAGGAAGGGAGGGAGGAAGGGAGGAAGGGAGGGAGGGAGGAAGGGAGGGAGGAAGGGAGGGAGGAAGGGAGGGAGGGAGGGAGGAAGGGAGGGAGGGAGGAAGGGAGGGAGGGAGGGAGGGAGGGAGGGAGGGAGGGAGGGAGGAAGGGAGGGAGGGAGGAAGGGAGGGAGGGAGGGAGGGAGGGAGGAAGGGAGGAAGGGAGGGAGGAAGGGAGGGAGGAAGGGAGGAAGGAAGGGAGGAAGGAAGGGAGGGAGGGAGGGAGGGAGGGAGGAAGGGAGGGAGGGAGGAAGGAAGGGAGGGAGGGAGGAAGGGAGGGAGGAAGGGAGGGAGGAAGGAAGGGAGGGAGGGAGGAAGGGAGGGAGGAAGGGAGGGAGGAAAGGAGGGAGGGAGGGAGGGAGGGAGGGAGGAAGGGAGGGAGGAAGGGAGGAAGGAAGGGAGGAAGGAAGGGAGGGAGGGAGGGAGGGAGGGAGGAAGGGAGGGAGGGAGGAAGGAAGGGAGGGAGGGAGGAAGGGAGGGAGGGAGGGAGGGAGGAAGGAAGGGAGGGAGGGAGGAAGGGAGGGAGGAAGGGAGGGAGGAAAGGAGGGAGGGAGGGAGGGAGGGAGGGAGGAAGGGAGGGAGGAAGGGAGGAAGGAAGGGAGGGAGGAAGGGAGGGAGGAAGGGAGGGAGAGAGGGAGGGAGGAAGAAATGAAGGAAAGTTGTAGAACTAAGTAACATCCAAAATTGTTTCCACAAAATAAATAATGCAGTTAAATATTTCATCAACCACAAAAATTAATGCAGCCATTACTACTATAAAGGAAGATCACAAATCCAGAACGCAACATTTCAAGGGAGAGATGATGAGACACCAGAAGACAATGACCATGAACTGATAGAAGTCAGAAAATAAATAGAAAAGCAGACTTATCTCCAAAAGGGTAGCAAACACAGATGCAGCCCCATGAAGAGCCATTGCAAGGAACCCCTTAGAAAACAGAAAATGAAAACAAAGCAAACTAACAAAACTTAAATAAAGGGTCTGTTGTGAGCTGAATGTTTGTCTTCCCCCAAACTCCTAAGTTGAAATCTACTCCCCAGTTTGACGGGGTTAGGAGGGGTGTTGAGGAGGTGACGAGGTCTGGAGGGGAGCCCCATGGATGAGATTAGAGCCCTTATAAAAGAGGCCCCAGAGATACCTCACACCTTACACCACGTGAGGGAACAGCAGGAAGGCACCACCTGCAACCCAGAACAGGTGCTCATCAGAACACGACCATGCTGGCACCTTGATCTTGGACCTCCAGCCTCCACAACTGTGAGAAATGCGTATCTATTGTTTACAAGCCACCTAGTCTATGGCACTTTGCTGTAGCAGCTTGAACTAAGAGTTAAAAAGACTGTTTCCAACAGTAAGCCAGATTTTATACTTTTAGTAACCATGTCCATTAAAGTACAGGAGGAAATAGATATTTTTAAAAGCAATGCTGAGCTGGCACAAAAAATAGGAATGCAGAGAGCAAAAACAAAGTGAAGGCAGGAATCCTGTAAGGTAATGCCTAACCCAGATTGGGTGCAGATTGCAGACTGGACTCTGAAGGCTGCACTGGATACAAAATTCAGGAGAAGAAGTCAAGGGCTGTGTAAGGTGGGAAGATGAATCAGAGATCCCCAAATAATCTGAGACTCCAAAGGCCATGCACTCTGTGTAAGAATAAAAAGAAATAAACTCTACACACAAAAGAAAAAATTGGAAATTGTCCTACATCAGTGCTGGCATAGGTCACACACACAGACTCGTGGTCCAAAACCCAATTAGATGCCCCAACATGAAGCAGTTCTGGGTTACTTGAGCCCCAAAGCAACCGGCAGAAACAAGTTTCATCTGGAAATCTGCAACATTAAGCCCAGATATAATTATAGTACTGAGGAAATTGATCAGTTTCCTATAAAAATGACAACAAATAAAGAAGCAAGTCACCAGGAGAGAGAAACAGCAAAGAAACATTCAGGCTCTCAAGGGCGCAGGATGGGGTTACCAGACATGAAATACAAAATGATTGTGTTTGATATGGCTACAGAAATAACAGAAAATAACTGAAAATATAGCAAGAACAAGAGACAATAAAGGGATAATATTTGAAAAAGACACTAGAACTTTCACAAATAAAAGCTGTAATAACTGACATTTAAAACCCAATGAATATTAAAAAGCAAATTAGAGACACTTGAAGGTGAATCAGAAAACGGGAAGATACATCTAAATAAATCCAGAATATAGTCCCATGAGACAAAAAGACAGAAGATATAAAAGAGTGTGAAGATTATGATGGTCAAAGTGAGAGGGCATCATAAATGTTTAATCAGAGTTTAAAAGGAATAAAAGAGAGAAAGTGGGAAGATGCATAGAATCCAGTCAATTCTCACCATCTCCATCCTTTCTTCTTACAGCTGATTTTCATCACTGCAGCCAGGAAGAGCCTCCTGAAAGATAAATCAGACAGCAACACTTCTCAGCTCAAAACCTCAACAGTTGTAGCTCATTTGGAGTAACACTCAGAGCCCTCCAGCCGCCTCACGTGCTCTCCCTTCCTCTCCCCTCTTACCTCTCTGCCCCTCCCTGCCCCTCCCTGCCCCAGGCACAGGGCAGGGAAGGCTCAGCTGATCCCTGCACTGCAGAGTGGCCTGAGGGTGGGCTCCTGCTGCTTGAGATGTCTCCTGATGACCCCATTTTAAACAGCAAGCCTCCCTCCACACATCTTCCTCCCCCTCCAATTTATGTTTCTCCAGAGCACTTCTCAGATCTTGATATGCTGTAATCAGACTTTTGTTTGTTGTGTATTAAGCTCTGCAATAACATGTCGTTGTCTCCTTTGTTCACTTCTGTATTCCCAGCACCCAAAACAGGGCTTGGCGCAGTTGATACTAATGGGATATCTGCTGAGAGATGGGTGGATGGATGAGGACAAATTCCAAAAGGTAGGGCAGAAAGTTGGAATATGCCTGGGTTTCTGCTCCATCTGTGCCAGCCTCCCAGCTTTGGGTTTTGTATCTCCCTACTTCTTGTTATACAAGAAAAAGAAATTTCTGATATGTTTAGTCCAATATCTTCATGTCTTCTATTACTTACTACTATTTGCAATGGCAGACTTATTAAAGTACACTTCTCTCTCATTTCACAAGGATTATCTGTGCCCGTGTGCCTGGGAGGGGTGCAGCAGGTCAGAACAGCCCAGGAGTAGGGAGTGACCAGGCCAGGGCCCTCCCCACACTCAGTGCAGGACTGTGCCCTCATTTCTCACATACACTCACCTCCCAGGGTGCAAATCTGGCATTAGCCTTTAGGGTGTGAGGACAGAGCATAATCTCATAGTGTCTTCTATTTGTTCCTAACTTGTTCTCAATTCACTAACATGCATTTCTGTTTCCTCAGTTTCCCTCTGAGATACACAGCTAACATTTTGTACTGGCTCTTCTAACGGACAAATCTGGAAGCATTCCAAGTTTCTAGATCTTCTGTCCTGAGAGCAGGGTCGTTTCCTCAAAAGCCAATGAGCACCCCACTCCCAGAGCTCTGCCCCTAAAGATGAGGCTTCATCTCCCCCCATCCAGCCCTCCCAGTCTACGTGGGACAGTAGTGACAGCCCACAGAACAGGGACCACCAGCAGGTGTTTACGTTCTGAGCTGGAGGCAGCTCTGTTTAGACAGGTCTCTGTGGTGGAGCTGGATCCCTGCACACATGCACACTGGGCAAGAGGAATGCAGGCAGTGGGACTTGTAATTGATGATGTCCCAGATGACAGGTGAGAGTGCTCTGGAGGCAGCTCTGCACTCCACGTCAGCCAGGCCTCCGCTCCCTCCTGCTCCACCTTCCCCTTCATCTGCTAACTAACTCATCAGATGCCTTGTGAGTGAGGCAGCCCCTGACTCAGAGGACAAGGTGTCGCCCTTTCTGTGGAACTTCAAGACTGTTTTGAGCATTAGACCTGGAATCCTGAGGAGATGCTAAAGGAATCCATCTGAGCTGCCAGTGGGGCAGAGCATTTGACAGATTTGGGTCAGGGCTGCTGCTGTGCCGTCCCCAGCCGTGTGGTCCGTCTCCCAGGACCACCTGTGCAGAACTAAGACAGCAAGGATATGCCAGCCTCACTGCCATCAGCCCCTCGGGCACTCTGTGACCAGCAAATCTGTTTTCTTCTCTCCTTCATAGGATCCTGGATAGGAGACCTGGTCCCCTGTTTGTTCGTGGGTGACTTGTCAAACAGATTTCTATTTTTAATAACTATTTTTATTAATAAATATTCAGTTATAGTTGATTAATACCATACACATTAACTAGCTCTAACCCTTTTAGCAGTTTGAGTTCATGCTTTCCATTCTTTCTGTTATATGTACATTTTAAAAATAAATCATTTTGACATATTTGGAATTCTGATTTTTAAAATTCTGTAACATATAATACCATCTTTCCAAATTATTATTTTTCTTCATCTTAATATGTAAACTTTCCTGTGTCAAGCATTGCACATATTTGATCATATTTAATCATCACCACAGTACCCGGAGGCACTTCTTAGGGCCCCTGTTTTTAAATTGAGGAAGGTGAGCTCAGATATGTTATGTTGGCTGAAGTCACCCAACTGATCCTTGGCACAAGCAGGGTTTACGTCCAGACTACCTGGTCTACAGCAAACACTTTTCCATAGTAACTTGGGTTATTTTTATAATTTATTGTTATATACAAGGGGCACTAAAATAGGTAATCAATATGATTTCTAACCAGTCTTATACCTTTCAAAGTCCTACATGTTTTTCAATTGCTGAACATAAAATGAAAATGCTTTCTTGAGATTATAGTGAAAGCTTTAAAAGTTGTGTGGTTTCACCTGCTGACTTCCCACTAAGATTTCTTTTAAGGAACTAATCTGAATGTAAACACAAAGGTGGTACACAGATTCTGACCTGCTCCACACACTTCTACAGAGGGTTTTCTCCCAGCTGCCTCCGTCTCAGGCTCAGCCAAGGACCCCACTTCTAAATTCATGGAATTCCCACATCTTCCTCCAGATCCGCCTCCATCAGTGCCGCCTGTTTTCCATCCTCTTGGGACTTTGGTGCCTACACTTGGTGCTATTTCTGATGTCTTTTTTGACATGGGAAACTGCTTCCTCTCTCTTGGGTCACTCCCCTTGGCACTAAGAGGTTCCTTCCAGCTCTTCCCCTGACTTTCAGGCAGACTCTTCTCAAGGTCGGGAGGTGCTGCTCCACCCTCACATCAGAGCTTCCCCTCCCCTCTCTTCATGTTTCACCACAAACAACCTGCACAGCAACTATTCCCAAAACTGCTCCCAAACTTCTGTTCATGTTGATATTGTGACCTCTTCCCATGAGTCATGAATGTTCTGAATGGCATCTAGAAGAGTGAATCCTTTCCAGAAGGTTTTCAATTGACTTGCCCAGATCCATCAGAGGAATCACTATCTATGGCAGATGTAGCCTAATGAAATACATTTCGTAAATAATAAGACTAAAAAGTCATAATTACTCCTTGATCCATGGGCTGCAGAGTGGATGTTGTGTTAGCAGACATGAGAACAACATTTATCTTCTTGTACATCACCATCAGTGTTGTCAATGAGCAATATTTTGGAAGGATTTTTTCCCCCAAGCAGTAGATCTCAACATTAGGCTTAAAATATTCAATAAACCATGCCATAAACAGATGTGCTGTTATCCAGGCTTTGTTGTTCCATTTACAGAGCACAGGCAGAGTGCATTTAGCACAATTCTTAAGGACTCTGGGATTTGGGGAATAGCAAGTGGGTATTGACTTTAACAAAATGTCACCAGCTGCACTAGCCCCTAATAAGAGAGTCAGCCTGTCCTTTGAAGCTTTGAAGCCAGGCATTGACTTCTCTTCTCCAGCTATGAAAGTCCTAGATGGCATCTTCTTTCCAATAGAAGCCTGTTTCATCTACATGGAAATTCTTTGTTTACTGTAGCCACCTTCATCAATGATAGCTGGATCTTCTGCAGAACTTGCTACAGCTTCTCCATCAGCACTTGCTGCTTCTCCTTGCACTTTTATCCTATGGAGCTGGTTTCTTTCCTTAAACCTCATGAATCAACTTCTGCCAGCTTCAAACTTCTTCTTCAGCTGCCCACTTCATAGAATGGAAGAAAATTAGGATCTTGCTCTGGATTAGGTTTTGGCTTAAGGGAATATTACGGCTGGTTTGAGCTTCTATCCAGCCACTAAAACTTTCTGCCCCAGAGAGTAGCTAACTATAGGTAGCTCTGCAAGTCATCCTTAGAGCATTCTCAGCCTGTTACTTGTAATTTTCTTGAGAAGTTTAAATTACATGACATAAATATGAAGGTTTGAATCTTGAAAACAGAGGCCACTGCTGTCATATGAAAGTGGAAACTATATTTTTTCTTTAATGATAAACATTTTATTTATAAGTGGATTAAATTATAAGATCAAATGGTGGTTTCAGCTAATATTTTTTAATTAATAGGCTTCATTTTTTGAATAGTTGCAGGTTTACAGAAAGAACTGAGCTGCAAGTACAAGGAGTCCCGATATCCTCTGTCATCATCTCAAATTTCCCTTATTTTTAACATTTCACATTAGTGGTGACATATTTGTTAACAATTTTATTTTATGGCTGTGAATAGACTGGATTTTCTCCGTAGTGCTGTAAAATTCGTTCATTTTTATTTTCTAACCAGGAAATGAGTTGTTATATCCATAGTAAAAGGCACGACAGTTATTTCATTTGGGATCACTCTGACAGCAGGGAGGGTCTGCAGTGTGAGACCTGCTTTTATTAAGGGACAACCTTCTGTCGTTAAATGTGAGGCTTTTCCTTAGGTAATGTGAGAATTATTTAGTCAGTTTCTAACTTAGCTTAAAAAAAATGTCCAGGTTACCTTTTCATGGAAATTGGTATGCACCCTGTGGGCATCAAGCTCGCGTGGAAACGTTCGTGTTACCCAGGGAAGAATTAGGAGCACGCACAAAGCGGGGACGCTCGGCCTCCTTCCCCCCGAGGCCCCTGGGAATCCCAGCATGTGGGTGCTTTACAGACGAGGCTGGGGTTGAGGCAGCGTGAATCTCCCCGTTTGCGCAGCGGGAGCCGAACGGGCCTCGGACTGACCGCTCCAGATCCCGTGGTCCGCCCACGACGCCACGCCAAAAGTAAGCGGGAAACTGACTCAAGGCCGGGATTCACATTTCAGACTTTTCGGAAGTGTGGACCGCCCAACACACTCTCTGTAGCAGTGGATTTAAAACTGCCCCATTTCCAGGCAGCGTATCTGACGTTTGCTGTGCAAAGTCAGTGGCTCTTCGGAGAGCGCATAGTGCAGCTGCTCGGCCTGCGCTGGGCTGCCCCTGCCAACAGGCACCGGGCTGCCCCTGCCAACAGGCACCGGGCTGCCCCTGCCAACAGGCACCGGGCTGCCCCTGCCAACAGGCACCGGGCTGCCCCTGCCAACAGGCACCGGGCTGCCCCTGCCAACAGACACCGGGCTGCTTCTGCCAACAGGCACCGGGCTGCTCGGCCTGCACTGAGCTGCCCCTGCGAACAGGCACCGGGCTGCTCCTGCTAACAACAGCTTTCCTCTGTTGGAGATGTCAGAAAATCCCTGTGGCCTCATTTTAACTTTCTTGGAAGCAGTTAGGAAATACCACATTTAAACAAAATTAAGACATCTGTGGAAGGAAGTGGTTTGGTGATATTAGAAACATTTGGGGAGTCGTTGTTAAAATTTAATCGGCATCTTTGTGAACGTCCGTGGCTCTGCCCCACTGCACTCCAGCCTGGGCCACAGAGCAAGACTCCATCTCAAAAAAAAAAAAAAAATGGGGTTTGAATTTTGTCAGATGCCTCTTCAGGATAGATGGGGATGATCTTATTTTTATTGTGAGACCATTTAAGAGGATGAGTGATCATAGATGTCCTAATACTGAACAAGCCTAGAGTTTACACCTGGTCTCTATCACGTCACTGTGTTGCTAGGATTTTTGTAACAATGTTTAGGAATGAGATTGGACTTTTGTTTTTTAAAAGATTTAATCTGAGATGTGTTTTGTTATTAGTAGTAGGCTCAGATCATTGAAGTATTTGGAAATTATTTTGCTATCCTCTGAAACAATTTTAATATTACGAAGCTGACTTTTTATATTTTTGAATTTAATTGAAAAGGATTAAGCAACATAGTCATTTCTATTTTATTTGATTAGGATTTTTTGTGTGTTGTGTGTGTATACACACAAACTCACTCTACACACACACACACACACACACACACATATATACCCTGAGTTACTAAGAGTTTGAAGTTTTCAAGCTAGTACGGATTTTCTTATTTGTAGTACAGAGCCAGGAAATGTTATCTATACTATTTCTTATCATGGCATAAAAGAAGTTTTCTTTGTGGCATTATGGTCAACTTTTGGGAGTGTTCTGTGGATACTTGATATAAATAGGCAGTCTAATTTCAGGGTACAGTCTCAAATCATTAGATACCTTTTATTTTTATATAGTATATATATTTATGTTTTTATATGCTTGATCTACAGTATGCTGAGGGGTGTGTTAATCTGTTTTTTTAATATTTCTTTGTTTGTCTAATATACTTTAGCTTGCTAAATATTAACAGGCCCACTGACAGCCACATGCATTATGTATTTGTTTTAGATTTATTAAATTTAACATCATAAGATGTGCCCTTGTCAACCTTGGCAGTCAAGCTCTTCCTTCAACCTCTGGCGCCTGGCAAATATTTATCTGCTTTTCATTATTATAATTTTGCCTTTTCAACAATTTTATGTAAGTGGATTTATGTCTTCAGTGTCTGACTTCCGACACGAAGCAAAATGCTCTGAAGATGCACCATGTTGTTGATGTATCAAGATCCATTCCTTATGCTGAGTAGTGTTCCACGGTATAGATGGAACATGATGCTTTTCATCCACTCAACAGATGATGGACATTTGGAGTGTTTCCAGTCTGGGGTCATTATGAATCAAGCTCTTATGAACATCATATAATACTTTATGTGGACATGTATTGTTATTTCTCCTGGACAAATACCCAGGAATGAAATCTCTGGGCTAGAAGTTAAACTGCCACACCAAAGTAACCATGCAATTTTGCATTTCCAGCCACACTGCATGGGAGTTTCCAGAGCTCCATATCCTCATTCACACTTGATAGCGTCAGTTGTTTTCATTTTAGCCATTTAGAGGTTGGTGGCAACATCTCACTCTCAGTTCCCGTTTGCTTTCCTTAATTGTTAAAGATAATTGGGCATCTTTTCCTGTCCTTACTTGGTATCCGTATATTTTCATTGGTGAAATCAATGAAATCTTTGGTCCATTTTTTGATTGTTATCATTTTAGTGATTTATAACAGTTCTCATCTACATTTAAAAATTGATATTTAATAGATGTACATGTTTTTGATATACATGTGATAATCTGATGCATTTGTATAATCAAATCAGGGTCACTGGGATATTCAACACCTTGAATATTTATCTTTCCTTTATACTAAGAACATTCAAATTATTCTCTTCTAGCTGTTTTGAAATGTATAATCCATTAATGTCAACTGTAGTCACCCTAATGATCTATAAGACACCTGGTCTTATTTTTTTCTAAGTGTGCATTTTTACCCATTAATCAACCTCTCATCTACTTCTTAGATTTATCTTTGCAGTTTTTGGCAGTTTTATAATGATGTGCCCATATGTGACTCTCCTTGTGTTTATTCTGCTTGTTCATAGTATTCTGCTTGTTCATGTGTTTATTCTGTTTGTTCATAGTAATTCTGAAATCTGTAGCTCAACGTCTTTTTAAAGTTTTGGAATATGCTCTGGCATTCTATCTTCATGTAGAGCATCTGCCTGATTTTTCTCTCCACTTTTTGACCAGAACCTTCGCTACTCATTTTCTGTACCTTCTTGCCTTATCCCAGTTTCTTTTGGTTTTTCTAGTATTTTCAGTCAACTCTCAGTCTGGATGTATGTTTCTGATCTGCTTTCAGGTCAATGATTCTTTTTTCTGCTGTGTCTAAATGATTGTTAAATCCATTTATTATCTTCTTAAGTTTATTTTACTTTTCAGTCTCATGTTTTTCATTTAGTTCCCTCTTATAGTGTCAAATTTCTGCTGAAGTTCTCCACCTTTTAATTCGTTGAACGTATAGAGCATAGTTTCTTTACAATAAGTCCATTGTAAATGAGTGAATTTATTGTATCTTCTATAAGTTTAAAACTTTAAATTTTGTAAGTTTAAATGCATGGAAGGAAATACCATATAGTGCTTAAGGACACAAACATACGTAGTAAAAATGTAAAGAAAATTATGGAATTAAAAACAGCAGACTCAGGGTGATGATTCCCTTTGAGACAGCAGTGATTGGAAAGGGCTTAGAAAGTAGGAAATAACTGTTTTGCTTCTCTCTGGGTGAAGATAACATGTGTCTTCATTCTCCTTCTCCATGTCTTAAGAAGGTATAATCAATAAAAAGGCAAATGCACGGGTGTGTGTATGACGTAAGGCAGTGAGGAGCAAATAGCAGGACAAACAGTGCAATGTGCACCTGCTCCTCTCAGGAGGGTTTGCTGGGTGAAGCCAGGGCTGAAGCAAGGAGTCTACGCGGGAGCTGGGGCTGAGCGGGCAGCTCGCTTCAGGGTGGGCATGGGGGAGCGCAAATATTGGGTCAGCGAGTGTCTGAAAGGCAACAGAATCTCTGGTGGATTTAATAGAGGGCATGAGATAGAAGAACGAAAGTTGGCTCTGAAGTCACCCTGAGGACCAAGGAAATCCAAGGATGGAATTTCCATTTACTGAAGAGGAACACTGTGGGAGGGGCAGGCTAAGTGAGGAGAAAGAAGAGCTTGGATTTGAGCCCGTGAAGGCTGAGGTGTTGTTCCTTGTCCAAACGGAGCTGTAAAGTGCATAGCTGGAGAGGGGAGTCTAGAGTTCAGGAAGGAGCTCAGGCAGCCCAGAACGGAGGTGGATTTCACCCTGCATATGAGACATAGGACTTCTGCCTACCTTACAAAAAAAATAAGAAAAACAAAATTGAAATATTAACTTAGTAAACATTTAAAAATTTTATTTAGAGACAAGTCTACCATGTCACCGTAAGTTTATGCTACTGCTGGAAATGAACAAATGTAGCCCCATAAGGAAGAAAAGTTGAGAGATGCCATATGTTTAAAGACATGGTAGTCAGACTTCTTTGTAATCACATTTCTATGATAAATGCATAGTATAATTTTTGAAGGTATAAAGACAATTTCTAAGGATTTATATTCTAGTTAATACCTACGACTCTAAACATTACTTAATACCTCATTTAAGCTGATTTCTTTTTCTCTAGTCACTTTGCAAATGGAAATGTAAGAATTGAAATTTGTGGCTCTACCCTCAAGATTCTCAAATTAAAACACAGCTACCATATACATGGCCAGATCAAATGCTTAGCGATGTTTGAAGTGTTCACAAGAGAACTATGAGCGTATAAACTGTATGATATTCTATGACACAGTAAGTGTGATAAAGTTAGTACAAAGTATTTAAAGATATGTCAGTCAGCTCTTTTTATATAGAAAAACAAAATCTTTTACATACGGAATGGAAATTTTGTAGAACAGAAGTTTTTTAAAATTTATATTAAACATTGCTTAACTAGTAAATCCTGTCAGTGTAGAAATAATTTTTTTGTAATTCTCAAAGAAGAAAATAGTATACGCTTTAATTCATGGTTACGTAGTTGGCTGGAAAAATGCCAGTTTGACCTCGAAGTTTTCCTTCCCACCAATCAAAATGTGAATCTGTTTTTGATATAACTGTGATTCTGTCTCCAGCTTGAAAATTCAAATCCCCAGGCTGCTGTCCTTCAAATGAATACAGCGCTGTCACTTCTATGGGTTGATTCAAATTGCCTGAAACAAGAAAAAAGTATTCACGTTTATGTTCTTTAAGGGAGAAATTGGGGGTATCTGCTGGTAAGATAAAAATTAACCACTTAGGGCTTGGCATGCTGATGTCTTGGAGGCTGGCAGAAACCACAACAGTCTGTGTAATTTTCATCACATTATTAAACTTATTTTTCTCTGCACATTCTATACCTAAGGATTTAGCACATGCTTCTGGTTACAATCGTCTAAATTTTGAATAATCTATGAGATAATACAACTTACATTTTTTCTATTTTAATATAGTCATTGCTGTGGTCTGAATGTCTGTGTCCCCCTGAGATTCAAGTGTTGAAATCCTCAACCCCAAGGTGATGGTGTTAGAAGTGGGGTCTCTGGGGGCTGATTAGGTCATTACGTTTCCCCCTCATGAATGGGATCAGTGTCTTACAGACAGAGCCTGAGGGGAGCTTCTTGCACCTTCCTCCTTGTGAGGACACAGCCAGATGGCACCATCTCTGAGGCAGAAACCGAGACCTTGCCAGACACTGAGTCTCCTGGAACCTTGATCTTGGAATCCAGCCTCCAGAAGCGTGAGAAATAAAATTCCATTGTCTATGAGCTGCCCAGACTATGGTGTTTTGTTACAGCAGCTGGAAGGGGCCAAGATAGTGTGACAGTTTCATGGATGGCAGATGCTGGAGAAAGGCAGATATGTGAGCTTATATCAAACCCTAGGAGATTCAACTTTAAAACCTGGCTCTTTACTCACTGGGCTTGAAGATTGCAGCCCAGTTATATTTTGCTGTTTCCTCAGCAGACATTTCTTCTCCCTGGGCTTTGTGGCTGTTTACATTTCTGTGCTTAATTGATCCATCCTCTCAATATCAGAGATAAGTTGGAATTAGCACAGGTAGGAGCATTTCTACATGTTTCACAAGTACTTCAATGCAATGTGTATATCCATGTATTGCAGAAGGAAGAAAATACTTTGAGAACTGAGCAGTTAACATGAATAAAGGACATTAAATATTATAAACCACATAACATCATAAAAATATAATTAAACAGTTTTTGAGCACTCAGCTACATGGAGTCTGATGCTTCTATGCTTCATATAATTCTGTGCATAAATTAGGCAACTAGATGTACAGACATACAGAAAACATCAATAACCAGACTCTAGAGCCAGGTCCTATTTGAACCCATAATACAATAATAATAATAATAATAATAATAAAGTGAATTTGGTCCACCCATAAGAAATAAAAATAGTCAACACTTTAAACTACTCTGACTAAAACACTGAATTTGTAGCTCTCACAAGATGGTGCTACCATTCTTTCTTTAAAGTATGTGCCATTTAGTTGAGTTCTAAAGAAATAATCCTAATAATAATTACACTAGAGATAATACTGGTATAACTACTTTTTTCTATAATAAAAAGAATTTCTGTATATTTTATTTTGTCCTATATTTACTTTTAGTTAACAATTTTAAGGAATAAGGATAAAAGAATGTCACCAAAATAAAATTTTGACATAGTCTAGAAACAACAGAAGTTAAGTTAAACGTTCTAAGTACACGATTAAATTCTACACGTTAATGAGCAGTCGCTGCCATGCACTGTGAAAGGAGCTGTGCTCTGCCCTGGGTGGGGTACCGGGCAGGCGCTCACGCCGTGCTTCCCTGTCATCAGATCAGGATGCAAGCTAATGCTAAAGAAAAATCCATCCTGGAAATCTCTTATTCATGATTATATTTAGGATATCCACATATAAAGCTGAATCTTAATTAACCAGAACAAATCAGTGAAGAACCTCCAGGAACTCTGTTCTCCTCCCTCTTGTCTCCCAGACACGTTAGATAATAGGAAGAAGTGAATTAAAAGAGTGCTTGTGAACATCAGGGAATGTTCTGGGAGCCACAGCCATCTTAGCTACCATGCATTTATACACTTGCAGTCTCATTTATAAAATCAAAAATGCATAATAAGGACGACAACAATGATAACAGCAATCGATGTGCATCTGGGAAGAGCAGCCACCGCGAACTGCTCAGGCACACACATGTGCTCCTCTTACACCGCCCACTGCAATGAGCCAGCTACTCCTATCCCACATCACAGAATTTGAAACTGAGCTTCAGAGATAACAAGTAATTTGTCCAAGGTCAGGAATGAAGCTTGTCTCCAGGTCATCCAAGACCCTCAACAACCTCATAAATATGAAATTGTGCTCAACAGACCAAACTGACATTTATCGGAGCATTTTACTTTTATGAGGCAAATGTTCAAGGGGGATTAATGTGGTGACCTGCCTCACTGGGTTTCCAGACTGTACAAATAACAGCATCTGATGCTATGGTTCTGGGTAATCCCTGATAACTGAATTGGTTCTAAGCAGTTTCAGGAATATATTTTATGAGGAATAATTAGAGAAATAAATATATTATGAACTAAGAAAGAGAAAGAAGGCGAGATCACACACCTGGTTTGGTCCCTGCCCTCACAATCAGGTGTTGGTCTAATTTTCTCTGAATTGCAGATTCCAAATGAAATGAGGATAAAGCAGAGTGAGAGAGGAGGGTAGAGGAGCAACGTGGGTGGTTTTCAGGTGCAGCTGAAGGGAAGGCCACCACTGAAGGTCTGAGGGGGCCGGGATCTCACATTTCTCCTTTACTGAGGCTAAGATGTGTGTTGACTGTTCCTTGTGCCCAATTCCTCACCCAATTGACCACAAATGCCTCTGCCTCCTGGGGAGGAGTACAAGAGAGTCAGGAGTTGAGCTGTTGTTGGAGAAACTCCATCCACATGAAAATCACAAGAGTGAGGCCAGCAGATCCAGGAGCCTATCTGCTTTCTCAGATAACAATCCACAAGCCAGTTAGTGCTGTGCCCTGTTAGTTTTTTTCTTTGAAAAACTCCAAATGACTTAAAGTTCCTCTTTAATGTAAATATTAGAGATAATTTTCACAAGGAGAAGTTTAATGCCCACAAAGAATTCACCAATAAAAGGTGAGTCAAGTAATGATTCCTTCCATGAAGAAAAACCTTCCTGGTTACCGGGAAGCAAACCCCACTGAGTTACTAAAAAGCTAGGCATTCACAGATGCCTTTCCTTCTGCACAGCATATGCCTTTCAGCCTTATACTCATGTACTTAAAAAATCGGAAGGATCTTTGAGGGAATTGGCCATTTCCTTTATAATATTCAAGTTTAGTTGAAGTAGGGGTTATTTTTCCCAAACAGGAAGCAGAATTAGATCACAGTCAGCATTGGTGACTGGCAGCTGCCCTGAGGCCCATGATTAGAAAGGCTGGTCTGTGGATGTCCCTGTTTCACTTCCAGTCCACTTTCTCATGGAGCCTGCATGAGGCAGACCCTGTGCAGCCAGCACCCCTGGCCTGACTGTTTCAGGAAAAAAATCACAGCCTTGGGAAGGTCACAACTAGGAGAACACAGCCTTTGCTAAGCACCCTATGAGGCACAAGATAGCCCCTACAACAAAGTGTTATCCAGCCTAAATTGTGTGTAGTGCCCAGGTTGAGAAACCCCATCCCAGACAACTATGGGATGGGTAAGAGGACGGGGAAGAATGCTGACGCTGGAGGGTCCAAGCTTTTGATTATGAAACCATTCCTTCCAGAGTCCCTAGAGGGAAGATCAGAAAATTGGACTGTGCATTTGCAAGCCTTGTCTCTCTCAGAGGCCCAAGAACTACACAGCTGGACCTTCCAAAGGGCAAAGCCAAAAGATGGTGGGAGGAAAGTACAGGTGATGTAGCTGATCATCACACCCAGCAGCCCCTCCGTGGGGCTGAGACAGATTCAGGAGCTCGCACGTGGAGGACTCAGTGTCCTGCTTCATCAGGTTTTCAATTTAAGGCTCGGGCCCTGGGGCCATGTAACTGTGACTTTTCTCTGCAGCGATGGTAAGCAAACATGAGGAAATCCTTGGTAAGAGGTTAATGCCTTCACAGCTGCGTTTAAAAAAATTCCGTAACGTAAAGTGAGTTTTATTTAAAAAGTGGACTGTAAATCTTCCCTTTTAATTTTTTCTTCAAGAACCTCTTTGGAGAATGGGCTAAAGGAATATTAACTCAGTTGTAACTGAGTTACCATTTACCTTGTCCTGTCCTCAAATACAAACACAGAAGCAACGGAGAAACCAACCATGGCAAGTGATGTTCCCTTTGGGTCCCACAGCTGGTAAGTGAAAGTACGGGGGTTCGAACTGGAATCTCTGTCTCCACAGCCCACTTAGAGTTTAATTTCTTATCAGGAAACGTTTTTCCTTGGTGCTGTTTATAGGAAGTTTCTAATAGAGAAAGGAACTCTAGTTCCCAATGTCACATTACCAAGGCATTCTTTGGGGGATCTGTGGCCTCAGCTCTTTTTCAGCCAGCTTCCCTCAGCTCTGTCTCTCTGTAGGGATCCCCTCCCTTCCCAAGCAAGTGCAGCCAGTCAGCTGACCTTGTCAAGTTTAGGAGCACTTTAACAACCAGATACCTAAGTCTAAGTCTAATCTTGAGTCTTTAAAAGTAAGAGGCTGTGTAAGATAAAAATCTAGGTGTTTACGCTGTCTTGGTGTCAACATTTATACCTTAACCACTTTTGCTTCTACAGGATGTGTATCCAAAGGCCAAACTTTTCATGTCTCTTTAAATCAGCCTGTAATGTGGGTGTGAACTTGATGTCTCTTTAACATGGCCTGTAACATGGGTGTGAACCACAAAGGGTGAAACACATTTTTAAAACCTCTCAGAGCTTTCTCTGCATACCTAAGACCATGGCACAGCATCTTCTGTAGGTGAGCCCCCGACCATCGCACCTGCTCTCCATACAGGACTCTAGGAGCAGATGCTCAACCCCCTCGGAGGAGAAACATCTGGGAAAAACACTGGAGTGGGCTCCCAGAAGGGGAGGCCAGGGTGAAAAGAAAGGTCACCAACCCTAAATCCATCAGGAACATGCTGACCTCTCTTCAGGGGATGCTGCTTAAGAGACCTTTTCAACATATTTTTATCTGCATGATATAAATTTTTAAAATATGCTTGAGTACCTAATTTTTGGTATTTTATTTACATGAAATGTTTAATTCTCCGACAGTTTTATATCCAGCAGCATATAGCTTTGTGACTCCAATGACGAAAGTATTCAATGTGAAAAAATAAACAGGCTATTTTATGATTGTTTAACTTTGCCCTCAATTTGTGTACCACTCACATTTGCAAATAATTGCTCAATTCTCTTCAGGGAAACCTCTGAAGAATATTTAAGTAAGACAGATTGAAGGACCATTTTTACTATGGTAAATCTTAACAAGTTTTATAAAGTAGTTTCCAGTAATAACAAAACATTTGAATGTGAAAAATAAAATTCTTAGAAATATAAAATTTATGGTGCTAAAACACAGAGAAAATGGAATAAGGATGAAATTGTAATTCAGAATTAGCAAACTTTCTCATTTTATCTCCATTGTAAATTCAAAAGCTTCCAGACAGCAAATGTGGAGGAGATCACATGCTCCTCAGATGATGCCATGGCTCCCGGGGCTCAGCAGCCCTGTCCCCAGCACACACTCCCTACACAGATAACACTGACGGTTAGCTCCTATCCGGGGCTTAGCAGCGCTGTCCCCAGCACACACTCCCTACACAGACAACACTGACTGTCAGCTTCCTATCACCCTCATTACCTTAAAGGCAAGTAAGATAACAAAAGCATAGCATTTTCTAAATGAAGTACTTCTCAAAAGAATGTGAATATTCTATAAATTAAAGGGCTGAACACTTCCCAGAGATTTTCATAACCTGTCAGATTAATTAGGAAGTTTGTGATCACAAAATGAATATGAATCATTTATAACATATAGATTTACTGATTTACCAACTCTCTCATGATAGCTGGAAAGTCCAGGATAGAGCTTATATTCATTTCTGTTACCTGCCAAAAAAGAGGAGAGTGGTGATTTTGAAAACTGATTAGTATATATCATACAAAATACACAAAATTGCCAGATCCTGCCCTTGCTGAGCAAATATTTTAAATCACTAAGTTGATAGGATCATCATCATTTGATTGCGCTTTAAATCACAAGGTATACCTGAATAAAGCCAGAAGATACATGAAGTATAAGGTAGATGATAAATACCTGACATCTGTATGACACAGAAGTACACACACTATTCTCATTATAAATTCAGATGACAATTCTATTAGGTTCTTCTTCAATTGCATTGAAGGCAAAGAAACAGAAATCACTGATTCATGGAAGGATTTACACTGCATAAGAGCCATTCACTAACTGCATCCACATTTCACACTGGATTCCCGTTCTGACGCTCTGGGGTGATGTAGTGTAGAAAGAGGCAGAACGGTCTGGGGGTTTGCTTTTCTTCTTCAACTGCAGAAAAACTGATTCTAACAGTACAGAAGACGAAGAGCACACCTTGCACATCATGTTCAGCTTTAAAAAGAACTTATCCAGGAGCTGGAGATCTGGAGATGGTGTCTCTTAAGTGGCCTGTGCCCACACCCCCTTTTGCAGTCTCTGCGTACTCCTAAAGACAGGCACACACCAGTGTGAAGGCCACTGGCCTAAGACATTTATGAAAGTCAGAATTTAGAAATAAAGTTTGGTGGGATGGGAAAAGGATACAAATATCCTCTGAGAATCTATTTTTAAAAACTGACTAGAAATAGTTTTGAGCAAGTGACGAGATATAAGACAAACAAAATATATGCAAATTAAGATTTCCTTCACTGTGAAAATTGGTACTTAAGTAGAAATAGAAAAGTGCATTCCATTCACCTTAGCAGATCAAAATCTCAAAGTACTTGGGAACAAATTTAACACAAAAGGCACAGAAATTACAAAGTCTTATTGAAAGACATAAAATCTCAACAAATGGAAAGCATGAAATGGTAAAATTATTATATCTCAAAGTAATAAATGTATACATGTAATGTTACCATAATTAGCATTGAAAAATTATAGAATGGATACAAGTACATCATACTGTTTCAACTAGAATTGTATATTGGGGAGGAGGGGAAAATTAGGAAAATGAGCTCAAATTATGTGAAGACTAAGTATCCAGTAAATGCAAAGATAAAAAAATCACAAGAAAATCTAGGAGACTATGAACATACTCTTGTGTAGGAGGTGGGAAGACCTTAATCATGACCAAAGTATCCAAATCTATAAAAACTAAATGATAGACTTATTTTTAGATAAAATTTAAAACTTTCATGGAGTAAAATTATGAAAAACAAGATCAAAAGAAAAATGGTAAGTGTAGAAATATGCTGCAATCCAAATGACCAACAAAACCTATAATATAGATAACATTTCCATAAATTGAGAAAGCAACAAATATCCCAATAGGAAAAATAGACCAATGAAATGAAGAGACTTTTCAGATAAGATTAAATCCAAAACACCAGCAATTTATATGAAGAGATGTTTACATTCACTAATAGGAATAAATACAATCCAATTAACAAGGAGATGTGACAAGCCTTGACTGGCAAAATCTTCTAGATGCTTCCGCACTAATAGTGGTGGGGAAGGTATATGCTGAAGAATGTCATAATGGATGTAATAGTTGAAAATGCACTTGGTGGGGAATGTAGATGGTGGAGAATGTATATAGTGAGGAATGCATACAGTGGGGAAGATATATGGTTGAGAATGAAAATGGACAGTGGGGAATGTGTATAGTGGGAATGTCTGGTGGGAAGCCTATATAATGAAGACTTGGGAATGTTATTGGGGAGTGTATATATGGTGGGGAGTGTATATATGGTGGGGAGTGTACATATACTGGGGAGAATACATATACTGGGGAGTATATATGGTTAGGATTGCACATGGTCGGTAGTATACACGGTACAGAATATGGTGGGCAGCATAAATGGTGGATAATTCATATGGTGGAGAATGCATATGGTGGATAGTAACCATGGTGAAAAATGCACATGGTGGGTGGTACACATGTTGGGGAATGCATATGGTGGGTAGCATACATGATGGAGAATGCATATGGTGTCTAGTGGGAAATGTGCATGGTAGGAAATGCCTATGGCGGGAAGCAACTATAGTGGGGACTATTATGGTGGGAAGGTTATGGGGAGTGTATATATGGTGGGGAGTATATATGGTTAGGATTGTACATGGTGGATGGTATACATGGTGGGGAATGCATGTGCTGGTGAATGTTACGGTGGGGAAATGGTTGATGAGACTCTAAGTAGTAAAAACTTTTGAAAAGTAATCTGCTAAATCTGTTAAAACTTTAAAAATATATTATTTGACCTATTATGTCCACTCCTGGTAACTATCTCAAAAAAAATAAAAGTGCCAGTATATATAAATATTAATTTAGAAGTATATCAATTGTGACACTGTTTGGCATGGAAAAAAATCTGAAATAAAGTTAATATACATCAATAGGAGAGTGAATGAGTAAACTATATACATTTGTGCCATGGATACTGAATAATTATTAAAAAGAAGCAAACAGAACTATACCAGTTGACTTAGGGATTTCTACGCGGAGTTGTTGAGCAAAACAAACCAACAAATAACAAATAAATAAATAAATATAAAGAAGATATAGTAAAGCACGTATAAGATGATAGCATTTTTATGAGACAAAAATATTCTGGCCATGTTTATGTATATGTTTGTACATGCCATGTGTAGGACTACACAAGAATGGAGAAAACAACGTGAAAGTTCATAATTTATGTTGTGAACGTGGGTTTCCTGAAATCAGGGTAGAGGAAGGTATCTTGAAAGTGAAAACATAGGTGAAATGGGAAAAGGAAGCAACACAACAAAGGAAAAGAAAAAAAATACTGCCTTCACAGACCCTCCATATGAGCATACGTGCATTTCCATAAAATTATGTGTGTGTGTGTGTGTGTGTAAGGATATGTAAATAAATTGAAAATACTTAGTTTTTAAATAAAGAACTTAAGAAAAGGTCAGATTTAACATAAAACATTAAAAGTAGTCACTAGTTTTAAATTTTTAGTTTACTGAATTAAAAACTGATATTCAAAACTTGAGAGATACAGCACATGAGAAATGATGGTATCGCATGGAAAAACTGTAGTGGCCTAGCCACAAAGGATGAAGCTGAAAAGGTGGAGGGAGGAGGAGTGTTCACGAGTGTGTCGAGTGAGGCTGAGGCTGCAGAAATGTGGCCAGGCTAACCTGTCCACCGGCAGGGACACAGCTGTGGCTGTGCAAAATGGGGAGGGCACTGCCCATCTCCCCAAGAAAGGGTTCGGGGAACACACGTGGTCACCGTGGGAAACAGATCCGCAAGCTGGCACAGGCAAAGGGCCTGTTTTTAGAAAGCTCACACAAGGGGGTTATATGGCAGAAACAACCTTCAGAGCTTTTCAATTATTAACGGAAAGGAATTTTTTGAGGTAAGGTCCACAGTCATTTTTAAATCCGCACTGATAAGGACCTGATACTAAGAGGACTAGAATTTTTATAAATGAGAGGATTTCATACATGCATATGCAGGTATCCATTCTCAGTGAGGACATTTTATATATTTTAAAACATACATATGGGTCAAATTCTATATAATCACTCAGATCTAAAATAAAAATAAATTCAGTGCTCATATCTCATTAGTCACTGCAAATATGAGTTTCAGTAAATCAATCATCTGAACATGAATCAGCAGTGGACCACGGCTTATCCCAGAAGAACAGGAGACAGACGCAGGGGCAGGAGGCAGGTTGGTAATGAGGAATAGGCCTGGTTCCTGAGCATCTTCCTGGGAGGGTTACATTTAGACCAGTCAAAGGCACAGCCAAGAATCATATGAGGGACTTGGGCTCAAAACTGGGGAAAATGATTACAGAAAATTAAGGAGGAGGCCGAGGATGCGCTTCCCGCCTTCTGCAGAGCTTTACTATTTACTCCCCGCAAAACTTATATGCCTTCTCCCACTAACAGCAGTTATGTTTCTACATGTAATCTCTCTCCTCTTGTTCTGAAAGTCCTCTAAAGGCAAGATCTACGTTAAAGTCACCTTTGTGCACCCAAAGCCACAGCACAATGACTCTTGTATAACAGTCAATCATCACATGAAAGTCCCTACTTCAATGTATTCCTATTTACTGGTAACCTCCATATACGAAAAACAGAAACACAAGTGATTCACAAAAATGAATGATAGAGAGAAAGATAAAGACCAAAACCTGGTGCTTTATAAATGTCATCTAGTTTAAAAACCACCTTATGAGATCCTGAGCTCCAAAGAACATATGTCAAAACTGATATTCAGAATTATAAATATGAGTATGATAAGAAAAAAACAGGCTTATTTTGTTCTCATTTCAAATCAGAAGGATAACGGTTTTTGGAAGAAATGGCACAGAAAATAAATGAGAAAACCTTTGAAGATAAATATCTTTGTAGATTTAAGAAAGTGTCTTATGGGCCGGGCACGGTGGCTCACGCCTGTAATCCCAGCACTTTGGGAGGCCGAGGCGGGCAGATCACGAGGTCAGGAGATCGAGACCATCCCGGCTAAAACGGTGAAACCCCGTCTCTACTAAAAATACAAAAAATTAGCCGGGCGTAGTGGCGGGCGCCTGTAGTCCCAGCTACTTGGGAGGCTGAGGCAGGAGAATGGCGTGAACCCGGGAGGCGGAGCTTGCAGTGAGCCGAGATCCCGCCACTGCACTCCAGCCTGGGCGACAGAGCGAGACTCCGTCTCAAAAAAAAAAAAAAAAAAAAAGAAAGTGTCTTATGAATAGAAAGAGAAGTTTTCATAAATTATAGCAATGACAATTTGTCTCATGTATTTAGAAGAGGCTGAGCACTTATTTTACTCTTAAATATGTTAGTTCTTCTATTTAACTCTAAAGTTTAACAATGTATCTTGATTTCTTAATGATAACATTTAATAATTACTTAATTACAACTGTATTTGAATTGCAACAAAAATATTTACTTTGAGAGCCAGAGTTCAGCTGGACTGGTGCAGATGACTGCTGTGGTCTTGACAATGGCTTTGGAGGTAATTCTTTAGCCTGGGAGAAACAAAAAGATAAATACACATAATTTTAAAATCTTGTTTTTACTTAGGCACATATAACTCTTTTCTAATGAGGTTATGTAGCAAACTTTTATCATGTGTGCTTATTAATGTGGCACTCTCAAAGCTCACATGCACCCCTCTGGACTCTATGTAATTGAACTGGATGACAAGACTCAGATGTGGACAGGGTGTGCTCTTCTCATGCCTGGAAGCTAACCTCCCCCAGGCACCTCTGACCACCTGTGCAAGGTCTTAGGGAGCTGCAGGGACGGTGGTGTAGTAATTGGTTTAGCAAGCAACTGGCAGAGGCAGTGACAGACAAACTCTAGGCTTCAGTTTTTATTCCATGAAACAGGCATCATACCAACTCTGAAAGGTGCTGTGGAACATCATGAACAATGCACACAAATCCCTCGGTGCCCCAAGGCCTGACATACAAAGGCGTCAGTATCTGCAACTATTATTCATATATTATTATTGAGATAAGGTCTTACTCTGTTGCCTAGGCTGAGTGCAATGGCATGATCTTGGCTCAGTGCAACCTCATGGGCTCAAGCGATCCTCCTGTTTCAGCCTCCTGAGTAGCTGAGATTATGGGCACACGCCACCATGCCCAGCTAATGTTTCTATTTTTATGGTAGAGAGGGGGTTTTGCCATGTTGGCCAGGCTGGTCTGAAACTCCTGATCTCAAGTGCTCCACCTGCCTCAGCCTCCCACATATTATTTGTATTATTGATACAACAAAGTTCCATCCTTGGAGAAATGCAATCACAGAGGACAAATTATGTTTTTCCCTGAAATCTGTACAGAGGAAATGTCAAGGTAGCATGACCTTTTCACAAGAATGTGAAGTCAGTGAAACTACGAAGGAGGCTTAGTAGGTTCTTAGGAACCTGATATCAGGGACAGAATGTTCTACAGAAAGAGATTTTCTGAGAATACTGAGTGAAACATAAAACCAAACGGTACAGAAGACTTCCTCTGCTCCCTTGCTGCTTTTCTTGCATTGATTCGTTGTCCTTCATTTTCATACTTTTCAGTAAAGGAATCAAGAATTTCATAAAGATCTTCGGCTTGAGCAGGCCGCGGTGTATCTCCAAATAAAATGTCATAAGCTCGGATATCTTGACAATAAAATCTAATGGGAAATATAAAATTAAAAACATTTTAATATACACAAATCTTTTCTAGAGTTAAACATAGCATGTGCGCACACACGGTGTGTATATATAATCATTCATACATAGCACTTCATATACACTACTTTTTAAACACTAACTTTAAGCAATATCCCATGTTCAAGTCTTAAATGTACCCCAAAGTTCACTTCTACAGGCAACTACCATAAATATCCTTATATGTATCCTTTCTTTATTAATATAAAAAGCACATCCACATTATCATGGAAATACTTATACTTGCCCATATATATACATACACATATTCATATATAAACACATATAAATATACACACAAGCACATACATTTTTATAGGTTTTTACTTTTTAAATTTCTTTAAAAAATGGTACCTATAACTGTGGCTTTGTAATTTCCTTAAAATATTTATTTTTATCAAGATTAAATAAACATTTGCCTTACATGCTTGGAGGTCCTGCCATTCATTAAGCAACATATTTGTTTTAGTTTATCCAGGGTTTAGTTGAACTTTAGTGGGAAGGCCTGCCAACGGGCTCGAACCAGAAGTTTCTAAAAGCATTCTTTTGTTAACTGTTCTCAAATTAATAAAGCCAGGAGTTAACACATCACTTTTGATTTTATAAGATGAATAGTTCTGAAAACCTTATTTTTCCCCATCCCTCCTATTTTCTACCTCTTGTGGTTTATATTTAGCTTTATTAAATAGTGCTGTTCAGTTCCTGAATGACTCGGTGGGGTAAACACTGGATGCTTTGTCTCGGATAGTGGCGGGTCTGTCTGCCACGCGTGGCGAATTTGAATGGCCAATGCCAGCAGTGCCAGCCGATCAAGCTGGCAATGATGGAACTTCTGCAGGTTCTGGAAGAAGTCCTGCTGTCAGTCTTAGCTCTTTATCTCTTTCTGGGCCTTTACACATATTTTAGTGGCAATTTGTAAGAGCCACTTAATTTGCATCTTTGGGAAAAATCAGCCAGATGCCAATTTAAAGTAGAAGTTTCCCTTTACCTTTTAGGATACTTCCAGATTCTTTTTTTTTTTTTAAATCAAACTGTATTTTAAATTGCTCTCTATTTGACATGAGAAAAGACAAAGGTGGAGTGTAGAACAGGAAACCTCACAACAAGGAATACTGACTGACACATGAGTTGTAACTGGTGTGCCTTCCACAAACATCTGAAAATCACTGAAATCGGTGCATCCAACTAAGAGTATTACTAACTTATGTTTAAGTTTCTTTTTTTTTTAATATACTTTAAGTTCTGGGGTACATGTGCACAATGTGCAGGTTTGTTGCATAGGTATACATATGCCATGTTGGTGTGCTGCACCCATCAACTCGTCATCTACATTAGGTATTTCTCCTAATATTATCCTTCCCCCAGCCCCCAACCCCCTGAAAGGCCCCAGTGTGTGATGTTCCCCTCCCTGTGTCCAAGTGTTCTCATTGTTCAATTCCCACCTGTGAATGAGAACATGTGGTGTTTGGTTTTCTGTCCTTGTGATAGTTTGCTGAGAATGATGGTTTCCAGCTATCTTAAAATGCGAAGTGGAAAAAACAGCATTTACAACTGAATATATATGGTGATTATCATCATATATGGCAAAACAAAAAAAATTATGCTTAGGAAAATGTTGGAAGGCAGTAAAGCAAAATGTGAATTGTGTTAGTCTTTTAAAGGGATCGAGTTTTTTTTATTTCTTTTTCATGTGTCTTCTGCATTTTCTACGAGCATATATTATTTGTATATTTAATTTTTAAATGTAAGATACACACTTAAAACCACATGTTGTAAAAAGAATATATAAATGTACTCTGCAAATTATATCAACTTTTGAAGTACTATTTTCTCATCACACTTTCAATTAAAATCACTTTAACTTGAACTGACTTTCTATTAGTTTCTTTCCTTTCAATCAAACAGCTCCCTTCTAAAGACACGCCTGCAAAGAGTCCCCTTGACTTGCAGTACGTGAAGACGGCAGCGGAGCTTCTCAGGGCCACGTTTCCTTCCAAGTTCCTGCAAAGCACAAGATTTTGCATCACAAAGCTGTGAGCAGCTCCAAGCCGAGGATCACTATTTAAATAGCACTCCTTCTAGCTCAAATGAATTATTTTGTTCTGTACCTTCTTCAGCTGTTTCTATGTTTTACTTACTGTAGGCCTAAATTAGATGTTTTAATGTGGCCTAGAGGAAAAACAGGCCGGGGGAAGAACATACATGAAATTATTACAGAAGGCTCTGGTAACATAGAACTGTGTTGAAAAAGAATACAGTGCAGCATGTGTAAATATATTTTAAAAATTTGTAAATCTGACATTTTCCAACCGGATCTTCCTCTCTTAAAACTGGGAAATACATCTCAAGAGTGCTAAAGAATTTGGATTATTTTTGCATTGAGTATTTTCATGGAACCAAGAAACATTTTTAGATGATTTTACTGTGTAACTTCTATAAATAGTGTGGGTATAAAATATCTCTACATTGCACAATTAATCCAAGACTAGCATTTCATTAATAGAGAAGAAAAATACACTTTAAGTACTGTAAACACGGCTCAAAAAAAACACATCCATATCCAATTTTTATGATTTACTTTGAAAAAAGCTCTTTCTTTCCTAATCGAAGCTTAACTTTATCATAAAATCTGACTTGTGTTTGGCTCTCTCAAAGCTTAAGGTGGATTTTATGTTCAAGTCTGACAGATACAATGGCCTATGCTTCCAAAACATTTCATTATTTCTTGTGTGTTCTGGTTTCAGATTTTCTAGCTTATCTCACTGGCTGTGTTTTGTGAATTTCCTATTTGTGATGACCTCAAATCTTTCGGGCATGTATAAATCTGGGGATGTACAAATCTGTTCATTTTAATTCAAGTTTCCTATTAATGCAAAATAAAATATGCAGTTGTTAAACCTTTACTGTCTAACATCTATTTAAAGAACTCACCTTCCCAAGGGCCCAACCGCCACAGTCAAGTTCCCTCCGAGGGTCAGATTTCCGCCTTTTGCAAAAGCTTCTACAGCACGGTCATAATTCAGAATTATCACCAAGTCTGATACCTAAAGTGTAGAAACCCATGGATTTAAAAATCGTTAAGACTAAATATCATTTAAAATTCATCTTGACTAACACTCAACTACACCATATGCACTGTAGCAAAACATCAATAGAGACAGGAAAGAACGTGAGACAAGAGCCATATTTTTATTTTGAGCTGATGAATTATGAAGCCAATATTGCCACAGGTAATTACAACAAACCTCAGCGAGCATTTACTGTGCACCATGTGTATACTATGAGGTTTACCTGCATCATGTCCTTCAATCTTCCACACAACCTGGTCATGTAGGTGGTGATCCTAAGGTTTAGTGGGGTTAGGTAAACCGTCAGTGCTAACAAGTCAAACAAAGGTTGTTGGAAGGGATCCAACATGCTCTCTGATCTCATCAGACTAAACTTTGTAAAAGCCAAGCCCGAAGAGCACAGCACCAGGGACGATGGTGCTGAAGGTCCTGAGAGCCTTTCTACACTCTCCTCCTGGCCAGGGGTGTGCTCCTTACCAGGAAGCTGTGAACCTGGGCCACTTCACTATAGGTCACAGAAGCTCAACACACCAGAAAGCAAAGCAGTTTCCATTAGGAATGCCTATTTCCATGACTTAATTTTTCTTTTTTTTTCCTTGAGAAAGAGTTTCACTCTTGTTGCCTAGGCTGGAGTGCAGTGGCGTGATCTGAGCTCACTGCAACCTCCGCCTCCCGGGTTCAAGTGATTCTCCTGTCTCAGCCTCCTGAGTAGCTGGGATTACAGGCACGTCACCATGTCCGGCTAATTTTTTGTATTTTTAGTAGAGATGGGGTTTCGCCATGTTGGCCAGGCTAGTTTTGAACTCCTGACCTCAGGTGATCCACCCACCTCGGCCTCCCAAAGTGCTGGATTACAGGCGTGAGCCACTGAGCCCAGCTGACTTAATTTTTCTCTAAATAAAAGAAGAAACTACAATGAGATTCAACTGAATGCTCAAGGCAGGTCAACACAGTGAAAGCATTTGTTACTCAAATTAATCACTGCAATGTGGAAGTCCAAAGTTAGAACTGAAAAATAATATGACCCATCAAATGAGAGGCAGCATGGGTCAGGGGAGGCAGCATGGGCCAGGGGAGGCAGCAGCATGGGCCAGGGGAGGCAGCATGGGCCAGGGGAGGCAGCATGGGTCAGGGGAGGCAGCATGGGCCAGGGGAGGCAACAGCATGGGCCAGGGGAGGCAGCAGCACGGGCCAGGGGAGGCAGCATGGGCCAGGGGAGGCAGCATGGGTCAGGGGAGGCAGCATGGGCCAGGGGAGGCAACAGCATGGGCCAGGGGAGGCAGCAGCACGGGCCAGGGGAGGCAGCATGGGCCAGGGGAGGCAGCATGGGTCAGGGGAGGCAGCAGCATGGGCCAGGGGAGGCAGCAGCACGGGCCAGGGGAGGCAGCATGGGCCAGGGGAGGCAGCAGCATGGGCCAGGGGAGGCAGCATGGGTCAGGGGAGGCAGCAGCATGGGTCAGGGGAGGCAGCAGCATGGGTCAGGGGAGGCAGCATGGGCCAGGGGAGGCAGCATGGGCCAGGGGAGGCAGCATGGGCCAGGGGAGGCAGCAGCACGGGCCAGGGGAGGCAGCAGCATGGGTCAGGGGAGGCAGCAGCATGGGTCAGGGGAGGCAGCATGGGCCAGGGGAGGCAGCAGCACGGGCCAGGGGAGGCAGCAGCATGGGTCAGGGGAGGCAGCAGCATGGGTCAGGGGAGGCAGCATGGGCCAGGGGAGGCAGCATGGGCCAGGGGAGGCAGCATGGGTCAGGGGAGGCAGCAGCATGGGCCAGGGGAGGCAGCATGGGCCAGGGGAGGCAGCATGGGTCAGGGGAGGCAGCAGCATGGGCCAGGGGAGGCAGCAGCATGGGCCAGGGGAGGCAGCATGGGCCAGGGGAGGCAGCAGCACGGGCCAGGGGAGGCAGCAGCATGGGTCAGGGGAGGCAGCAGCATGGGCCAGGGGAGGCAGCAGCATGGGCCAGGGGAGGCAGCATGGGCCAGGGCACCCCTGGGTGTGAAGAACCAATGTCCATCCCAGCTCCGCTTCTCGAGAGCTGTGGACTTTGGGGTCTTTTAACCAGTCTTTGTGTCTCTGACTGTTCTGTGTTTAAAATTTGCTTACTAGGACCTACACCTCATGGAACTACTGTGAGAATCAGATATAGGCGTCAAGTGTACCTGGGAAGTTGAAACAGTGCTGGCATGGGGCTAAGAATTTGGGCTCAAAATTAAAAATAGTTAGGTGGGAACTCCATTACTCCCTTTTGCATGCTGTGCGACCTTGGGCAAATCACTGAGCTGCTGAAAGCTGCAATTTCCTTCTCTGGAAAATGGGTGTAATAATAGTGGCACACATTCAAGGCTGTTTACGGATGAATTGAAATCAGTTCAATAAAACATGCAAAGGTCAAGCAGACTCGTGCTTAAAATATGCCTTCATTATACAGTTATTCACATTTTTTAATCAAATCAATGCTCTCAAGTCAACATTTTTATATGAGTGACAGAAAAATCCTGTTATAACCAAATGAGATTATACTTGAAAGGCCCTAAGAGAGTTCCTGATGCAAGTATGTTCTTAATAATGTTCAATTTGAATCATTTTATGAAATAAAATACACTTCAGATCTGTAGGTCAAACTAAATCTACCAGAGAGCTGACCCACACAAGATGCTTCAGCTTGACGCTTGCCAACTGTTCATTTTATTTTACATATAGACAATTTCTGAGGGTTATGGTGCTGAATGGCAGATAATTATTTAGCTTTTCTTATGCAAAGTTAAGCATTTTCACCAGTGATTGTATAACCTGTATCTTGTATGTATTTTTAGATAACAAATTTGCCTTCCATAATGCTTCCCACATTTCCCACTCGGAAAATACAAAGTACTACCCATGACCTTGTAGCTACACTGGTTCTTATGTTCCGCTTCTGCTTGGTACATCGTGGTACAGTTAAGTAAGGCCAAGCTATGAGAGGCAGCTGAAGGAAAAACAAAGTCTTTTGATTTTTTTTGGTCTGATCTCTCTTTAGTTCTTTTGAAATAAGAATAAGAGAATATTGTGTTTTTTGGTGACACTACCAATTAGCCCGAGAACCAGGTCAAAAGCTCTGCAGACAGCTTGGCGAGCATGTGAGCAGCAATGGCCCTCAGTTTATTTCCACAGCTTAGAAGAAGGAGCAAGACAGATTTCCTGCAGGAATCTGGAGGAGCTGAACAACACATTGGGACGGCACTCTCAGAAAACCCTGTAAGCATTTGATAAGACTTCTTTAGAAGTCTGCATTAAAACTCAACTACATAACAGTCTGATCGAAGAAATAAGACTTGTGTTTTATTTATAAGATCAGTAGGGTGAGTATGGTTCACAATAATCTATTGACTATTTCAAAATAGCTAGAAGAGAACTTGAATGCTTCCAGCCTAAAGAAATGACAAATATTTAAGGTGACAGATACCCCAATCAGACTGATTTGATCTTTACAAATTGTATGCATGTATTAAATTATTACAAGTACCAGGAAAATATGTAGTCCACTATAAATCAAAAAAAAAATTAAAAAATAAAACTGAATAACTCAGATGCAAGTGTTTCAATTAAATAAATTCTTAAACATTAGAATGTGAAAAACCACAGCTGCCATGCAGGGGAAGCTGCGGGAGAGAAATGTCCCTCTTCTCTGCGACTGAATTTCCTGAAAGCAGCTGCTGAGAGGGTACCACCCCATCTCCCTCTTGTGTGGTCAGCCTGCTTCACACCCACACAGCTGAGTCCCGGGCTGTTGTCCTGTCAGAGCATCACCCCCTTCTGGATGATTGACTGCTGTCAGCCTTCAAGCCCCACATCTGGACAACCCGCTAAGAAAGCTGGGCTTCCTCCTCCACCCTGCCGTTCTCTCACGCCACTCTTGGGCTGGCCTTGGAGCCTGCCCCAATCTCCCTAAAAGCCTCACTACATGGGGAATAAACCTTTTCCTCCCTCCTTGTGTGTGTGTGTGTGTGTGTGTGTGTGTGTGTGTGTGTGTGTGGCATGGCCAGTCTCAATATGTAAACCAAGCTTAAGTGGAGCGTCCTTCCAGCAACAACACCCCCTCCATTCCTCAGACCAACAGATCTTTTCCTTACATCCCATTCTTAGGGGGCTTAGAAACTGGACTCTGATCTCTAACAATAATTTATCCTCAACTTAAACCCAAATACCTTCCTCTTCAGTAAAGTGAAAGGGCCCATGTAAATTCTCCCTGGAAAAAGCAGTCGTTTTTGTTTTTTCAAATTCCAATCTTGAGTAAAAGCCAGACTGCTCTGGCTTGATGACCCAGTGTGAGCTCTAGCTCTGGAAACACAGCAAAGGACTGTACATGTCCAAAGCCAAGCCAGCAGCAGGACTTTCTGAGCTTTGGGCTTTGCTACAACTGTCATCCAAAAAGAAACCGTTAGTGGTATTTAAAGCAAATGTAGCATTGTCTTTCCTCAGACCACTGACTTTCACGACTTCACTTCTCACAATCTCAACTCTCTTTACTAATCTCTCTCTCTTTACCACAAAAACTTCCCCCTCCCCCAAATTAATCCCTAATCCAGATACACGTATTCAGTCACTAATTTAGACAATTATTCAGTACCTCTGATGTTCCAAGAACCAGGGAACTCTCCACCCTGTAGAATCTGGGAGTCTAAAGGTTGAGATTGTCGAACATAAATTAACCCCACGCCGGCCTTCTGGCTAAGCTTAGGGTCACTTACACTTATGCCCCTGGAAGAATGAGTCTGACATTCACTCTCCAGTGAAACCACAGCACGATGCAATAAGCTATCCAGGAGCAGCCTCAGACAGCAGTGGCTGTTAAGCAGCATCCTTTGCACAACTAGACCTTGTTAGTTAAGAGAACTGACCTTAAGAACAGGCCATTAATGAACACACAATTAAGACTGCAATCTTTTTCCACCAGGATTCTCTAGGAGAATTAAGCACGAATGTCCTAAGGCATCCATTGCAACTAATAGGTTAGCATCTCCCCAGATATTCTAGAATAATAGTACAAATAATTAAGAAGGTGGTACTCCAATCCCTTTCTGTGTTTGGAAGGTCAGATGAAGAACCTGGAGCAAATGTAACATTTTTGCAGCACTGGATACACCACGTGGAAGGTACGGGAGATGTCCGGAGAAAAACTGAGACTGACCCAGGCAAAAAACAATGCGCCACAACTTTAGCCCAGAACAGGCAAGCTTTGTTGCCAGTCACAAATATCAGAAGTGAAAGGGGGTATTTAAGGACCATTTTATTCAACTTAAAAATTTTTTATTTTACAGATTTGATTCAGGAAGATTAAGTACTTTGTTCACTGTTCTATAACTAACAAAAGAAGAGCTAAAACTTAACAATTACAGTTGAATCTCCATCCCACTGTAGAATGTATCTACAAATCAGAATGACACTGCAGTGGTGGCATAAAGAGGCCACAGACCCTCTCCACAGCAAAATAACCGTAACTGGTAAAAATTATTTTAAAAATTAACACTTCTGGAAATTGTCCTAAGGGCATATGGCAAGTGAAGAAAATGAAGACACATTGATTCAATGAACACTATTAAATATTGGTAAGGAAGAGAGAGTTGGTGACATTTGAGCTATAACCTGTGCCCCGCTGCAGGTCAGCCTGATGGAAGCTCCTCTTGGGGAAGGGGGTTTGCAAGAACACAGACTTCCTTCCCCCAGCCCCTGGTCAGGGCTGCAGTATATCCACAGGAGAGGCTTCTGCCAGCATTTCTCTTCCCACAGCTCCTTGTACAGAAGCTCCATTCCAGGCAAGAGCAGCTGAGAGGTCTGGAGCTTCCTTCCTCCACCCAGAACCCATGTGTAAGTGAAGGCTCCAGCCTAGCACAACAGTCCAGGAGCACCAGGACCCCACTCACTCTTGCCCCAGTTCACCTGTGGGGCAAAAGCTCCACCCTGACAGAGGCAAGCCAAGCTACTACACCACCCAAGGCTGCAGGGATGTCACTCCAAGAGAAGGGAGCCACTGCCCCAGCCTCCAGCTCTGGAGCAACGGCACAGAGATCTTGGGCAGACAGAGAGACAGGCTGCAAGAGCAGAGAGCTCCAAAGCTCTCCCCAAGGGAAGTGAAAGCTTTTGGAACACAGGGTGGGGAAGTTCAAAGGTGCTGTCAAAAATGATGCTTTTGGTGATAAACAGGTAAGATGAGGTATTTAGCTCCATGACAGCAACAAGCTAAACCATTGGTGGTCTAGAAAATTATCAGGGAGAACCAGGGACAGAGATAGCTAAGAAGAGCCCTCCTGAAATAGAAATGAGCCTCAAAGACTACCTGTGCACAGGAGCACAATTTTAACTGGATCAAACTGTGGAGCAATTTATGTCCCCAGGGCATTGTTGGAAACAATGGAGCAATCAGCAGGCAATTAGTGGAGGCTAACAACAGTGTGTAATACCAATGGAGACAAACAGCTTAACAGACAGGTCACGGACAGGGACAGTCAGAACACCTGTCATCTCAGGAAAACTATATGCATGCCCATAGACAACATTGGAGGCTTCACAGTAGTGGGGCACAGAATTCATTCAAACAGTCCAGCCATATCTCTAAACAAACAGCAAGCAAACAATAAGAGGCTCCTAGGGGGAGAGGTTGAGCACCCAGAGTTGATACAATATAATATCTAAAATTTCTGATTCTCAACCAAAAATAATAAGACAAAGAAGTGGGAGAGTGTGACCCATACATAGAAAAAAAATTTAAAAAGGAAGCAGACGAGAATGACTGCTGTTCAGATGGTCCAGCTATCAGATTTAGCAGACAAAGACTTTAAAACAGCTGTCATAAATATGTTCAAAGAATTAAAGAAAACTATGGTTAAGAAGTAGAAAAACGTACAATGAGAATATCTTATTGAATAGAGAATATTGATAAAAACATAAAATTATATAAAAGAACCAAATGGAAATTCTGGAGGTAAAAAGTACATTAAGCAACATGAACAATTTACTAGAGAAGTTTAACGGTAGATCTGAGCACGCAAAATAAAGAACTGGTAAATTTGAATAATAGAAAGTCTTAAAAACTAAGAGAAAGAGAATGAAGAAAAATTGACAGAAACACAAGAAACCTGGGACACCATTAGGTGCACCAACATATGTGTGATGTAAGTACTAGAAGGCAAGGAAAAAGAGAAAGAAGCAGAAAATTTTCTCAAAGAAATAATGGCTGAAAATTCTCAATCTGATGAAAAACATGGATCTACACTCAAGAAGCTCAACAAATTCTGAGTAGAATAAATGTAAAAAGATAACACTCTGGATAGATAATTGTAAAAAATCTTAAAATGCAAGAGAAAATCTGGAAAGGAGCAAGAGAAAAATGACTCATCACATAAAAGGAACCCCAATTAGAATAATAGATAGATTTCTCTTCAAAAACAGTAGACTTCAGAAAACAGTAGGATGACAAAATGCTGAAAGAAAGAACTGGTCAACTTAGAATCTTATAATCAGCAAAAGTATATTTCAAAAATGAAGGGGATATGAAGACATTCCCAGATTAAAAATTTTTTTTTAAGTTGAGAGAATTTGTTGCTAGTAGAACCATTTTACAAGAAATATTATAAATTCTAAACAAAGTCCTTCAGGCTGAAAGCAAGTGACTCTAGAGAGTAATTTAAATCCACACTTTAAAAAATCACCAGTAAAGATAATTATCTAACCATAAATAATAGTATAAATGCATAGTTCTTCTCTTTTCTCTTAATTGGTTTAAAAATAAATTTTTTCTATATTTTAAGTCTGTAACTATAGAAATATTATATACTAGACAATAACCGTACAAAAGAGTCAGGTGGGAGCAAAGTTGTCTTGGAGTAAGGAAATGACACCAGATGGTAACCTGAATGAACAGAAACAATGGAACAGAACAAAAAATGGGAAATAAAAAAGGTTAATATAGCAAGTTCAATGAGTAAATACTTGCTCTCAATTATTCTCTGAGTTTCTCTAAAAGACATAAAATTATATACATTATTAACTATAATCATGAATTGCTGAGTGTGTATCATATATAGATTTAATATGTATAACAGTAATAGCACAAAAAAGGAGAAAAAAAACTAGAACCATATGAGAGTAATGTTTTTGTATCTTATTAAATCAAGTTCCCATAAATTAGAAATAGTTAAGACATATTGTAAGCTCTGGAACAACCATTAAGAAAATGACTCAAAAATAGAGTTAAAAAATCATAAAAGGAATCAAAATGCCATAGTACAAAATGTTCACTTAATTGAAAACAGTAAAGTGGAAACAGAGGGACAAAAACGGCATGAGATATAGAAAAAAGTAAAATGGCTGATATAAATCCAATGATATCAATAATCTATTAAATGTGAATGAATTAAACAACCAAATAAAAAGGCAGAGATTATTAGCATGGATAAAACAACAATAACAACAACAACAACAACATCCAATTATATGCTCCATAGGAGACACGCTTTAGATTCAAAGTTACCATTAGATTGACAGTAAAAGGATGGAGAAAGATGTGTCATGCAGATGGCAACCTAAGAAAGCTGGAGTGGCACTCTTTATATCAAACAACAAAAAATGTAATTAGGATTAAACAGGGACATATTATAATGATAAAATGGTCAATCAACCAAAGAGATATAACAATTATAAACATAGTAATACACATATATTTATACAAGCACATAATATCGGAGACCCAAATACATGAATCAAAAACTGACAATCTAGAAGGAAGACATAGACAATTTAACAAAAATAGCTCGATGTGTCAATAACCCACTTTTAATAATGAAGAGAACAATTAGTCATAAGATTATCAAGGATATGGAACAACTAAACAACCATGTAAACCAACTAGACCCAATGGACTCCTGGAGAACACTTTACCCAATAACACAGAACACACATTCTTCTCCAGCACACATGGAACATTGTACAGGACAAAAGTCTATATTTGAGGCCATAAAAGAAGCCTTAACCCATTTAAAAGGACTGAAATTATACAAAATGTTTTCTTTGACCCCAATGGAATGAAATTTGAAATCAAGGACAAGATAAATTTGGGAAATTTATAAATATGTGGACATTAAGCAACACACTCTTAAATAACAAATGGCTCAAAGAAGAAATCACATGAGAAATTAGATAATATTTTGAGATTAAGGAAAATGAAGACACAACATACCCACACTTATGGAAGGCAGCCAGGGCAATGCTCAGAGGGAATATGTAGCTGTAAATGTGTCTATTAAAAAAAAAACAGACCTCGAGTCGGTAACCTGAACTACCTATCAACATGGACGAAGAAGAGTTTAACTAAACTTTAAGCAACAGCCTTGCTTGGACCTTTCCCCTTCTTTCCCTTAGTACCTTAAGTTTCTTCCCCGGAAGAACATTTGCTCAGTATATCACATGCACTTGAACTGGTATCAGGCTCCGCTTCTAGTGAACCATATCTGACAACCACACACTAGCTGTGTGATCTTAGGTAAGACACTAATGTCTCTGTATATTGAAAATAATGTGTGTTTTGCCTACCTTGTATAGTGCCCTAAAAACAGTGGCTTGTTATTCAGAAGAATGTTACAGTGAGGTGGGCTTTACCACCCAAGCACCTGTGAAACCAAGAACAAGTAACTTTCCTGAACCTTTCTTTTTTCCCTATTGAGGGATGTGCAGACAAGACAGACTACAGGGAACTCTGTCTTTCGAATAACATGCTGCCTGGATGTGGGAGCAGACGCTTCCCAATCTGCCCCTCTCTGGCTGCCTCCTACTGGAGAATTCTCCTGGCTTAGCTATTTTACGGATAAAATGAGAGCGATGACAACCACCTTCCATGGCTATGAAAATGATTCCATAATAGCATGTGTACAAGTTTTGTAAAAAAAAAAAATGGCCTGGAGCGGTGGCTCACGCCTTTAATCCCAGCACTTTGGGAGGCCGAGGCAGGCGGATCACGAGGTCAGGAGATCGAGACTATCCTGGCTGACACAGTGAAACCCCATCTCTACTAAAAATACAAAAAATTAGCCGAGCATGGTGGCGGGCGCCTGTAGTCCCAGCTACTTAGGAGGCTGAGGCAGGAGAATCACTTGAACCCAGGAGGCAGAGGTTGCAGTGAGCTGAGATTGCTCCACTGCACTCCAGCCTGGGCGACAGAGCAAGACTCTGCCTCAAAAGAAAGAAAGAAAGAAAGAAAGAAAAGAAAAAGAAAGAAAGAACGAAAGAAAGAAAAGAAAAGAAAAGAAAAAGAAAGAAAGAAAGGCAGATAGTTAAATTATTCAACAAATATTGGATAGTACTAACCGATTACGTGTGTGCCATCTATGTGCTTGAAAGGAAAACCCTGTGTGGTTACAGGTCCTGTCATTGTCCCATTTTACAGAAAAGGAAGCATTCATGGGTGTCTCGTCAGTCTCTGTGGACGTAGGTGTGAAGTTTGAGAAAGTCTCGGCCTTCCCGGTACTCACAGTGCACTTGAGGGCTGGTCCTTACTATTTGTGGCTGCTAGGACATGGTAGGGGCAAGTTCCCAGAGAAGCCAGGTCCAAAGGGGATGCTCAGCTCAGCCAGTGACCTGAGTCAGAAGTGCCCTCAGAGGTTGGTCCCTTCAGGAAGGACGTGTCTACCCTCCAGCCCCTCCGTGGTCTCAGTGGGCACCAGATCTGCTGTGATGAGAACAGCCTGAGGGAACCACTCTGGATACCCCATGCTCCCGTTCTGACTCCCTCCCTCATTAAGACAGCAGGCGGGAGTGCTCTGTTAGGATGGAGGCTCAGACAGAATCAGAGAGTGCTTCATGGAGAGCAAACAGTGCTTTCTGTTAACATTGAAAAATAGCCGACTGCTGTGACATCACTGCACACTCACAATTACACGCAGAGACTTATCTGTGGGGCTCTGAGAAGCAAAGTCAGATCATGGTTAAGAAGTTTAAAACTCATGTCTCCAATCCCTAGGAGATGCTTCTTATCTCTGTTTGAAATTGACATTTAAAAGTTAATAGTTATGTTATTTAAATGAAATTCCATAGTTAATTTCCATACTGTCATGAAGACAGGCTTTGCAATAAAAAGTTTCTGTAAATGGCAAGCCTAAATAAGCTGCAAAGATGAAGAAGATATTAAAAATAAAATTATATTTTGTGTCATTTCAAGGGCTTTTACTGTATAAATCCATATTTAATCATCAATATAAGCCCAGAGACTCATATAAGGCTATCTTTAACTGTGTTTTGCAGATGTAGAAGCTGAGGTGTGGAGAAGAAAAGCTACTTCCTAACATCACAGACTGGAAGCACCCAGGTCAGAATTGGAGCCAGAATGGTCTGACCCAGTCTTCTCTCTTACAGCTCACCACTGTCTCGTATTGTCTTTTAAAAATAATACTGGTTTGAGAGGAGAAGATTGATTATTTATGTGTAAAGTAGTCACCCCATGGCCCAGGATGGTCTTATTTTGTCAAAAATATGAACAGCAATTCCACTGTGCAGCGCACCAGTCTTGAGAATTGTTAACAAAACAATAAACTATTGAATCATCACAACTAAAAAAAAATAAAAATAAAAATAAAATAATACTGTGTATCAGTCTAAGGCCCAGCACGGTGGCTCATGCCTGTAATCCCAGCACTTTAGGAGGCCGAGGTGGGCGGATCACCTGAGGTCAGGAGTTTCAGACCAGCCTGACCAACATGGTGAAACCCCATCTCTACTAAAAATACAAAATTAGCTGGGTGTGGTGGTGCACGCCTGTAGTCCCAGCTACTCGGGAGGCTGAGGCAGGAGAATCGCTTGAAACTGGGAGGTGGAGGTTGCAGTGAGCTGAGTCCATGCCATTGCACTCCAGCCTGGGTAACAAGAGTGAAACTCCATCTCAAAAAAAAAAAGAGAAAAAAGAAAAAAAATACTATGTATCAGTCTATAAAATGCTTAAAGTCTTTCTATTTCATTTACTGGATGAAGGGACTACATTTTACTTGCTCTTGTTTTTCAGGGCTTCTAATGTGCCCTATGGCTAAAAGTCCAAAATTTTCAAAGAATTACCATGGAAACTCTCAATTTTTGGTCTCTAATATATTGAAATTTAATACAGACATCATTTCTGAGTCTCTCATCATTTTTGAAATAAATGCTCAAAGCATGCCCCCAGCCTCACAAGGAGCCAGAGGGTTGTGGGAAGAACAGGTTGTGACTTAGCACAGTTTAGCAGCATGATCTATTGAGAGAAAAAGGCCCTTCTACAAGGAGGGCCAGGGGACTGGGTGGAGGTGGGGAAAGGGGAAGAGAGGGGAGGGAGGGAAGGGAGGAGGAAGGGGAGGGAAGCCACAATCACTGATGAAAATGCACTTTCCACCAGAGGGCGATATTTTTGAAAGCTTTGATTTGGTTGCACATGGTACAAAAATGCAGTCATGATAAGCAAAACTAAAATATGTTCCTTTTATACTACAAATTTATACAGCAGTGAGTAAGAAAGATTGAATAAAGATGAAAAAAGAGTTAGAAATACTTCCTCCTAATAAGGCTGAGGGAATTTACAACTATGTCAACAGGGCAAATCTACAAAGGATAGCTTAGGAAGAAATGGACTGAAATTTGAGAAGAAAATGAGTTGAGCATACCAGGAGATTCAATTTCCAGGCCCTTGCAAAACGACAGACTGAAGATGAGCATCAGCCCTAAGAGGATCCCCGTGTAGGAGGCCTCTGTGAGTGTGCATGTCTGCCCGACAGACGCCACAATCCCAGGAGCAACATTATAAACTGAAATAACGTGAAGTTCTTCTTTACTTAAAGAATGTGGAGGGATTTGAATATCATATGTTACAAAACTGGATTTTGCCACAAATGATGATGCACTGCCCACGTAATTTCAATGCCCACTGAAGGAGAACAGTGGCTTTGCCATGAGCAGTCCATAAACTGCCAATGACAGCTGGCCAGGTGTTGGGATGTGCCTGTTATACAAATGTGCATGAGACAGAAGCAGATAAAATGGCGAATGAAAGAAATCCTACTACTAAGGAAAGAAAAGGAAAGTAAATGGGAACCATCAGATAGCTTTAGTTAGACATTCATCGAGAAAATAAAGGAAACAATTTTTCCTAAGTGCCAATGGTAACAATAAGAACGCTAGGAAACCTCTCAGTTTTCACAGGTTGCATCTTAGGTGTCTTCAGAGGATATGGCAGTTGTATGGACGTGCACAAGCTACTTACCTCAATTCCTATTTCAAATCCTCCACCAAGGCCAGCTATCCCAATGGCTGAGGGTGCAGACCATTCTAATAAAAAAACAAACGAACGTTATCCTAACATTAAAACACCCTCGACATGTAAATATAGGAAGGAAAAATGCTAAAATCTAAAGAGTGCTTCTATTGAAAATAATGAGACTTGGTATTTCCCCTGATTTTAAAGTGATCTTCAAAAAGAATATGTAATTTTTAAAAAGTTAAAAATATTTTTAAAGTATTAGATATTCATTATGAGTCTCATAGCCTCACAAGCCCATGTCCTCTAATCTTTCTCTACCAACATGCATAAGACCACCAACTACTGGTTCCCTAACCATTAGCCATACAGAGCACTTGGTAACTTCAACTGTCAATATTTTTATAGAACAACTTAGCTGTAGGTCTAGTCTTCAGCTAGAATTTTGTCACAGATTTAAGAGATCAGAAGGATTCGAGAGAGTTGATTATCTAACGGTAACATAATAATTGTTTCCATTGTAAATTTCTGAGGGCAAAAACTGTTTTAACACCTCTCGTGCTTAAGCAGAATAAATAGGCTATAAATTCAAGGTTATTAAAATTCTAACAAGATAAATCACATTTAGAAACTAAGTACAGTAATTCCATTTGCCATGATACGGCACATTTTAGGATTACTATATGCTTATTTTTCTTGATATAGAAACTCATGTTAAACAAGTCTAGAAAAATGTATTTTCAATTTGGTGGGGGGATGGTCTGGCCAAAGCACTTTTTGAAAATGGTTGCTACCATGCATGCTAGATACTAGAATATTGCTGAAATATATCCAGAACTATCCTACCCAGGCTTAGAGAAGTTTGGCTTACAGAAATTAGTGTCTGATAATTTTTCGTTCCCTATGTTAGGAACTGTCCCTGTGTTAAGATGGCTGGTCTTGGCCAGGATCCTGGGGAACATGTTGTGTCTTATTTGGACAGTTTTTAAATTACTCTCAGCAGAGTCAGCAGCTGCAGCTCAGGAAGAAGGGAGAGAAATGTAGGTTTTAAAACCAGTAGAAAGGTTTGCTGGGGCTCTGAGAGGAGCCCAGGGCTTGGTATTGACTGTCCCTACCCTTGGTCAGCAAGTCACCCCATCAATGGAGCAGTTGGGGACCTGAGACATGCAGGGACTTTCTCACAGACTCTGAGTCCCATCTGACAATGGGCTCCCTTGGAATGTGCCTCTACTTTGTTTGGTTTTACTGCTGAGAAGTCTGCTCATGGAAATTTGGATAATGCTTGAGAAAAAGAGAATTATTTTCTTCTCATTTTCAAAGCCACACATTGAGCTATGAAAACTGATCCACATAATAAGGAAGAGGTTTTTGTTGACTGCGGGGATACCTTGGTAAGAAATGGTGAATCTGCTGACTGCTATTTCAAGGCCATATATTTCACAAATGTATATATTGTATATTTATTGTCTGTAAGTGTCCCATGCTCTCTCAAAATAAAATAAAATTATGCTAAAAAACTGCTACTAATAGAAAAACGTGTTCACTGAACAGCAAATGTTAAATTGGTATAAAAAACATTTTAGTTAGTTTTGACACACCTGTGTCCATTTTAAATACTACTATAAATGTTAGTACTTGGGATTCATGGCAAATATTTTGATTTCATCTCTAAAGAATCAAGTAGTAGATTTCATCCCAGAAAGTAAAACTCGATGATACTGCTCTTGATATGATTCTGCCTTGGGGAAAACTCTTCAAATGTCACAGTTTTTATGATCTACCACAGAAACAAAGAAATTCACATATGGCCCCTTATTTTCATATCAATTTCCATAAAACAAAAGAAAGCAGCTACACCATGAAGTTGAGGAATAAGAATTCATATTAAACAAAAGAAATGCACATACTGCCATGTTTCAATATTTGCTCCACGGAAGAATTACAAAATGCATGCAAAACAAAGTTATATCTACCTGTCTTGTCTTCTCTAATATTTTGAGGACAGAGAGAGACGGAAAGGCTGGTTCCTGTGGCTTGTTCACTGACACCAAACTGCACGTTCAGTCGAGTAGCCCTTATTACATAAGTTTTAGTTGATATGCAGGAAACCTGTCCTACTCGCTATGCAATGTGTTCACATGAAAACAGACAGAACAAAGAATGAAGACTCTCTACTCCAGTGAACAGACGCCAACTTACTTCCATCTGGAAGGCGCGCCACTACAATCCCGCTGCCTCCTCTGGCAGTCACCAGGAACCCGGCTTTGATCACAGACAGAATTGCAAGGCCTTTAGCCTTCGCAATTACGTGAGCTGTTAACGTGGAAAACAATGGGAAGGTAAGCATTTTGATCTATGTGCCTGGATAGACGAGCAAGTGTTAAACAGAGTCAGTGTACACAGAGGTTATCTCTAGGAATTCGGGGCACACAGGAGCAATGAACAAAAGTCAGTCACTCAACAGATGGGCACGAGGCCTCTCTATTCCCATGAATGTTTTTTGTGTTTGCTATTTTTGCAGTGCTAAACACAACATCATAAATATCCTCACATCCTGTAACTGACAAAATAAATTAGATATTTGAAAGAGATTTTATTGCTATCTATTAGCAGGGCAAATATTTTGGCAATTTCAATTAATTTAGGATATAGTACATAAAAGATAAAAGCTACATTTTCAAAGAAATTAAGATCCATATAGTATTAAGGAGAAACTTTAAAAATTACAAAAAGGCAGCATGAATTAGAACTTTGATCTTAAAGCCACGTAGCTAAATTAACCTTGTATTAATATAAAAATTTGGATTCAAAAACAGAAAAATTAAGTAATTTTCCAATGTTAAAACATTTTCAACTTTATAAAATGATCTGCTATAGCATTTGAGTACCACTTAACTATTAGTACACTGATAATATAATTCCATTTAAAAATATTGGTTTATTCACATGTCAGAGATGTTCATTACATAAAATGAGGGTTATTGGTATATGTATCCACTGAATATAGTGCCACACGATTCTGTGAATTTACGACACAATAACACCTCATTCAAACTAACGAGGGAAGCCTAACATATAACTTTAAGGTAGTTTAACTTATTATTATTTTTATCAAATATTCTGCCAAGGAAGTGAAGTCAGACATGGGGCTCTAGTACACAGAGCAAAAGCTTTGCAGATGACCCAAGAGAACACTAAAATTCTCATGTAATTATGCCACCATTTCAAAGTTTAAATTAAGAACCGACTCTTGGAAATAATTCATCCAACACCATGAAGTTTGCATGCAGAACATTTGTGGAGCTGTTCTTAATAAGAAAGCTACAGAAAATAAGGTTGCATCCTGGATGGCTGTCTACTAAGTGTACTTTATTTTTGTATTTTAAAAGGTTATAATTATATTGTAACAAGATTGAAAGCTGTATTATATGTTGTGCAGATTTATTTTTACAGCCACCTGTTGGCAGAATGTCTTCCTCACATTCTGTTCTCGATGCTTCTAGAGTTGCTATTGCCCCTATTGGGAATATTAGATATTAACAAAAGCACATTTTAAAATGGACATATTCCACATGTCAATTATATTTTTACAGATTTCCACTCAAATTCAGGGACACTAACATATTAATAATCCCTGAATAATCTGCCAATTAGCTTTTGATTTATAACATAGAATGTACCAATTATAGATTTAATTGCTAAATTAAGTTTCACCTACTTCTTAGAATCCTAACATTAGAGGAGGCCAAACACACCACTGGGAAGGTTTTAAGATCTAGATGTCTTGTTTAAATATTTTGTAGATGCAACTGTTTATCCTATGAAATAGCATCTTTGTTTTAATGTAAACATAATGCCCCCCACCAGACTCCCAGGAGAAGTGGGCCTGGATCTCTGTTGGCTGTGGAACTTCCATCGTTGCCACACCCATGCTTTGGGGCAATCTCTTACTTAGACTAACATGCAAACAGAATTTCTTTTTCTGAGCTTCACCCACTGAGACGGGCTCCTTCAGAATACTGATACTGAAAATCTAGTTTTTCTTGTTGAGTTTTCTTTAAGCTCTAAAGCAGCGCTTCTGAAACTAGTGTGTGTGTGCACCTCACTGGGACCTTGGGAGGAATGCAGACTGATTTGTGACGTCTGAGCAGATTTCTCACAAGCTCCCAGGGGATGCCAAGCTGCAGATTCAGACTATACCTGGAGCAGTAAGGCTCTAACAAGCACCGTTTCCTCAAGACAGGAGAAGTCACCGGGCCAATGCAACAACAATTAATATCATGATTAAGATTATTAAAACAACAACAAATTTTTAAAGCATTAAAGTTCTATTAAATAACTTTAGATATCTGGCTTAGAAAAATTAACTTTATCTCTTTAATGCAGGACCCAGAGTCATGCACTCTGATTAACTAAGAGGGAGGCTGGTCTGTAACACTGTCCAGGCTAACTGGCATGAGACAAGTATGCTATGAACACCCTTTGGAAATAACTAGAAGTGGTGATGAACAGATAGTGGTTTTCAAAGGCTCCCCTCTGGACTGATCTTATGTGTCACTGACTACTTAAGAATTACATGAGAAACATGTTTAAAACATGCATTCCTGGACACACTGCACTAAAAGTCTGATTCAGCAGGTTTGGAGTGAGGTTTAAGAACTGTGCCTTTATGGTCTAGGGGATACTGATGCACATCTGTGTTAGGAATTACTGATTAATGTCTTAAACCGCTAGAGAATGTAAATGTCTTATGTGGAAGGAGGAAACACAAAATTAAAATTTATGTATGAGATTAGCTGGTGAGTTTGCGAGGTTAGCTTGCAGAGTTCTTAGCACGCGATGCAAAGGACAGGCGAGGCTGCAGAGAGCTCAAGTGGAGCAGGAACATGTGGTGTTTAGGGCGCTGGCACCCTGGGATGGGAGGCAGGAGAAAAAGCCTATGCAAAAGGGAGAGACAGGGAGGGAAGAGGCCCTGCTGGTTTGCCTGGTCTGCAGCTGGCCCTGTCCAGACCCCTTCCACCTGGAGTAGCAAGGCCTTATGATGACTGTTTTCTCATGATGGGAGAAGTGGCAGGAATGCAACAATAATTAATATCATTATTTTATCATTATTAAGATTATTCTATCAATAACAAATTTTTAAAACAGAGCTCAGAGTCACGTGCTGTGATTAATTAAGAGGGAGGTTGGTCTGTAACATTGCCAAAGTTAATTGGCATTTGGATCTCCTTTGCATGAAACAAGTTATGCTGTGAACACCCTTTGGAAATAACCAGAAGTTGTAATGAACAGGTAGTAGTTTCCAAAGCATCCCTGGATCAGTCATGAGAAAAAAGGTGGTGGAACAAAAGGTGGCTGAACTACTTGTTGGCATTGATGGAGGCTTCTGCCTGAAATGGAGTGTCGAACAATGCAAAAAACAACTTAGGAAAAAGACATTTAGAGACAAACAGCACTCATCCTATTTACCTACCAGGAATGATCTTATCAGGTCCATTTCTGGAAGTTATTTCTGTGAATTCTCTTAATATTTTGGCAGCCTTTTTTGCTTCTGATTTCAAATTGGAAGGTATAGGGTTATTCACTGAAACATAACAAAAGATATTTTAATGAAAAATTCTGCTAAATAGAAGTGAGAAATTTATTATTATTTCATTCTTCTCATATACAATTGTCAGAGGTGTTCAAACCAGAGGGACTCCATTTTGAATAGGAGCTGGGTGAAATAAGGCTGAGACCTACTGGGCTGCATTCCCAGAAGGTTAGGCATTCCAAGTCACAGGATGAGACAGGAGGTCCGCACAAGATACAGGTAACGAAGACCTTGCTGATAAAACAGCATGCAGTAAAGGAGCTGGCCAAATCCACCAAAACCAAGAAGGCAATGAACGTGACCTCTGGTCATCTTCACTGCTCATTATACACTAATTCTAATGCGTTAGCTGCCAAAAGACACTCCCACCAGCGCCATGACAGTTTACAAATGCCATGGCAACATCAGGAAGTTACCCTATATGGTCTAAAAAGGAGAGGACCTCTCAGTTCCGGGAATTGCCCACCCCTTTTCCAGAAAACTCACGAATAATCCACTCCGTGTTTAGCATATAATTGAAAAACAATTGTAAGTATCCTTAGTTGAGCAGCCCATGCCACTACTCCACCTATTGAGTAGCCCTTCTTTATTCCTTTACTTTCTTAATAAACTTGCTTTTACTTTATGGACTTGCCCTGAGTTCTTTCTAGCACCAGGTCCAAGAACCCTTTCTTGGGGTCTGGATCGGGACCCCTTTTTGGTAACACAATGAAGCATTACCACAGCATAGCCTATCAAAGGAAATGACTGGAAATCCTCATTGACAGTATCATCTCTATTTCTCCTAATAAATCAAATCTATGCTGAGAGTCAGAAACTCTAAACTCTCATCTCAGAAATTATAAAATCCTTGGGCCCCAAAGGATGTTAAACAAAACCTGGCCAAACCTCCCTGTTATGTATCTTCTTCCTGCAATTAACAGACTTCAATACTAATTTAAAATAAGAATTTAAAATTTAAAAATATATTTTGTAACTATCTATAATATATAGTATAAATTTAATATATTTTGTTGTTCTTGCCAAAAATGTTGGAACTGGCTGCCTGTAGACTTTCTGATGAGTAAAACTCTAGGAAGACTTGGGAATTGAGCCTACAAGTAACGCCGGCCTGCATTTCTATGGCACTTTACGTTTACAGTGTTGCCTGGACATTCATACACTCATCAGAGGGCTTGTCATAACAAAGCTCACATAATTCTTCCAGCTCTGAAGTATATCGAGAAGATAGACTATTCTCTTGTTACTGGACGAGGGATCAGCAGAGCGAAGAAGCTGAATAGCTTCAGTGTAGGACCACAAGTGCCCTGAGGCTGAGAAGTTCTTGTCTCACTGTCTACAATTAGGAGGCACATGCGTGACTGACTGCAGGATGCCAGGATCTGGAAGGTTGAAGGCATTCATTTCCACTGTTTCGCCTCAGTAATTTACAGAACAGAGATGAAGTACGCTAATGGAAGCTTGCTTTTGTAAAAGGAAAATAAATCTCAGGACCCCAGAATCACTGAGCCAAGGGAAAAGTCAAGCTGGGAACTCTGTGAGGCAAACCTGCCTCCCATTTTATTCCTAAAAAGATAGCTACAAAGGTAAGAAGCTACACACCTCCCTCACAATTTGATCACAAGGAAATTCCCTGTGGACAACAGATGGAACTCAGACTCATCCCTCTGCTCACGTGAGACAAATGCATATCTGATTGTTTCCTTTGCCCTGTTGTTTCACTAAGCCAGACTACAGCCTAAGTGACTATTCCTGTAAATCACAAAGGCTAATCAGACACTCAAAAGAATGCAACTGTTTGTCTTCTATCTATTTATGATCAGGAAGCCCCCTACCCACTTCAAGTTGTCCCGCCTTTCTGGATCTAATCAATCTTACATATATTGATTGATGTCTCATGTCTCCCTAAAATTTATAAAACCAAACTATACTCAAATCGCCTTGAGCACGTCATCAGGACCTCCTGAGGCTGTGTCATGGGCTGTCCTTAACCTTGACAAAATAAACTTTTAAAATTGATTAAAACCTGTGTCAGAGCTCATGTATAAACTCATGGTTTATTCTTTCGACAGATCAAATGCTGAAACAGCAGAGAAAAAAATCCCTTTCTTTTATTCAGCAAAATATAAATATCTCCAATAAAATGTGATATATTTTGGTGCCTGGAATGTTTGAAACATGTAATTTATCTTAAAAGTGAAAACTGGCTGGGTACTCCCAGCACTTTGGGAGGCCAAGGGAGGAGGATCACTTGAGGCCAGGAGTTCGAGACCAGCCTGGGCAACATAGTGAGACCCCCATCTCTACCAATAAAATGATTTAAAAAATTAGCCAGTCATGGTCCTTGCTGAAGTCCTTGCTACCCAGGAGGCGGAGGCAGGAAGATCACTTGAACTCAGGAGATCAAGGCTGCAGTGAGCTATGACTGGGCTACTGCACTCCAGCCTGGGCAACAGGGCAAAGCCCTGCCTCAAAATAAAATAAAATTTTAAAAAGTGAAAACTGACTTAGGGTCATTTTGGAGTTCTATTTAAATTTCTTTAAAAGATGTCAGTATCAGTTCTTTGTGGCTCAACACAGGAGTATTAACAAGATCCAGACCAGGAAAAAAATCCATCCCAAGATTCATCAATGGTATTAAGTCAGATAGAGGAAGGTATTTCCACAGATACTTTATGCAAAATTAAGTGTGCATGATGCATGTGTGTAGCTCTTTACTCCTTTTAAAAACAAGTGGCATCACAGCATTAGTGTATTTTGGCATGTTGCATTTTTTAATCAATGTTATCTCAGAATAGTTAAAATACTGCCTCTCAGTGTAGGCTTTTCAAATCAACTTCATGAGATACAATTTACAAAATGAAATCTACCTGTTACAGGTATAGCTCAGTGTGCATGGACAGAGGTAGAGACCACTCCTGATCACAGCATCCGTGCCCTCTGTAGTGGTCACTCCTATACCCAGCCCCTGCCTCAGGTTAGTGCCAATCTGATTTCTGTCATTAAGTATGAATTTTGTCTGTGCCAGAACTTCATATAGTCATCAGTGTGTGTTCTTTTCTGTCTAGCTTATTTTACTCACCATGAAATTACTGAGACTCAAATTGCTGCACAGATCAGCTCTTCCTTTTTGACTGCCAACTGGTATTCTAATGTGTGGACATAGCACAATTTGTCCTTCCAGTCACTGTTGATAGACAATTGGGTTGTTTCCAGCTTTTGGCTATTACAAATAAAACTGCTATAAATATTCCTTTGTAAGCCTTTTGTAAAAAAATGTTTTATGGCCGGACACGGTGGCTCACACCTGTAATCCCAGCAATTTGGGAGGCCGAGGTGGGGGGATCACCTGAGGTCAGGAGTTCAAGACCAGCCTGGCTAACATGGTGAAACCCCATTTCTACTAAAAATACAAAAAATTAGCCAGATGTGGTGACGTGCGCCTGTAATCCCAGCTACTCAGGAGCCTGAGGCAGGAGAATCACTTGAACCTGGAAGGTGGAGGTTGCAGTGAGCCGAGATGGCGCCATTGCACTCCAGCTTGGGCAGCAAGAACGAAACTCCATCTCAAAAAAAAGAAAAAGAAAAAATGTTTTATTTCTCTTGGGTAATTACCTAGGATAGGAATTGCCAGTTCATGTGGTAAATGTGTATTTAACAATGTAAGGAGCCACCTAAGAGTTCTCTAAAGTGATTACACATTTCAGGCTTCCACCAGAAACTTTTATAAGAGTTCTGGTTATTCCATATCCTCACCAACACTTGCAATGTCCAGTTTTTAAAATTTTAGTTATTTTAGTGGTACACAGTGGCCTTTCACTGTGGATTTAATTTTCGTTTCTCAGATGACTAATGATGTTGAACACTTTTTCCTATTTCTATATCTTGTAAAGTGTCTGCTTAAATCTTTTGTCCACGTCCTTTAACCACTTATTATTATTATTATACTTTAACGGAGTTGTTTTTTTGCTTGTTAATTTGTTTAAATTTCTTATAGATTCTGAATATTAGGCCTTTGTTGGATGTAGAGCTTACAAATATTTTCTTCTATTCTGTAGGTTGTTTTCTCTGTTGATAGTTTCTTTTGCTGTTCAGAAGCTCTTTAGTTTAAGTAGGTCCCATTTGTCAATTTTTGTTTTTGTTGTAATTGCTTTTGGCATCTTTATCATAAAATCTTTGCCAGCGATTATGTCCACAATGGAATTTCCTAGCTTATCTTCCAGAGTTTTTACAGCTTTAGGTTTTACATTGTTAAAACAGGCTAAATGTGACCTGAGAAGAACTCCATACTTCAATATTTGAGTCCTTGTAGATGAACTGCCACCTAACTTAATATGTAGACAAGATTGAGAACTTAACTTAGGAGTATGCATCTGTAACAATAGCTCAGTCTTGGCCAATCCCAGCAGCCATACTTCAACCACTCATACACTGCTAAGTGTTCACATAAGGAAAATGATGAGCTGTAACCAATCCAGTTGTTTCTGTACTTCATTTCTGATTTCTGTACGTCACTTCCCCTTTTTTGGTCTATAAATTTGTTCTGACCACGAGGCATCCCTGGAGTCTCTCTGAATCTGCTGTGATTCTGGGGGCTGCCCGACTTGCATATCATTCATTGCTCAATTAAACTCCTTAAAATTTAATTTGGCTTAAGTTTTTAACAACATTCAAGTCTTTAATCCATCTTGAATTGTTTTTTTGCATATGGTATAAGGAAGGGGTCCTGTTTCAGTCTTCTGTGTATGGCTGGCCAGGTATTCCAGCACCATTTATTGAATATGGAGTCCTTTCCCCATTGCTTATTTTTGTTGACTTTGTCAAATATCAGATGATTGTAGCTGTGTAGCATGAATTCTGGGCTCTCGATTCTGTTCATTGTTCTATGAGTCTGTTTTTGTACCATTACCATGCTGTTTTCATTACTGTAGCTTTGTAGTATAGTTTGAAGTCGGGTAGCATGATTCCTCCAGCTGTTCTTTTTGCTTAGGATTGCCTTGGCTATTTGGGCTCTTTCTTGGTTCCATATGAATTTTAAAATAGTTTTGTTTTCTAATTCTGTGAAGAATGATATTGGTAGTATAATAGGAATAGTATTGAATCTATAAATTGCTCTAGGCAGTATGGCAATTTTAATAATGTTGATTCTTCCTATCCTTGAACAAGGAATGTTTTTCCATGTTTGTGCCATCTCTGATTTCTTTCAGCAGTGCTTTGTAATTCTTGTTGTAGAGATCTTTCACCTCCTTGGTTAGCTGTATTCTTAGGTATTTTATTCTTTTTGTGTAAAATAGGTGTTTTAAATTGTATAATCTGCCATTTCTCGATCTGTTTTTGACTGATTCTTCTTCCAGCTATGGGTTATGTTTTCCTGTTTTTACTCCTTTCTAGTAAAACAGGATTGTAGATATTACCATGTTGAGTGCCTAGATTTCATTGCTTCCCTTAAAAGTGTTAACACTTGTGTTAGCAGGCAGTGAGTTACTTGTAGATCAGCTTGATCACTTGTTGGCTTGTTGTTGTGTTCTGTTTGTGTGTCTAGAGTAGCCTTTAGAACTATTTTATCCATCAAGGTGTGTCCCTTCTGGGCTCTCTCCTGGGTGCCCTGGTTGTTTAATAAGCTGTCTCCATTGTGGCTGTTTCGAATGGCTGTCCCCAGCCTGATGCAAGCACTGTGAATAGTTCACCTCAAAGCTTCATGGCAGTTGTTCTTGCCTGCTTTGCAAATTTCACCCTACACAGCTAGCACTTAATATTCAGCAGAAGGCTCAGGGGGATCCCTCTGCAGATTTCTGGAGCTCTTTCTCTCAGCCGTCCCTCATTGCTAGTAACATGCTCTGCAAATTCCAGTTACCTCAGCCTCTTCAGACTCAATTTCTGCCTCTTCTTTTAAGCAGGAGCCTGGGCTCTGGGTGCCCCCTCCTTGTCCTGCAGTTTAGGAAGTGCTCCAGGCAGAAAACGGTCACTAATGGAGTTCACCTCCTGTTCCCCTTATCTTGTGGATCTCAGACATGTCCACCATGTGCAAAAAGTGCTCTACACACAGCTGTCCAGTTTCCTAGCTGTTTACCATGTGTGAGTAGCAGGAGCCATTTCGCTGCCCTGGCCAGTAGCTCTCAGTGCATTTTCCATTTGTTCTTTTATGATGAGCAATGCTGACCACATTTCACTCTCTCTATCAAAGGTTTCTCATGCACCTTGTTATTTACAGGGGGTTTCTCTCTGTTTCTTATTAATTTATACATTAAAAATTAATATTTTTTTGGAATATGAGTTAAAAACATTGACTCTCTGTTACTTGTCTTTTGAATTTGCTTTTTTTTCTGTTTTTTCTTAATGAAATCAAATCTGTCTTCTATCTTACAAGGGTCTTTTAATAAAACACAGTAATTTTGAAGTTCAAATGGGAAAATAAACAAGCAAGAAGAGCTAGGAAAAAATATGTAATAGGAGAACAATGACAGCCCAGCCTTGACAGAACCTGTGACACATTACAAAGCCTCAATAATTAATACATAATAGCAGATGCAAATATAGGAGAAAAATCAATTCACAAAGAAGAAAATTCAGAAATTAACCCAAATATATTTACAAATTTAGTATATAATAAAAATGACACCTCAATTCTATGTTGAAATGATGTATTGCATACTAGATAATGTTCATTTGGGGAGAAAAACAAAAATTCATTCACAGCTTTGTGTTACAGAAAGATAAACTCCAAATTCATTGAAGATTTAGAGTGTCAAATATCAAATTATAAAAGAACCAGGAATTATAGAATTTTTTTTCAATTTCATAGTGGAAAAGACCCAAGTATGGCAACAAAATTTCTATATTTCTATATTTTTACATGATCAGCAATTATTTGTACAACGTACAAATACATTGTAAAATACAGGAAAAAGTACAGATATGAAAATATGAAGGATAAAAAGCATCTATAACATTAATACTCACCAATACTACTGTCTGCATTTTGATGTATGCTTCAATTGATTCCTATTGCGAAACATGTAGACTGATTCCACTTTTAGCTTTTATAGCCATTACTATCAGGTGGTAATTATCTTGGGAGAGATGCTCTAGATGCTCAATATGTTTTAATTACATTTATACATATATCTAGATGCTGGATACATTTGAATTAGTTCACTGGAGTGGAAACTTGTTCTTTCTGCTGCTGAATATTTCATCTACTTTATTTCAGAGGCAGCACAACTTGTCTGCTTACATTGATGCTGCAGCCATAGTATCTGGAGTGGATTGGGTGACCCGAGGCTGCTGTATCAGGACGACATTCCTTTTGGTGCCACAGCAGGGCTTTATAACCAAAGCTGGTCCAATACCAGCATCTGATGGGGGACTTGTATAGGAGCTGCCAGAATAACTTTTTCCAAGGCACTTCTGTTTCCACTTGCTGTGGGATTTTTGTCTCCACAAGGGGAGAGTCTGAGAGCAAAGCCTTCATAGGGGAACCTGGCAGAAGGTGGAGAGAGCACCTGGGCTCTGCAAAGCCAGACTGAAGTCACAAGCCGCTCTGGACTTCTTCGTCAAATGGACCAGCAACATCTTTTTCTGTTAAAGCAATTTAGACTAGATTTTCTGATACATGCAACTGAAGCACTGTAAATAATACATGAATCTTATCCCCTCAGAAGACTTTCTACTTTGAACTCTCTCAACCAAGCAGTATTAGAGCAAATAAGCAAATTCCTCAGTTGAGAGTTAATCTTGCAAACATCCTGCTGTAGGGAAAGGTCATGGCCTGATCTGTAAACACGGGAAGAGAGCCATTGGACTTGGGAATCAGATGCAGCCTCACACGGCTGCAGACCGCAAGACTCATCCTAGACACAGCTTATGTCACTGTGATCCAGCTGTTGACAAGGCTGGTCACAGTGAGGACATCTTCAGTGTGTCAGCTGAACTACAGAAAATGTTACAGATTCTAATCAACTTCTGATAAAATCATGCGTGGTCATAGTTACATGCAGTGAATTTCTCTGTCAGAACAAAAAGAATATGCAAATAAAAATTTAGACATAAGCCTCAAATCCCATCCTCAGCATCAAATGATGGCTCACCCATTTTTCCTCTGCTGTACCATAAGGCATATAGAGCATGACCTGATCAGAGTGCTGATGTCCCATTCTATCATACTGATGAAGACACAGGTCATTACTAATGAAGCCTCTTAAACCTCACATCATGGTTAGCATCTGCACTCTCATAAACGTCTTAAGTCCCTTGAATCAGGCAAAATCTCTATAAATATTTAAGTTTTTTCTAAAAAAAGAGTGGCTGCCAAACCTCAAGCTAAGAAACTTTCAAATAAAGTTTTCTTTAAAACAAAAGTTAAAATGTTTTAAATTTTCATAGTAACACATTTTTTTTTTAAATTAGAAGGTCTTATAAAATACCGGAAAGACAATTTTTACTTTGGAAACCTCAAAAGCATAAATCAGCTTAAGATCTGGAAATAATTTTAGGTATTGATCGCAGTTCTATAAACTCAATGCTAGAGTCACTGGGGACAAACAGGGACATGAGAATCCTACTCGGAGTAAATTGCCACCTGAGGTGACAAAGCTGACTACGGTTTCCAATCTAGTTGTACACGGAGGGTCAGGAATGAAAGCAAGAAGACCCAAGGGCCCCTCTCCACCACTTTCCTTACCAGAGTTCAGATTCCCAAACTTTTGCTTCCCTTATATTATTTTCTTCAATGGACTCTAATTATGAAAGGAATACTTACAGGAAAGCAAGCTTACTAAATTTGGTTTTCCAAGTTCTTACTGATTACATATTAATCAAATTATTAAACCTTATACTTTATGTGAAATGGAGGTTAACTCATTAAACTGATAAAATTCCATCTAAGATCAAAGGAACTTGAATGCTGCTAAAGGTATATTTAGAATAAACTAAAGAAATCTTAGCCAAAAGAAAGTGTATGTATCTAATCTTTAGAGAGGCTTTCAAATGTTGCTTTAAGCTACTTTTATTAACAAAACTGCATTTTGAACTCCACTGCTTGACAACTATGGCCTTTGTTTCTTAAGTCAATTCTTACCTTTCTGGGGCCTTGGTTTAACTACTTCCTTTGTTTTAAGGACACAAAGCTTGTCAGTTCTCAAAATAAAAACCTGTCTCTCTGGTCAGATCATTAACTCCCTAGTCAAACTTTCAGACTACCGTCTGAACATCAAGTGCTAGCCTGAGCTTGTTTCCAGTCCCCCAACCCCAGGCTGTGGCTGGGGAAGGAAGAGGACAGCGAAAGCTTTCTCTGCTCCCTCGGGAGACAGGAAAGCCCTTTATTTATTCCTGCCCTTCCTCTTCTCCAACTGAAGAGTGTGATCTTGGTACAGAGCAGTTCCACACATGCCACACTGGTCTGATCTTTTAGAGTAAAAAATGGGATCTTCTCAGAGAAAATTTTTTTAAAAACTTCATGTGCTTAGGTCTCAGAGCAGAGAATTTTGTCTTATCATGACGCCACTCACTGGCAAACAAGCTGGCGTGCACAGGGACTTGTGAGGCTCTCAGCAGAGTCAGGGTAGCAGTTATTTCCCTTTGACTGCCTCAACTTCCTATGTTTGTGTTGACATGCCAGATCCTTATTTCTGCGGAATGAGAAATCTCTTGAGAATAAAGTTTTCCTAAACAGAACAAAAGTATCAAATCACTTTTGATGAGCAAACATTATTTTAAACTTTTTTTTAACTTACAAAAGATGAGGGGTAACATTTACTAGTTTTACAGAAATTTTCTTTAAACAGAACATTAGTGAACCAAATAACCAATTCTCCTCAAACATGATAGACAGGATGGAGGTTATCACTTTGATCATTTTAACCTCCAACATAGTAATTTGTAAACATCAGTCGCTGCACAAGTATTTTAATAACAGGCCAGCCCACGGGAGTAAACAGCACCTTAGCCTCGAGACCTGTTCTCTCAACTGTGTGTACAGATTTTCTAAGTCGTTATGAATTCAGATATTCCCTACATCTCAATAAAAACACCTAGGAGAACAAGAAATCAGGACATGCATCTCCTGTAAGCAGAAGAGAAACCGAGCACCTGCTCTCTTGCGGGGGGGCAGCTTCGTGTCACTTTCCAACTCAGCCTCCACAGGAGCATGGGCATATTGGTTCAAATGAAGTGTAAAGGACACATCTCTGTCCACAGTGTAAATCCTATTTCCTTAAGGTGGTCAACCGATTGAGACCAGTTCCACACTTCCTTAAAGAAGGAAAAACTCAGCAGCCAGCGCCAAGGCCCAGCGATCAGAGAGGACCCGTGCTCGCCGCGACCCCGCGCTCGCCCTGTGGCCCCGCGACCCCGGCGCCAGGTGTTGGGGGGACCGGCCCTTCCCTTCCGGGTGTGAGGGGCTGGCCCTTCTCTTCCAGGTTGGGGGGCTGGCAAACTCGAACCTCGCCGGCGCCCTAGCCAAGGCCTCCTCCCCGCGCCTGCCGCGGGTTCCACGCACATTCCAAGCGCGCGCATTCGACCCAAACTTCAGAGACGCTTCTGTGGAACGGAAGGATGGTCGCTGACACCTCGCCGTTCAAATATCAGGAAGTTAAAAATAACACGACCATCGTCATCATTCCAAACTTCGGAATAGCTTTTCTAAAAATGGAAAAGACGGTGGCTAAACTTCAATCAAAATCGCTGTGGTCAAGAAAGTCCTGGAAGCTGCTCTATCTTAACTTTGGGCGGTTTGCGGTTAACAGACGCGCGACCTAGAAACCCCAGAGGCATCGCCGGTTTTCCCGTCCTCCTCCTCCCACCACCGCCCAGCTCTTGAGAGGGGAGGGTGCTGCCGGACAGGTGGGTCCCCGGGTACTCACTGCTGCCCGCCCGGCCGCGGCGCCCCGTCCCGAGGCTGCCCAGGAAGAGGAAGGCGCGCTGCCCCGCCCCGCGGACAAGGAGGCCCCAGCGAGGGCGTACCTGCGGCAGGTGACGAAGGAGGCGGCGCAAAACACCCGCCGTGTACGTTTCGCGGGACAAAAACCACGCGCCCGCCGGGCCGCGCTCAGGCCTTCGCCCTCAGGGACTTCGGAACCGCCCCGTCCTCAAGATCGAAAAGCCCAGAGCCCCGCGGCGGCTCCAAGCACGGTGTTGGGGGTGGGGGTCTCAGGGAGCGCCCAGGCCCAAGGCCGCCCTGGTCCGGCGTGGACCCCGCGGGGCTCAAGGCAGGTTCCCCGCGTGACCCGCCCAGCCCCTCTATGCGAACTCGAACGACAGGCACCACAGCCCGCCACGTGCGCGAGACTCGCGCTGTGCCCCAACCCAGGTGGGCGGCCCGCGGAGCCGCGAGGCCTGAGCCCGCCCTGCAGGTGACCCGCGGCCCTTCCTCCTCCAGGTACCCCTCTCCTGCGGCCCCGTCCCCTATAGGTAACCTTTACCTCCCGCGGCTCCTTCCCCTCCAAGCGACCCGCAGCCCCGCCCCCTCCAGGTGACTCCCCCCCGCCAACCCCCGCCACCACACACACACACCCCCTCGCCTTCCGCGGCCCTACTCCCTCCAGGTGACCCCACCCCCGCAGCTCCTCCTCCTCCGGACAACCTGCAGCCCCGCCCCTGCAGGTGAACGGCGGCCCAGTCCCTGCAGGTGACCCGCGGACCCTCCCCGCCCGTCCTACTACCGTCATAGGACCGCCTCCGCAGGCGCACTGGAGCCGATTGCGCAGGCGTGGCTCTCACACGCGCTGCCCTGTTGGCGTTGGTGCGGGACTGCGCAGGCGCGCGGGGCAAGAGGGTGGCAGTGCGCCTGCGCCGCGTCGGCGTGCGGAACGCCGCGGTGTCTCGGCGCCTCTGCGCGCGGGAAGATGGCGGAACAGGCTACCAAGTCCGTGCTGTTTGTGTGTCTGGGTAAGAGGGCGCCGACTTACTCATGTTCTGACGTCCTCTGGAGAGTTGGATCGGGCTTGTGCGCTGTAGGTTGTGCCGCCGGCCTAGGAACCATGAGGGGGAGGAGGCCAGGGACTGGGAGGCCTAGGGTGTTCTAGGAGTGTGCCGCAGCGCCCCTGTTCCCCATCCGCCCCGTGCACCCGCCCAGCCTGCCCGCTAAACCTGGGTCCCCTCGCGCCTGCCATATATCCGGGGCTCTTGGCATCTGCAGCCACAGCCCCTACAAGCCAAGGTACTTTCTTTGCGACTACTAGAATCCCTCTCGTTCCCCTCCAATGGGCCCAGGTAGGCCTGGAGGTTGTCGGACTGATGTGGTCTCTTAGGGGCCTCCTGAGTCCTATGACAACATTGTTTTGTTTGCTAGTTTCCTTAGCCCATGCTTAGATAGGGATCTGAGTTAAAGGGAGATGAAGTTTTACGGTTTCGGGTTTCTTGATTGTAAAAGCCAAGCAAAGGAGACCTGGAGGTCCCTATATAACTTTGGCCCATGAAAAATGAAAGTGTATTTTATTAATGGCTTTTCAGGAACTTTCCAGCTTAAATTATTTTCACTCCTAGAATTTCAACACTTAGCTTGCCTTACTTCAAACATAATTTATTTTCCGTTTGGTCTTCAGGGATCTTCCTTTGGTGTAGCACTACAAGGTTATATTCCTCGGTGCCTCCACCCTGAGAGGAAGGCCTAAATTGTCAGTAGTCCGGTTACTTAAAACCTTCTGTGAGTTTGCATTTCCTGCAGTTTCTGTTTATTTTTACAGACTCCTCACTTTATCTCCTGTACCTTTTCCTGCTCACACCCTCGGGACACTGCCTTCCAGAACCTTTCGTTGTTCGGTAGCACTTCACATGCTTACTGAGCCTTCATCGCTGGGTGCCCATTATGCATTTTGCCTGGAAAGCCTTTTTATTTTATAAAGTCAAACCTAAATATTTCCTCCTTTGCTTTCCCAGATCATGAGTTGCTTCCTTATCGACATCTTTTATTACACAAATTTTACTATAATTTGTGTAATATAGTAAAAGATGTAATACAGAAAAGGTGTGATTCCTTATCGACATCTTTTATTACACAAATTTTACTATAATTATTTGATAGTCTGTTGAAATCCCAGCTGAGTTTAATTTTGTCGATGGCAATAACTGTGGCTTATTTTTCATTTTGTTTTCAGCTTTAGGACAATATATGATAAACGCTGACTAGGTTTTGTAGAAGTTAACTTCTGTGAAAGACGAATTAGAAGGCTTACCTTGTTTCACATTGGTAGTGGGCATCATTTGATTTTTAAGACTCATTGAAGGCTGAATGATGAAATCAATAAGTTTATTAAACAGTAGTTTGGTTAAGGATGGTTACTAAATAATATTCCATTCCCTTGTATAGTTTTGGTTGGTATTGTCGATTATGCTGGCATAATGCATCATGGTTGCTGTTAATGGGGAAGTGTATCCTTGCATATACAGTAGTCCCACTTTAGCTGTAGGGGATACATTCCAAGACTCCCCAGTGGATCCCGAAACTGTGGGTAGTACCAAACCCAATTGCTGTCAATTGGAACATGTGTCTGCTCGTTTCTTACACCCACAAATGTAATACCGTTGCCACCTTAACTAAGCATTTAAAACTGTGGTCGCAACTTTTGCAGTTTGAGGCAAGACAGCAGACGATCAGGAATTTCTTTTTCCTTGTTTACATTTTCATGGATAGAAGATTTGTTCGTACTGTAGATCTTAGTAACCTCGGTATAAGTTTTTTTTTTCTTTCCATAAGAAGTCAAAAACTTTCACCTTTTTACTTAAGGGTAGTGCTTATGGCTTCTCTTTGCCGTATCTGAATTGCTAGCTTCACTACTCTTATGATTTCGGGCCATTATTAGTAAACTAAGGGTGACTCGAACTCAGGCACTGTGATAGCATCACAATGGATCTGATAAGCTAGAGGGCAATAGGTGGATAGACAGCATGGATATGCTGGACAAAGACGTGTTTCACTTCTGGGGCAGGACGGAATGGGATGGCATGAGAATTTATCCTGCTACTCAGAACAGTGCACAATTTAAAACTTAGGAATTATTTGTGGAATTCTTCATTTAATATTTTCCAACTGAAGCTGACCATGGGGTAACCATGGAAAGCAAAACCTTGGAAAAGAGGGGACTATTGTATTTCAATACAATTCAGTGATTTTTTGTTGTTGTTGAGCATCTACTATATGGCATGCATTCCTCTAAGTGGTGTGGTGAACACAACAGACAAAAATCCCAGCCTCTCTGGAGCTCACGTTCTCTCAGTCACCAGCAAGTATTAATTGATGTGCTCAATCGGTTGATGTGAAGATTAAGAAAAATAGAGCAGAAAAGGGGAATGGGAGTGGAGTGCAGTTTTGAGTGGGATGGTCAGGGAAGGCCCCACCTGATAGATGACTTTTGAGTAAAGACTTGAAGGAGGTGAGGAAGCAAGCCTAGGATATTTTGGAGAAGCATCCTGAACCCAGAGGAAAGCAGGTAAAAGTTTTGAAGGGAGAATACTGGCCATGGTCATGAACCGCAGGGAAGCTGCAGTGGCTGGGCCTAGTGGCCAGATAGTTTTTCTCAGTCAGGATTCCTCATCTATACCTGAAAATTTAGCAGATAATTTGAGCGCCTGTTTTCTCAGTGCTTCCATTGTAGATGTATAGGGAGAAGTTAATTCCTTATATACACTGGTCCTTTAGGGCAGGAGTCTGCAAACTCTTTGTTTAAAGAACCAGATTATAATTATTTTAGATTGGCTTCACATGACATACAGAAAGGGTGTAGCACAAAGTAGCCATCCATATGATGAACCTGGCTGTGTTCTAGTGGATCTTCATTTGTGGACATCAGAATTGGATGGAACTCTGTATAATTTTCACATGTCACAAGGTACTCTACTTTTAGATTTTTTCCAACTACTCAACAATGTAAAAATTATTCTTACCGCTGTGGGCTGTACATAAAGGCAGTGGACCATGAGCCGATTTTCAGACCCCTGTTTTAGGTCCAGATCTTGGGAGGCCATGTGAAGACTTGGGCTTACTCTGAATAAACATTGGAGGGTTTTGAGCAGAGGTGGGAAGTGATCAAATTTAAGTTTAAAAAAGAAGAGTTTCAGCTGTTGTTTTGAGATGAAACTGGAGGTGGAGCATGCCTTTACTGGTTGCATTCTGAGGGAATTTGAGCGGTAAATGGCATTTTACTTGGTAGCCATATAGAGGACAGTAAGAGTTGTATGCTTTTGAAATGTAAAAAACTTTGTTCATTCAAAGCATTTGTTTGGACCCTATTGAGATTGAAGTGTAGAAAAGCATCAGAGGTTTTTCATTGGTGAAGCTAATGATGGAAAATAATTGAGCTCCTTACTACAGCACAATTATGAAGGGTGCTTTATGTTTTTGCAATAGAGACTTATTAGTGAAGATGATGCAGGAGCCATGACCCAGCCAGCATGGTTGGTGGAGATAGCACATGCTGGTGGAGTCACTTTACTTCTGGGCTACACCCATACTGGGTGCTGGGTCTCTTACCAGGTATAGCAGACACAGCCCCACCCTCCCAGAGCCTATCTGCCTTTTATGAGTCTCCATCCTTGAATTGAAGATGCTGAAGAAGGGTATAAAATAGTCTGCCTAATTTGGAAAAGACAAACTTGAGACTTTACAGATTGAAACATTTTTTAAAGGCATTTGAAGATGGAATGTTCTGTTTTTAGAACTTGTTTGATAGGCGAAACCTGAAGTACATGCAGTGTTTCACTGATGACCGGGGTGCTCCATTTTTTCATAACAAAATTTGGTGGCATCAACTTTCGAAATCAACAGGGCAAGCTACTGCTAGCCTTTAGGACAGTTAATAATGCAAGTTTTCATATTGTTGTGGGGAAAGTAAGCTGTTATTTTACAGTTAAAGATAATTATTTGTAAACGTGTGGGGCTAGTCTTTATTATATTTTTAGATGCTGAGATACTAGGCATCTGTTGTTCTACAGATCCAAAATAATAATTGTCTTAATTTGGAATACAATGTTTGCTGTTAAAAATATTCCCAGGGTATATGGTGACAAGTAAAAGAGTTACACACCCATGGGAAGCCTTTCAATAATTAAAATAGTGCTGATGACAATACCTGTTTAGAAAACTAAACAAAATTTAGAATGTCGAAAGGAAAAACTTCACAACACAAATTAGCATATAGAGGGTATTCAAGGCTAATTTGTTGTCTTTCCCTTTATGGTTTGTAGGTAAGATTTTTTACTGCTGTGGAAACTACAGTCTCTGTGGGAAAAAAGTACGTAATATGCTTAGGTCTTACAATGTAGAAACTGAAGGCTGTAGTAAGGCAGTGAGTTGGTTTTCTGAACTAGGGAATTAGCTGTGTTTTACAACACTAGAAGATCCTCATTGTATTTGTTTATCATAAACAGAAGACCCTAATAGTGATAAAGAGTAAACTCTTAGTTAGTGCTGCCTATTCTCACAGTTCCTCTTTTTCGTATCTGTTTCCTAAATTCAGCTCCTAATGTCTGGACTCAGTGTGGTGCTTTGGCATTAAGGAGACTGGAAGGCCTCAGAGCAGCCCCAGAAGCAAGGTCGTAGAAACCATCATTTATCTTCCCCAGCGCAGATCATAGAAACTAGAACTCCTCTCCTGCAAAGCAAGCCATAAAACCTAGAAAGATCACTCTCTCCCTTTTGCCTTCTCTTGAAGACAGCATTTCAGAGGGGCCCTGCCTCATTCCTGGGGGAGGAAATGCTGTGGCCCTGCTGGGTTTCCCTCAGTCTGCTACCATTGGATCATTTCCTTTTGTCCAGTGCCATTTCTACACAGCTGTGCATTGGTCATCTAAGCATCAAAACCGTTTCCCTGGGTCTTTGGGTCTTCATTTCTGAAGGCTCTTGTTAACCTGTCTTTTGTTACAGGAGTATCTTCCATGACCTTTATGATGGGTGAGGAAAGCTGCCACACCTTTCCACTCTGACACTGTCTTGTATTTGCTCCTTCATACGAGCCTCTTACAAGGTCTCTCCAATTCAGTCATGTGCTCTTCTAGTGTTTCCTTAGCTGTGCCGGTAATTTTGGTAACTTGTAGGAAGGGTCTGTGTTTTAAACAACTTTCTGTCTTCAGGTTAGGGCACAGTGCTTGGCACATAGAGTTGGCATACAAAATATGTTTGTTGAATAAGTCATATTACCCTTTTCCATAGGACTTTCTATTTCTCCTCATAGTGGCTACGCAAAGTTCAAATGTTGGCCCAGTGTTTTAGGGCTCCTGTATACCAGCCCGTCAGTTTCCAGACACTGGCTCTCTGTACCTGAAGCATCGCAGCCTCACCTGCTTAGTGCCACAATCCCTCTGAGTTAAATGCCTTTCCCTTCCTCTGTCCATTAAGATCCTGATCATCCTTTTAATATCATCTCTAATCTTTCTTTTTTCTGGTAAGAAATTTTCTTATATCTTGTTTTTGCTTTGTAGCATCGTTCTTTTTCTGTGCTGCTGTAGTGTATTGTTTATCAGCATTCATTTTCCCACTTTTATTATAATAAATATAATAAATAAAGTGGAGATAGAGTTCAGCTGAATGGCCAGTGATTCAACCCATTGTGTCTCCCTCCGAAAACCCCAATAAAACCTCAGAGCACTATGGCTCTGAGGAGCTTCCTGGGTTGGCAGTGCTCTTTGAATATTGTCTCATGTTGATGACAGGAGAGTAAGGTGTCCCAGAGGACAGTGGAGCTACCTGTTAGGGAACCTCCCAGAATGTGCCCTATAGGTCACTTGCTTTGGCTGTTTTGTTTGTTTGTTTGTTTTTGTTTTTGTTGCTGTTACTATAATGAAATTGTAATGGTAAGTGTTCTGCTTTCCTGAGTTTGGGGAGTAATTCTAGGGAATTATCAAACCTGAGGGAGCCCTGGGGAACCTGGATTTCTCACTTGCTGGTCTAAAGTAAGGATGGCCCTGATGTCGACATCGTGGTCTGGAGAGTGGTGTCCCTGACCTTGGGCTGCTAATGCCTGGATCTGTATCCCTGGGCTCAGGGCTTTGCATGTGATCGCTCAGTAAATGTTGGTGTTGAATCGCTGTTTATGCTTAAATGCATGTTTGTGTGTTTGTGTATTGTTTTGTGAAACAGTAGTCATCCTTATGTGTGATATACTTGAAAATACATACAGTTGACCCTTCAGCCACAGGGGTTTGAACTTTGAAGGATTTATTCGAGGAATTTTTTTAATCAAGCACAGATGGAAAATACCGTGTTGTCTGAATGAGAAACCCATCTGTATGGAGGGCTGACTTTTCCTATACTTGGGCTCCACATTCTCAGGGGCCAACTATAGGACCTGAGTATGCACGTTTTGGTATACTGGGTAGGGGTGGGAGGGTGTCCTGAACCAGCTCCTGAGTCTACTGAGGGACAGACCACTGTATTTTATTTTTATTCTGTTGTATTTCATTTTAAAATAAGCTGGTTGCAACCCACTTCATTTTCGTGATTCACTCCTGGATCATTAGTAGCAACTCTTTAAACAATAATTTTTGTTGAAATTGTTTTTCTGATATCTTTGTCATCTGTACTTGGAGTACTTGGCTGGTTGGTGTCAAATCACTGAACTTGAGCCTGATAGGCTGTTCTCCAGCAGGGTCTACCCTCACTGGTTGGACAAAGGCGTCAAAGGATAGTGTTGGCCTTTGTTTTTCCTGAGGGATAGCACAGCCCCCGTGTGTCAGGTGTGTAAAGAAGGGGAGCTGGCATGTGCCCTTCCATCCAACCTAACCCTGTTTCCCCACCCCTCCCTTTTTTTAAAGGTAACATTTGTCGATCACCCATTGCAGAAGCAGTTTTCAGGAAACTTGTAACCGATCAAAACATCTCAGAGAATGTAAGTACCATTCATTATCTTAAAGAGGCCAACCTGAACTCCTCTGGGCAGGAAATTGCAAAAAAAAAAAAAAAATTCCATGTTTCTTCCCCTGCAGTGGAGGGTAGACAGCGCGGCAACTTCCGGGTATGAGATAGGGAACCCCCCTGACTACCGAGGGCAGAGCTGCATGAAGAGGCACGGCATTCCCATGAGCCACGTTGCCCGGCAGGTACCGTCCTTGGACTTGAAGTTGTGTGTTTTGTGTTTCAGTGGGTCATTGACAGCGGTGCTGTTTCTGACTGGAACGTGGGCCGGTCCCCAGACCCAAGAGCTGTGAGCTGCCTAAGAAATCATGGCATTCACACAGCCCATAAAGCAAGACAGGTAGACAAGCTCTTGTTCAATTTCTAATATATAGAGTCCAGTAACTTGAGAAGTAGCGAAAGGATTAACCAGACTTGTATATTAATGAATGTGTTTATTTAGGGTGAGCTTAACCAGCTATGGTGTGTCCATTTTGTTTCACTTCTGGTTGCACGGTGTTGAAAGACTTGCCTGACTTTGGAATTTACTTATTAAAATGCACATAAAAGCTAGGTAATTTATAATGAGAGAGCCTGACTGTGAGCTGGGGCTGAGCGGTGCTCTGTCTTCTGTTCCTTCCTGCATAATTTTTATTAAACATTTAGGCCATAGTAATCATCCTGCTGATATTGCAAGTTTGTTGCTAGAATGAGGTTATATAATATATACAAAAACATTTTTTCAACTGTAAAGTGCCTTAGTAATATAGGGTAATACCAGCAACATTATGGATATATAATTATAGTCTATTGGGCCACACTTAAGTTTGGAGTCTAATAAAGTCACAATCAAATTCTGCAATTTCAATTGAAGATAACCTTGTCTTTATATTATGAATTAGAAGCTAAAGTTGATTTTTCTAAGAGTTCTTTATTTAAATGAAGTACTCTGGGACTGACCTTTTCGGAAATGGAATCTTCATTGGTCAGGTGATTCAACATTTTTATACAATTTATCCATCCTCATCTCTTCAGGATTTGCATACCTTGCCAGTTTCTACTGGCCATTGTTGAAAATACATTTATTTGGAGAAGTCCAAAGCCAAGGGGCTCATGGGGCTGTGAAGTCCTTCTTGCTGCATCGTCCTGTGGTAGAAGGTGGAGGAGTCAAGAGAGTGCCCCAGAGTGAGTGAGAGCGAGAACTAGAAAAACGGGAAGAGGGAAACAGAGGAGAGAGAGAGAGAGGACCCATCAGTGTCAGGAGCCCACTCCCAAGATAGTGGCATTAATAAAGATCCTGCGTCTCACTATTGTTGCATTGGGGATGAAGTTTCCAACAAAGGAACTTTGGGGGACACATCCAAACCATAACATAGGATTTAAATAATTTTACAGAGTTCAAGAGTTCTGCTACTGAACCGTTTGAGATCCCTGTTCTGAGGTCTCATCACTTTCCAGTTTTAGCAGGAAGAGAAGTGGCAAGTGGCAGGAGTCTGCAGATTGGGGCCTGCACCTTTTTTTGAGGCACCTTTTTTATGAACAGTGTTTGTTGGAACACAGCCAGACTCACTCATTCACCTGTAGTTCGCGGCTGCTTTTGTGCTAGAGCAGCACAGCCAGAGCGGCCTGGTGGCCACAAAGCCCGACTGTCTCTGCAGCACTGGTTTTTTATATGGCGTTTCTAGTTGTTTTTAGTAGTAGGGGTGATTTGCCACAAGCTGTTTCATTTATAGCTGCAAGTGGAAATCCTTTATTGTGCATTTGTTACATAAGTTATAGCTGTTTCTTTCTCAATTATTGTAACATCTAAAAATTATGTAACAGTTACTAAGTCTTTTTTTATGAAAAATTTACAATTAGTCCAGAATTTAAAACAAGTTTAGTATTAAATCCTAGGGAATTTCTCACATAACTAATTTGGAGAAATAATATAATACTGTTCAGGCATGGTGGCTCACACTTATAATCCTAATAACACTTTGGGAGGCTCAACATTGCTTGAGCCTAGGAGGTCAAGACCAGCCTGAGCAACATAGTGAGACCCATCTCTACCAAAAAAATTTTAAAAATTAGCTGGGTGCTATGACATATGCCTGTAGTCCCAGCTGTTTGGGAGGCTGAGGTAGGAGGTTGGCTTGAACTCAAGAAGTTGAGGCTGCAGTGAGCTATGATCACACCACTGTACCCCAGTGTTGGTGACAGAGTGAGACCTTTTCTCTAAAAACAAAAAGAAAAAATTCAGTATTGTACTTATTCTCAATTTTGAAATAAGTCAATGTCATGGGAGTGTTGACGAAATACAGTCTTTTCTAGCTACTGGAAGTGCATACTAAAAGCCAAAGTTTCTCATTTTTTAGAAGAACAGGTATACACTTTCCACCTTTGTTCCGCAGTACGTATGTTTATGTTTCTTATTCTGCCATTATTTATAGTAGTCGAAATTCACAAAATAATCTTTTCATTTGTATTTTAAGTAGGTGTGTTTATAGATTATATCAGAAAACAATCATAAGCTTTCAGGTTACAATCAGTAGAAATACTGAGTGGCATTCTCTTCTGTGTGAGGTTTAAATTATGGATAGTCAATCAAAATAAAGGAGGACTGTCAGTTATCACTCCTGTGTTTCTTTCTTAGTGACCACCTCTGACCACCCAACTTAATACTTTTACTCCTCCCTGCCCCAAAGCTGTATGTATCTCCTCTCTGCTTTATTTCCTCCAGGGCATCTGTGCCTCCTGTGTGTTGCCTGCCCCCATGTGGAAGGGCAGCTCCATGGGACGCGGCTCTGTCCACTTAGCTTGGTGTTTGTTACTGGGGCCCAGGATGTTCAGTGCTTGTGGAATGAAAAATAGAGTAGAATAATGAAGGGGATTAAATATGTGACATTTTAGTATGTTGACTGTATTATACACTGCTACTAAGGAATTGAAGCCGATGTATAAACATTGTGTCTACACATTATACTATTTTATGATTATTGTATGGAACTTTATAATACAAAATTTCTTTGCAGTACAATTTTGAGAAATAGGTTAACTCTATTTTAACTTAAAAGTACCCTAAAAATTATTTAATTGTTTATTAGTGAGTAACAGGCTCAAATACAGCAGTTTTTTTTTTCTTTTAGTATTGCTTTGCATCCTCTAGGCTTGAATGGTATAAACACTGTGTTTTGACTTCTTATTCAATTTTAGATTACCAAAGAAGATTTTGCCACATTTGATTATATACTATGTATGGATGAAAGCAATCTGAGGTAATCCTGTTTTTGAAGAATATTTCTGTTCAACTCTCAGTTCAGCAGTGGGCCAAGTAATTTGTTGTCCAGATTTACTTTTTCTATTTTAAAGGTTTTAATAGTCAGTGATGGTCACCATATGTAGAATTATTTTATTTAGAACAGCAAAAAACTTAGTAATCTAGAATTGTCTCTTAGGTATTTACAAGGAAATACACCTTAGAAAAGGGAAAGTCTAGTTGTTAATAGCATGATTTAATTGGAAAACTAGCTTGGCTGTTATAGTTTTGTATCAAGCATATTGTTCTGCATGAGAACGATTTTGATATTTTTGCTGTAATGATTCCTGGGCAGGGCAGTGTTTTATTGATTCTCAGGTCAAAGCTCTGCAACCATAGGTTCCTATTATTATCCCATCTTGTAAAAGAAGGAAGTGAGAAACGGTAATGTTAGGTTATGTCCCCGAGTTCACACAGCTAGCATGTGGTGGATGTCATGGGATTTAAGCCTAGGCTCAGTGAGGAAGGGCCCTGCTGTATGCACCCCTGCCTCAGTCACCACCCTCCTGACCTGCCCCAGTCCCATGTTCAAGGCGTCATCGGGAACGGATCATAATTTAATGTCACTCCAGGATTCTGACTTGCATCACTACTTATTCATAAATATCTCATGTTTTTGATGAAGATAAACTATTTGTGCTTTTAATTACTTTTGTACAAATGAACAGATAGGGATGCACCAGTTTCAATTATTTTTTATTAATTAGGACCTTCATTAAAATGCATGTATTTTTTAATTTTTATTTTTCAGTCCTTATTCTGTTCTCATTGTTTTTGCTGACACCATAGCCCATAGGCATCGTAAAAACACCTTTTTAGGAGACCCCATTTGCTTTGACTGGCACTGAGCACCGTGTTTCTTTGCGTGTGGGGCAAGTGGAGTTCCTGCAGCCTCACATTTGCACGTGCTGTTCCTCTGCCTGGAAGCTCCTCCTTGCTTCTTGGGTCATTCGGCTCCTATTTGCCCCTCGTGGGTCAGCTTAAATTCATTTCTTGATAGAGGTATTCTGCTGCCCTGTCATTAGGCCAGATTGTGCATTAGACTTAGGCCTGCCTGCAGTTCTCATTCCTGCACCTAATCCTGAGCTGTAAAACTTCGTGCATGGGAGCTCTTGGCTGTTCCGTTCCCACATAAAGCACGTACCTGACTCATCAACTCATCTGTCGCAGGTGCTCAGTCGAAATTTGTTAAATAAATGGAGGCGCTTAGTTAAGTTTGCCTTTTTCTTTTGTAGCAATGTGAAAGCTAAGGGTGGAAGTCTAGAGTGAAGCTGAGTTTTCAGCTTGGGCAGAGGCTTAAGGAATAAAAGATGGAAGAGTAATTAAGGAGTGGGTCGTGCTGTGGGAAGTGCTGTGTCAAGACACCTGAGGATGGAATTGGTAGCCCTCTGTTTTGGGACTGGTTCAGATGGTGTTTTGGGTTCCTTTCTATGACCTTTATCTCTGAAACTTGATTGTCTTAAAATGTATTTTGTGGGAGAAAATATAATTATTGTATATTTTGTGTAACAGAATCAGTGAGAATAAGCTGCTGTCGCAAACTGTCTTGCCTAGAGAGAGGGCAGTGGCATACAGCTGCAGAAGGGGCCACACGGGCCTGCTGAGTGTTCCGTTTCATTTCAAATTAGGTCATTCTGTCTTGATTTTGATATGGATGTTTCAGAACACCCTAGCAGATGTCCCTGTTTAACTTGAAACCATAGATCAGAAAACTAAGTTCATATTTCAATTTTACAGAGATTTGAATAGAAAAAGTAATCAAGTTAAAACCTGCAAAGCTAAAATTGAACTACTTGGGAGCTATGATCCACAAAAACAACTTATTATTGAAGATCCCTATTATGTAAGTACAGTTCACGTTTTAGGGCTAATATGAAGACCCAACACATTTGTATCCTGCCATATTAAATAACAGATGAGATTGTGTTAAGGATGTTTTTGTTATGCAGGTTTTGCCATTTTCTTCTTTTTCCTGTCCATTTAGGGGAATGACTCTGACTTTGAGACGGTGTACCAGCAGTGTGTCAGGTGCTGCAGAGCGTTCTTGGAGAAGGCCCACTGAGGCAGGTTCGTGCCCTGCTGCGGCCAGCCTGACTAGACCCCACCCTGAGGTCCTGCATTTCTCAGTCGGTGTGTAATCACGTTCCAGGGCCCAAAGCCCAGCTCTTTGTTCAGTTGACTTACTGTTTCTTACCTTAAAAAGTAATTGTAGATGGAAATCAGTTGTGTTTGGCAGGAGAATCAATAAAAATCTTTGATTCAGACAGCTTATGGGGTATTTTAAGCATTCTTAGACTAGTTGAACATCTCACTTTGCCCCAGTTACAAAAATAGTAGAACAAGCAACATAAAACAATGAAGGAAAACCTCACTTGAAGGCCCAGGTCAACATCTAAGCCTGTTGAGACTTAGATAATCGAGTCTACCTCTTCAGTAGGTTTGTGTGGATGGCCTGGAGGGCAGGTGCCCTCTGCTCCCCAGTGCTACCTCTCTCTTCCCTAGGGCCTTTTGTGGATTGACAGTAGTCCCCTCCGTAGGAGCTCACAGTCTAGATTAGAAGTGTTTTAATTTCTACACACCCATAGTGCACACTTGTATATTGAAAAGATAGGGAAGAGAGAAACATTTATGGAATCAGTCGTTGGCACCTTCAATACTTCATGATTTTTGTCGAGTTTACTTCATGAGGAGGTCAGCCCATTGGCTCCCATCTGAACCACTTTGCCTCTGAAACTTAATTACATCCAGAAAGAAGGACACTTGTATGCTAGTCTATGGTCAGTTGAGGAATATGACTGTTTTTATATGCACATGTAACCCAAATGTCCAATATAAATTGGCTTATTTTTTAAAATAATTTTAAAAGTTGGGAAAAGTGTTATTATTTGGCATGCTTAAATATTGAATAAGTATTCTTCATCAGCATTTAATAAATGTATAGGCAGATGTAAGGTAATTTCTGTGTATTTTGAGATAATGTCAAAATCATGAATATTTCAAAATAAACTGGGGAGTTATAAAAATACAACTAGAGATATAAATCTGGTGTCTGCCTGTTTTTTTATTGACAGGTAAGGAAGCATTTGAAAACATTGTATTGTCCTTTTTACATGATCTGTGATGTTAGGTGTGCATATTTTATCTTCAGGATAAGGAAGTAAAATGATGAAAATAAGCACATTGCTGCCCCATGTCATCATGTCTAGTTTCTGAAGGAAGTTTGAGGTTCTACAGCTGGAACTGTCCTTGCCCAGTACCATCCTCTGGACATGTTGCCTCTACGCTGTGCCCTCCTGTGCAGTGATGCACAGCTGCCTGGCCAGGACATCTGCACTCCTGACCTCAGTATCATGAGGGTCCCAGGCAGTGCCATGGGGAGGAGACACGTTTGATCCTTGACTCCCTAGTATCTGGAGGATAAGCTGTTGCCAGATGAAAGTGAGTAGTTTCCCCACTGTACCATGTGGAAGTGCCAGGCTGTCTTCATAGGAAGAAAGTTTGCAAACCCAGTGAGTCTTGCTCTTGTTGGAATTACTCAGACATACAGAAAACTGAGGGGATTAAATATTAATAGATTGGATATTTGAACATGAAATCCTTAAAACATAAAAAATGGGGAAGGAAAGGTCAAGTAATGAGCTGTAATTAGAAAACAGGATTAAATAAGAGCACTTCAAAAGTTACACCCTGTTCTCTTCATTCAGTAATTGCTTTTAATCTCAAAGTCAAAATTTCTTACTCTTCTATTCCTTTATGTTTGGAAATAAAATCCTATAGTTTTTCTTTAATGTTTATCTCTATAAATACAGATCCTCAAACAAATCCTAGGACTCTTGACTATTCTGTCCTTATGGCTACACCCAGACGATACCATCTGCCGACAAGGGCTCATATGAATGGAGAAACTCATTGCTTTGCCGAATTCAGCTTTTTAAATTGGATCCAATTAGATTTGTTTAAAATACATCTACATCTAAAATTCTGAGACTGCTTAGAAGTCTTAAGGTTTCTCCTAGTTAAGCATTTTCATGATTACAAAATCGCTTGGGAAATAATGGATACAACCTTATTTGGAATATTTCCCAGCAAATCAGGGACTATCTTAGGAAATTATGTCACCAATATATAGTAGCCTTTACTTTAAAAAAAATGCTAATTATCCCTTAGAGAAATTCTTAGGCTTCAAGTTTTCATTTGTTTATGGCTTTCATATTCTATGACCTTTTGCCAGTGTCATGATCTCTCAGTAAATCAGAAGTCACGAATTCCCAACAGTGAACCTGTTAAAGAGGTAGAGAGTCACTTTGAAGACTAGTCATTATAACAAACACTTCATTTATTACTTGTGTTTATTTACACTATTTACATATTGCACAATAGCTGGAATACTATTTTACATTTATAATACAAACGACCAACAGAATTAGCCACAGATTTACACTCCACTGTCTCTAAAACATGACCGAAATTTTAATTTTTCATGCCGTTCCAAATAATACTCTGAGAATTTAACAGTGAAAGTAATACAGAATATCAAATTATGTTATATGAAAATATACTTTAAGATTCTGCTTATGTTTCTAAAGAAATATTTTTTGCGATTTCACCTAATGAAGACAATGAAATATTCTGTGTTTTATAGCACTACACGTCAAATGTGGAGCATTCCTTTTGTGTTTTTTTTTTAAATAAGTGACAGATAACACTGTCAAGTACACTGATTTATCGAATATATATCTGCAAACTGTCAACAACATACAAAACTCAAAGGACTTATGGAAGAGTCTGTCTGCAAAAATAAATCTCTTGTCCATGAGGGGATGTGTATAAAGATAGTTCTGTTTCCCTGTTGGTTTCCAAGGCACTTCTCATGGCTCCTGGTGTGCTGCTCCTGTACGGTCTGCTCACTGCTGAAAACAAATACATTGCGTGTGATATGACTATCCACACTTCTTAATGTCAATTCCAGAAGACCTGTCACTTCAGTTAGGGGACACAACATGTTTATAAACATAGGCAGTCTCAGAGTGCATCTGTATTTCTCTGTGATCCAAAAAGTGTAGTCTATTGTATTTTTAAAAATACCTTCTTTCTGCAGTTGTTACATGGCTGCAATGCTAAAGCAATGAAAATCATCACAGATACATGTGGATGCTTTATTACAGCTTGAAGAGTGCTTAGTCTTACATGTGCTATCAGAATCCTCAGTAGTCTAGGCCACAGGGATTAACCTGGCAGTTCTGCAACCTCAGTGTTCACAGGGTTGGTAAAGCTAATAATCGAGATTAGACATTTGTTTCTAGCATTCTTTGTTGGAATATCTAAACCATTGGTATTCTATTTATTTTTAAAGAATGATAAACTTCAAGGTTACTAAGATTAGGCTGCATTTGGGAGAGTACACCATGTACTCACTACTCAAAACTCCATTTCTTTGACAATATTCCAGAGCTCAGGCTTCTGATTAACTGACCTGTAAGTCCGGACAATGAAGTGTATCTGTGACTGTTAGGGAGGGTTGGTGGGGACATTGTTCTCTTTGGCCTGAGGAGGTCTATTAATGAGCTTCAGAACGCGGCAAATGGATTTGCTCTGAGGTGAGGAGGGCAGAGCCCTTCCTGCTAAAGGCCTGCTTTTCTCAGGCTCTGGGCCTTTCTTTACAAAGACAAGGTCATGGTTTACGGTCTTGCCCTGCCATCCTTGTGTGTCAGGACAGAAGTGCATGTGGCAGGTTAACCAGCAGAACTGGGACTGCAGGGCCTGCCTGATGCCACACCGTCACACGAGTGTGGGCACCCTGGGACACCTGCCCTGCCCTCTGGTGTCTCACTGAGGTCTGCAAAGCACAGAGAAAGCCCGGACTGTATCTACACTGTGGTGACCAGCCACAGTAAGAGTTTGCTGTTGCTGTTTAACAATTTGTTAACACCAGTAACAATTTGCTGTTGCTGTTTAAAACTTTTGGAATTTGAAGAAATTATCTTTAAAAAATAGGAGTTATGAAATTATAGTTAACAGGGTATCAATATTTTAAACTTTACCTATCTCTTGGCCAAAATGAACCCAGTTACAGCTGTGACACCTGTGGCTGTCAAGCAGGTGGCCTTTTGGGGACAGAAGCTTGCGAGCCTGGGCCTTGTCTTGTTACCTTTACCTGCATCTCATCGTCAGTCAGGCTCTGATGTGGTTGTCTGGTGATGGGGAGAGTGATGTGAAGAGTGCTGGGGACTATCAAGGGGATTCTGCCACAGCTTTTCTGCAGGGCATCACTGTGGCGTTTGCAAAGCAGGACGTGCGCACGCAGAGACCCATACAGGAGCCTGAGTCCCACTGACATGACCACGTCCTTCAGTGTAACTGCACCTGCCTCCAGCAGCAGCCAGCGGAGGGGAGGCAGGGGTCGGCTAATGGGCATGTGGACGGAGTAGCTCTTCCAGTGGCTGAGACAGTGGGGAATTTGCTCTCCTCACTTGTAAGTAAGTGGAAAATTTCCAAGGATGTCCCTGGCCCATCTCTGGGAACACTGTGTTTAATTATAAAGAAATACCTAAAAAAAAAAAAAAATTCTCATCTCCCCTGGCATATCACCTTGGGTGACAGGAATGTACATCTGTTCACTGATTTAAACAGAAGAAAGTCTGTGTGACACATAGGCAGTGGATGAGCTGCTCGAGAGAATTGGAAAGAGCAGGGATGTGGGGAGACATTACTACACAGCACTTCCCAGCTTTGACTGACATTGACACCTTCACTATCTCCAAAGAAAAAGTGCAGTGAAACTGTGCAAAATGCAGTCTCAACCCGCCATTACCCACTGGCCTCCCTCCCCCAGTGCCATTCCTCTCATTAGCAGCAGTTTCTTCTACTGGGAAAGATGGAGTGGGGGATGCATGGGCAGGACCCGCCATGCCTCCTGCCGGTGTTGGGGTCATGCACACAACCCTTCTGCTGCTACCTAAATATTCATAAGCACTGCCTCTGCATAGAGAGCACATCTATATAGGAAAGAGCACTACCCTACCCTCATCCATTTTACATGAGAGAAACTAGAGTAACCACTATAAAAATACTCCCTTTTCATGAATGTGCTCCGGACAGCTATCAATGGACAGGAAGCCTGTCTTTCTTGTGCTGGTGTAGCCAGCATCTGGCAGTGCCCACATATACAAGACACATAGTAAGTATAAAATTGGTGAAATTACAGTTGCATCCTGCTGTCTAAAGTGACTGGATTCTGTGGCATTTGTGTCAGGAAAATAAAACCTTACCCTTCAAAACATCCGCTGATGGTTGGTGTTAAATGTTGCATATCAGCCCTCAAGGGGCCAAGGTGCAAAGTTTAGTTCATAAACGTGGTATGCATTTACATTTTTACTATTAGAGGCTGTGAAAAAAAAAAACCATTGATAGAAACATTTAAAGAGGATAGCTGTTCTTTATGAGCTTATGACTACAACTCAAACATGTACCAGATGTGATAATCTGAATTTGCAGGGACAATGTTGGTCATCTACTCACTTGTGTTAGTGAATGAATGAATGCCTCGAAGTAAACGGACAATTTTAGTCTGTTCCTGACTTACGCACTCAGTCACATGCTGACACTGGCTGACTTGCTGTGTTTCAGAGCAGGACCCACTTAGTGCCCGTGTGCCATGCAGTGAGCAGTTAACAACAGCTGCCGGGGCCCTGTAGACAAGCCAGTAGGGTGGCTTTCAGCACTGTGAGATGAGTGTTGTGCCATCTCTACTTAGAATATGGCTACTTCAGCCAAAGAATGAGTGTTCCTAAACTCCCATGAATTTTTCATGTCCCAAGCGGGATTCCCATCTTTGGTATGTGCTCCAGTGTGTGTCTGTCCAAGCTTACCTTATCCTCCATGCACACTGGACTGACAGCCAGCCGGGTAAGAAGCCTGGCGCATCTTTTATAGTCTACGGTGAAAATATATCAGACTCTTGTCAGTTACTTAAAAAACAAATAAATCGCATTTTTTTGCAAGTATATCAGCTACTAAAGCCATTTATTTCTTCAAATATCTGAATTCCCTGGAAGCAATACGGAGTCTAATCTGCAGGCATGCATTCTAAGTTGTTGACTTAATAATTTATGGTGCTTCAAGGGCTTGAGCTTCAATGGCAGAAGTCGGATGATGTAAGTGGGGCAGCGGAGGGAAGAGGGACAGACACGAAGGCTGCATGGCTGAGCTGGCTGCCCATTGCTTCTCTCAGAAATAACTTCATTTCGCTTCCTACGTGACAATCCTTCCGTACCCTTGTGCTACTTTCAGGTCATGTGCAGGCTGAATCCCAACTTGAGTTGACCATGGGACAAAGCCTTCTGCCTGTAAATTCTAAAGAAAGTGGGTCAAAAGTCAGGCAGCAGAGCAGAGGCCTGGAGTGGATGGCGAGCGGAAGCAATGTGCCCGTTTCTAAGCGCTGGCTGATACTCCTTGGTATCGTACACAGTCTCCCATTCCACTATTCTGACCGTGCTGCCTATAGAAATTAAGAAGGTGTAATGGGCATGGCCATAAGGGAAAATATGTCCTCTGGGTGAAGATCTATGGAAAGCTGCAATAGTTTGTAAATTATTACAGTTTATTTCTCAATAACAAAATCCTACTTAAAAGTGGAAGAATTTATACCCAACTGAAAATCTGAATTGAATGGGTAGATTGACAATGACAAATGTGTACGATATGTTAGTTAAGGAGCCAGCTCTACTTCCAAAAATACGCCTCCTAAATATGGCATATATTGTTAGGGATTTTTCAAACAGAAAATGTTTTTCAAAGGGCCAAACAGTGGCACTGGGTCATCTGACCGCCTGGCTTTCTCTTTCATAAGCAGCACCATGCTTTTTAGAATGTAGTTTTCCTAAACAGATTCCACATCATGGAGGCAGTGGAATGTGTGATTTCAATGGCTGATCTAATCAATGAAGACTTCCACTTGGGCCATGTCCAGGGTCCCAGCTGACCACATCCTGCTCAACCCAGGTGTTTTCAGCAATGTCTTGCAAACCTTCATGTGCAGACCAATCATCTGGGGATCTTATTAAAATGCAGATTTTGTTCAACAAGTCTAGATGGGACTTAGTTCTGCATTCCCAACAAGCTCCCCATGGGACCACACTTTGAGAAGGCACTAAAGTTCCTTCAGGTCTGATATTCCAGGATCCCAAGGATTTTCTTTTATACAGCCTGACGCAGTAAAAAAGTGGTCCAACTTCAGCTCTGCAGTTCTTTATGGGCTAAGAAGAGGCAGAAAGCAACAAAGTGGCCACCCATCTCAAGGCACAGATCTCTCAGCCTTCTCCCTCTCCATGGCCCAGGGTGAGCTGTGATCAGGAGCTTAGTATCACAAAGCCGAGCTGCTGTGAGCAAAAGGAGGTATCGAATGCAGGCACAGCATGATGCCTTGGAAAAAGGCCTGCAGAGTCAACCATGAGATCTGTGCTTTAGCTTTGCTGATATCTGACAGCACAAAAGCAATTCCTCATCCATAAATGAAAAGATGAGACTGAATGACTCAGAGGTCACTTCCAAATTTGGAATCTATGATCCTATTACTGTAAGGAAATAGGTAATATAAAATATATGTACATCAAAACAATACAAACGACAAGATTTTCTGGCCCCAAGAGCCACATTAATGATTCCCAAACAGGTGATTACATTCCAAAAGAAGAAAACAGGAGAGTACTAGTGTGCCAGGTGCACATGGAAGGGTGGGGCCCAGCACCAAGAATATAAAAACTCTTCAGGAAGTGTGTGCTGCTGGCCTTGGCGTGAGGATGATGTTGCTAAAGGTATGGTCAGAGGGGCCGAGGCTGCGTTCCATGCATCTTTGTGCGGTGATGTGAATGCTAAAAGTGCATGTGCCTTAGCCTTGTCCAAAACGCGCTGGTGACGCTACTTCAGTGGGCCAAGGTTCATTGGCATGCACCCGGCACACAGAAGCAGCTCTATAAATGATGGTTATTATTATTTGAAGTAATTTTGCTGCCTAAACAAAGAAAAGCACTTATACTTCGTGTACATTGGCTTTTCGTTTGTTTGTTTTTGGAGAGGGAAGGCAGGACAGCAAGTCCGGAACGCTGCCTGGTCCAGCTGGAGAGCCCTGATGACAGCAGTTAGCAGGATGCCTAGTGTTTCTGCATGACTTTTCTCCTGTGAGCCTTAAATAAAATCAAAGTTGGAGTCCGAATTAAAAAAAATGGGTTAGGGCCCTATCACTGTAGCTAATAAGGCTTCAGTGAAGAGAACAAGGAGCTACTTTTGGAGAAATAAAATGTTTTGTTATGAATAAATAGCCAAAAGCAGGTTAGGAAGACTGAAAAGAAACAGGAGAGAAAGCTACTGCTGAGAGCTATGTTGATAAGGGCAGCTCTGCATTTCTGAAGGAGTGATGGAGCCAGCCAGAGAAACAGTTTTGAAATCACAATGAAATTCCTGGGTGATGAGGTTATAATTACCAATGGGAAGAAAAAGTCTCTGGTAAGAGCAGTGGAGATGATCCAGGTCAATCTTATTCTTGGAGTCAGTTTAGCAACTCATTCTTAACATCTGACTGCCATAGTAGAGTACACACAAACATGGGCATTGGAGGAGAATTAACAGGAGGAGAATCGGAGTTCAGCCCATCCCAAGAGCCTATTATTCCAATGACTGTAAATAATTTCCAGTTTGGCGTTAGCTGATGCAGAAGTTAGTTATCTTCTGCAATGGTCTGGCGATCTTGGCCCCTAACTCCATAGTGAGGAAGGAATAGGCAAATTTGAGCTAAGAAGGCAGGGGCCTATATGAGGAAATGGAAAGAGGGGAACCGCTGCCTGCACTGCTCTTGCATTTTATAAAAATCCAATGCTGTTACTTACATGCAGGAATGGTGCAGTCTCTGGTGTTGTGATAAAGTCTATGGAAGTGTTTGCTGCACTTTGGACTAAAATAAAGAGGGCCTGGAACACGGAAGAAGAAACAGATCATGAAGACTCACAGGTGAAAAGGAGCTCTGGGAGACGTGAGGAACGAGGAGAAAACTTACCTGTAAGGTGTTTTAGAAACTTGTCCTTCATCCTCAGATCTCGAGGAACAATTTCTGTTTCAGGGAAAAGAAAGTATTATATTACCTGAAGGACGCATTTTTTAAAAATGTGATCTTAAGTGAATGTTGAAGAAAATTGGAGCTCCATATTAGCCAAGTTGCTTTGCACAAAATAAAAAAGACTGGGGCCCTGGATTGCAACACACGACAGTGAAGAAGACTCAATATCAGGGACATTTATTTTCCTTGAAATAACAGTAACTGCTCCTGAAGCTCCAGGATTATGTCGGCTGTCTACCCCGTGGGATGCAGACAGAGACCACGAAGTTACAGAGGTAAGAAAACTGTTTTTTTTTTCTTTTAAACATTTAACTTCCAGTGAATAAGTCACTTTTAGGCACTTTAGTTTTAAGGACCTTGGGAATCAAATCCCACAACATTTCAAAGTTTTTAGAGAAAACCTGACCCTTCAAACAAAAAAATGGGTTACAGAACATTACTTTATCTAGATACATATTTAGAGTAAGGATTAAAAGACCACGTTTCAGTGAGGTGTAAATTAGTGGGAATATGCATGAACCTGGTTTGTAGGGTAAGAATCCCAGGGAAAGACTCTGCCAAGCAAACTTCTTCCACCAGGGTTCTCCGCACACAGTGGGTGGGGAGAACCCTGCAAGGGCGTTCTTCTTGAGTTCAGCTTTGTTTTTGCGTATTTACAGCCCTCTCCATCTTCACTCCCCCGTTCAGGGCTCCTGGCTGAGCCCCGACTGTGTGTGAAGTCACGCCCTCTGAAGAGGAGCATTCGCATCCACAGCTGACCCCCTAGTGAGTCTTCATTCACTCCTAACTTGACGCAGCCGGGATAAAACTGACCTTATCATGTTTGACCTGATTGTGTCACAAAAGCATTAGACGCTTTCATGCTTTCCTGGGAAATTCCCCGTGGGCCACCACTCTGGGCAGGGCCATGAAGGAGCCTGGATGCTTCCTTTTCAGTTGGGAAAGCTTTGCTGGAAATGCTTCCATTTCCAAAGTGACGGTTGACAGTTTAGTGTGGAAACCACCGACCCGCGCCGCAGCTCACGCGCGCCAGAAGGAGACCAGGCGCTTCTCCGCCAGGCCTCATGCGCGGACCTATTGCTGCTATTTTCTTTTTCTTAAAAAAAAAAAAAAAAAAAAAAGGAATCCTGCTGTTCAGTGGTCAAAATTGATGTCTCTTTTTGAAACGTGTTTCTCAAAGACAATTCTATTTCCCAGCAGCCCCGGCCCTCGGGCGCGCTCGGCCCCACTCACCCACTCGCTGCTCCGGCGAAGGCCCCAGCCCCGCCGCCTCCGCGCGGCCCAGGGCGCAGTCCCGCCCGAGGAGCTGCAGGCCCTTGTGCTCCGCCGAGTGGTGCTTCCGCAGCTCCTGGACGAGTTCCACCACCAGCCGCAGCAGCGCCTGTCCGTCCGCCGGCTCCCGGGGCTCCGCGCCCCCCCGGCCGCGCCCCGCCGCCCCCAGCACCAGCAGCAGCCCCAGGAGGAGGGGGTGCCCGGGTCCGCGCATCGTGCGCTCGGGGCCGCGGGGCTGGGAGACTCCGACACGCGCCGAGAGCTGGGCTCGCTGCGAGAGAAGGGGCGCGGGGGGCCGGAGAGAAAGTCAGCGGGGGAGGGGGACGGAGCGCGGGGCGGGGGAGGGGAGGGGAGGCGGGAGGAGCCGCTGGCGCTGGACCCGGCCCCTCACCTCCGCGGACCCCGAGGAACAAGCCGGCAGGTGAGGGAGCCGCGGTCTCCTCGACGATCACGCCCGAGGTCCCGCCCACGGGGAGCGACCGCCGCTGGTGCGGAAAGGAGCCCCCGGAACCCGCCCGCCCGCCAGCCCGGCCCCTCCTAACTTTCGCCCGAAAGGCCGCGTCCGCCGAGCGCGCTGCGCCTGGCGCGGGCGCAACTTTCTTTCCCCTTTGGAAGCCGCGGGTGCCAGGCAGCTCCCCGGCCGCGGGCGGACCTCGGAGGGGCCGCGCTCCCGCGCCTACCGCTCTCCAAGAAGGCGGCGCCGCGCGCCGGGCCCGGCGGCCGCGCTCAAGTTTCCAGCGTCGCCTTTGCGCGGTGGTCGCCGGCGAGCGCCGAGTCCCCGAAGCCCACGGAGGAGGCCGGGTGCGGACCCTCGCGCTGGCCCCGGCCGCGCCACGTGCTGGAAGCCCCTCCACCTCCCGGCCATGGCGCCCTCCCGCACCTGCCCGGCGCCACCCGGGAGCCACCTGCGCGTCGTGGCCGGGCCGGTTACCTGGAGCCGCCGGAGTCGTCGCCGTCTGTGCGCACGTCTGTCCCCGCGCCCCGAGCTGCGCCACTACTCCATGCCCGGCGGGCGGAGCGCACGGGACGCGGGGACTCGGCCGCTCCGAGCGCTGGACCCACGGCCGACCTGGGGTGCGCCGGCTCCGAGTCCCGCCTCAGACCTCGGGGAGCTTCTTATCCCCGCGCCCGCCGACGTCAGGCGGGTCCCCAAGGGCTCCGAGCGGGGCTTTAATTAGAAGCCGCTGAAGTGTTAGTACCCCCATGCGGATCTTCGTCAGTCCCCCCGCCTCACCTCGCTCTCGCCTCCCCCCGTCTCCCGCTCCCCCTCAACTCCGCCCCCGCCCCCGCCCGGTCCCCCCACCCGCATCTCCACCGCGTCTCCCCCTCGCCCGCGCCCCGTCTCCCGCGCCCCTTCCCTCCCCACCTTCCCCATCTCCCGTCTCCTCCTCTCCTGCCCCACCTTCCCCCACTCCCCGTCTCCTCCTCTTCCCCCTGTTCTCCTCCCCCCGCCCCTCCCCCAGTCTGTTTCCCTCCGTTCCTGTCACTTGTGACAGGATGAGAAGAAACGCCTTTACCAGGAACTCGGTTCTGTTTTTGTCTAAATGTAGATCTTGGGCTATTAAAAAGGGAGCTGCCTGATTGCTTCGACATTTAATAAGTCAATTAGAGTCCATCCGTTTTGGAGGGATCCGCTCTCCGGACCTCGAGGGGTCTGCCCCGCCCGAGCCCAGTCCCCAGGTTCGGGTCCCCAAGCCCTGGTCCCCGAGGCGGGGCGGCCAGGAGGCAGGAGATGGGCGGGTGAGGACTCTCCACGGCCCCCGAGGTGCGCACAGCTGACCACCCGAGGAGGGGCAGGACCTGCACCCCCTCCCCAGACCCCCTGCGAGAGGACGAGCGAAGGTCCCTCCCCGGCAAGGACCGCGCCATCTGCGCGCTCCTCTGCGCTGGACCCTCGGCCCGCGGGTCCCTCGCGCCCCGGCAGGGAACGCCCGCAGGAGGGCACTTGCCTCCCGGACTCGTCTTTAAGAAAGTTTGGCTCTTTGGCCGAAGCCCGGCACATCTGTGAAAGTTCAGCAATTTGCCTCTTTTATTTTATTCTTGTAAAATGTATTATCAATCAGTTGCGCACTTTCCCATTCGATTGGTGCTTTCTGGGCAAGAGCTGGACGTCTTCCAAGTCCGCGATCTGTTTGGGAAAGGTGTTCTGAGTGCAATCAGAGAGGCGGAGTGGGCGAGAATTAAAGGCCTGCACCATGATCGGGGCAGTCGCAGGACCGCGGCGGGAAGGTGCTGGCCCAGGCGCACGTGAGCGCGGGCGGTGCGGGCGGAAGGCTCCGCGCCCCGATCCCCCAGCTCCCGGAGAGGCCCCGTCTGCGCCCGTCCCCGCGTCCTTTCTCTCTTCCTGCACGGGGTCTGTCTCCTCAGGAGGAGAAAGTGTCCGGCAGAGCTGGGCGGGGAGGCAGCGTGGAGAGAGAAGATATGAAATGTGCCGGTTCCGGACCCCGCCCCACACCCTTGGGATCTGCGTTCTCTCCGCTCCCTTGAAAAACAGATGGTTTGATTTCACAGCGAGGCTTTTCTTTTTCTTTTTGCAAGCTACATGACTGAAATGTGAACATTTCTGCTAAAATACACTCAGGAAAAAGTAAAATTTTATGTCAAACAGACCTTAGGCACATAAAAGGAGGCATTTTTCGTTTCTCTCTTTCCCCTTCCCATGTCCAAGAAGACACTTGAGTTCCACGGGCAAGAGCGACGCCTGGCGATGGAACCGGCCCTCCCCGGCCCTGCTCCCGGTCCTGCTTGCCGGGCCCACCTCGCAGCTGGTGGACACCGCAGTTCCCAGAAAAATAGAACCATGAGAAGATTTTACTGTTGTAAAATAGCTTGGTGTAAGACAGTTTTTCAAAAAAATCTTTGTATGGTAAAAAGAAGAAAACACATTTCACGTATTATTTTAAATTTACATAGACCTATTAGAATAGTATTTTATAAAATCAAAAGCTAAATTTCTTCTATAAAATGCTAGTAGGATCTATTTCCCCCAACACACACAAATTCTACCTACCGAGGAAGCCTTGCTAGTAATTAATATTATGTCTTTTCTTTTGCAGTTTTTAATGGGACAAATGGATTCCTTGAATGAGCCCTTTCTACCATCCAAGTGTGGGCCAAGACTTCCGCCCAGGTTAGTAGAGGTTTGGTGGATAATCAACAGCAACAGAGCTGATGCTTGGTTGGTCTTTGGATTAATGAGATCTTACAATTAAGAGTCAGACAATTTATGTGTTCATTTATTTTTACAAAGTTCTCTGCCAAAATTATCTAGGTGCTGCTCATTTTATATTATAGAAACAATTTTTACAGACTAACAAACTTAGAGTGTACCACCGATTTGTTAATCTTTATTGAATTTTTAAGTTAATGGTATTGTCAAGACGAACCCCTTGGAGTTCTCCAGTCATCAGAAATAGGTGTGCAGTCATCCCTTGGTATAGCGTGGGACTGGTTCCAGCAGATACCGAAATCCAGGCACATTCACGTCTCACAGTGGGGCCTGTGGAACACGCAAATACGGAAAGTTGCCCTCCCTCTGTGTGCGTTTCGCATCCTCCAGCTGCTGTGTTTTCGACCCACGTTTGAAAAAAAATATGTAAGTGGACCCCTTCAAACCCGTGCTTTTCAAGCAGGAAGCCAAAAAGAAAAGAGATACAATTAGCAACAAACTATATTCTAGAATTACTGGAAAAATTTTTTTCTAGATTTGATTTAGTTTGGTTATCTTTTTGAGAAAACTGTGTTGGATCATAGGAAGAAAACCGAGCAGAGGAAAAAAACCTGTATTTAATCTACCCTAACAGTACTATATATAGGTCCTGAGATGGGTGAGTTGATTTTTTCAATTCATAAACAGGTTAAAGTTCTGATGTTTTGACTGCAATCATTTTTTTTCTTCATCCAGAGGGTACGTATTTAATTTTAGATGAATATTAGCTGCCCTCAAAGACTTCTAAAATACCTGTGTTAACCACATGCTTTAAAATGAATTGTTATATTTTTCAATCATTATGGCAATCATTTAACAATCTAACGAAGTTTGTATTGTAGAAAAAAATCACCTTTCATAAAGGATAACATCATGTACTATAAACAAATATTGCTTACTGTTTAATATTTACCAATTCTGCTTTTTTAAGCTATCAAAATGCTATTAGTGTGCTAGGCACGTACTAGACAGTGTTTAAAGCATTTAGGAAGACAAGCTTTCTAACAGGATTAATTTTCCTAGTATAAATGTAATAAATATAGACTCTTACAAGTGATAATGTATGCATGATATCTGCAGCTTATTCTAGATCAATGAAGTACAGCATTCTATGTAACACTTCTCCCCTTCTAGGGAGGAAGAAGATGATTCCAAAAACATGGTCATCCACCCCTTCCCATTCTTCAACACTGCTTTTGCATCTGCAGATGCACACGGCTATGCATGTTCAGGAGAGAAATTAGGTGAAAGTTGTATTTAAAGGGTTGGGATAAGATAGCATGGCTGATTTACTTTTTTAAAAAATTTATTGTTCCAGGCCAAGATAAAGAGGACTTTTCATGGGGAAAGGCTTAAAGGAAGTATGGACTTTACGTTGTTCCTTCAAACTGGATTTTAGTTATAAATTCTGAAACCACTGTGATGCTTACTTGCCATTTGGAGGCACCAATCTGACATCTTTTGATGGAAGTAGTAAGAATAAATTTGAAAGAACACACCAATCATCAACATATCAGAAAAATATTATCCATGACAATATTTCAACAAAATATAGTCATAGATGCTGAGTAACAACACCAATATATCTGCATTCCATCTGTTTTCTGCAGGAAATCAGATATCCTGATCAGAAGTGACACACACAATGATCTAGGTTCATCACAGAGACATCCAAAGTGTCATAAAGGCACCACCTACCAAAGTGGGTTGTTGTTTGTTTCTAGGATAAGCTAAGCACAGTGATGGGGATGCCTCCTGGATAGAGGGAACTGCATATGCAAACTTCCAAGGAGGAGGCCCCAGAACCTCTTGGATCTGCTGGGAAGACTGGGCTGTAGGAAGAGGGTGGGAGGAACAGATGGAGAGTCACCTCACCTGAACTCCACTTTCTTTCAAGAATGCAGCATAGCGGACTGCAAAGGACGTGGGCTTCAAAGCCACAGAAATGGGCTCAGGTTCTGATTCCTGCTCACATCTGTGTGAACCTGGGCAAGACAACTTCTTTGAGCCCAGTTTTTTCATGTCGGAAATGACAGGAGTACGTACAACCTCAGAGGTTTTATAAACATTAAATAAGATAAAGTATGTTAACTTTTTAGTATAGTTTAAATTTCTTTTAACTGACCAATTATTGCTATTACTGCCTTTCAGAGTGTCTGCTGTCATAATGGCCTCTTTTTTCCTGTATTTTATCCCTTACAATATGGCATGAAAGAGAGCATTATCCAATCCTAGAGAATGTCTGGGGCATCAGAATTTGGTGACTTGTTCACAGCTGCATAGAAAATCTATAGTTAGAAGTGGACTGAAATATCCTGAATTAGTAAGTTTCCATGTGACCAGCACTCAGAACAGTGGGTGAGGGCTCAGTCCAGTGGAGTAGGATTCAGACCTGTGGGTGAGGGCCCCTGCTGCTGCCCCAGGCCCAGTGCCTGTGCTGTTAGGATGGTATATAAGTGTGGTTGGCTAGGATATACTAGGGCTATGAATTCATAAGAACAGTCTATATTTTGCTCACCTGACCCTTCCTTAAAACCGTGGGGACATTTCAAGACTGCTGTCTCTGATATTTTTGCCACTATTATAATGCAGTCCATTAGGCAAAGAGTGCTTGAGACACTGTCTTAGTCCATGTGTGCTCCTAGAACAATATATCATACACAGGTAGTTTATAAACAACAGGAACATATTCCTCACAGTTCTGGAGGCTGGCAGTCCAATATCAAGGCAGGCTGGGTGTTTGATGAAGCTCCCCTTCCTCGTAGATGGCGCTTTCTCTCTTGAGTCCTCACAGGGGCCCACCTTCCTCACAGATGGCGCTTTCTCACTGAGTCCTCACGTGGGGCCCGCCTTCCTCATAGATGGCGCTTTCTCACTGAGTCCTCACACAAGGCCCCCCTTCCTCATAGATGGCGCTTTCTCACTGAGTCCTCACACGAGGCCCGCCTTCCTCATAGATGGCGCTTTCTCACTGAGTCCTCACACGAGGCCCACCTTCCTCACAGATGGCGCTTTCTCACTGAGTCCTCACACGAGGCCCGCCTTCCTCATAGATGGCGCTTTCTCACTGAGTCCTCACGTGAGGCCCGCCTTCCTCATAGATGGCGCTTTCTCACTGAGTCCTCACACGAGGCCCACCTTCCTCACAGATGGCGCTTTCTCACTGAGTCCTCACGTGGGGCCCGCCTTCCTCATAGATGGCGCTTTCTCACTGAGTCCTCACACAAGGCCCGCCTTCCTCATAGATGGCGCTTTCTCACTGAGTCCTCACACGAGGCCCACCTTCCTCACAGATGGCACTTTCTCACTGAGTCCTCACGTGGGGCCCGCCTTCCTCATAGATGGCGCTTTCTCACTGAGTCCTCACGTGAGGCCCGCCTTCCTCATAGATGGCGCTTTCTCACTGAGTCCTCACACGAGGCCCACCTTCCTCACAGATGGCGCTTTCTCACTGAGTCCTCACGTGGGGCCCGCCTTCCTCATAGATGGCGCTTTCTCACTGAGTCCTCACACAAGGCCCGCCTTCCTCATAGATGGCGCTTTCTCACTGAGTCCTCACACGAGGCCCGCCTTCCTCATAGATGGCACTTTCTCACTGAGTCCTCACGTGGTGGAGGGTGCAAGGGGACTCTCTGGGGTCCCTTTTCTAAGGACAATAATCACATTCATGAGGCTCCATCCTCAGGACCCCATCACCTCCCAAAGGCCCCACCTCCTGACACCATCACTCTTGGGATCAGGTTTCGGCACAAGCACTTTGGAGAGACACAGACGCTGAGACCACAGCAGACAGGCAGCACCAGTGTAAGGCAGACCAGTTACTGGCCCCGGGAGAAACGGGAGGCAGGGGTGCCCAACCGTTTGGCTTCCCTGGGCCACACTGGAAGAAGAAAGAAGAAAAATTATCTTGAGCCACATGTAAAATACACTAACACTAACAATAGCTGATAAGCTATAAAAAAAATCACCAAAGAAATATCATGTTTTAAGAAAGTTTGCAAATTCCTGTTGGGCACATTCAAAGCTGTCCTGGGCTGCATGTGACCCATGGGCCATGGGTTGGACATGCTTGGAAATGGACGTCAAACAGAAACAGTCTGCACCTCCAGGAAGGAAGGGAGAATTTGTGCTGAGAACTTTTGATTTGCTCACACATCCCATAGCCATTGCTTGAGTCCTCGGGTGCTCAGGGACAGAGGGGAGAAATTCTGTCCACAAGAAACCTGCATTGTTTGGTGTAGTGTGTCCCGTGTGTCGTGTGCTCCTGGAGTCTGGACGGAGTGTAGGGTGTGGGGCCACTCCCTTGAGGCTGGTTTATGGATGAAAGGGGCAGGGAATGCACATGTAAAGAAGCCAAGGTGCCGGGTCACAGTGCGCTTGGAATGTGTGAGGGTCCCTTCTGCAACAGAGTGTAGGAGAGAGAAGAGGACAAGAGGCTGTTCTCAATGCCACTCTCAGTACTCTGAACTTCATCCTGCAGGCAGTGGTAAATGATTGACAAGCCTTGAGCAGGGACCAACATCATCAGATCTGTGTTTTATGGAGGTAGCTATGGATGATGGACCAAAAGGGTTTGGGGCCGTAGGCAGACAGACCAGTCCTGCCTCCTTCTGCCCACCCTCCCCCATGGGCAGACAGGCGAGCAGGGGGCTTTCTGACCCTCCCTCCTTCCGTCAGATGCTGTCACTAAGTAGAGAGATGCGAAGTGTCCCCCGTGTCCAGCACTGCACCAGGTGTTGCAGGTGTGACAGTCCCTCCTGCATGGTTCACTTGCTGCAGAAGGTAAACACCAGCAAACAGATAACTATATGAAATAGTAGGAAGTTATAAAAAGAGCATGGAAGAAAGAGGGAAGAAGGAAGAGAGACAAATGCTGAGACAGAGATGAGATGGTGAGGGCGAAGGGGACCTACGTCTGATAAGGTGGTTGTAGAATCATCTCTGAGGACAAGGTATCAAGGTATTTGAACTGAAACCTCAGCATGGATGCAGCCACATTTATAGTGATGCAGGCGAAAAAAGGAGGAGGCTCAGAACTGGGGCATGGAGATGAGGATGGAGAGTAGAGAAAGTCTTGGCTTCCTAAGAAAATCATCTTTTTTAGAAATCACCTGTTTCATCCTGACATTGGCATTCCCAGTATGAACATTTCTGTAAGAGCATTTAAAAGTCCCATTGAAAACATAGCCGTGATCTTGGGACCATGTGTAGGCTCCAAAATTTAATTCTTTCCTCCATTCAGCAAAAACTGACCATGTGCCGGCCACATCCTGAGCATAGTTCTAGGAGCAGGCACACATACTGCGGTGAGCAAAGTAAGTTCCTATTACTTGGCTTATTGAAGATGTAACTTTAGCCTACGTGGACAAAGAAATAGACAATTTCTAAAAACAGATACAATACAAAATGAAGCTTTAAATATGAGCACAACACCCTATTCTGCTTTGACTGGGAGCTGAGAATGACAGTTGTTAAGCCAGACTTTTTTTATTGCTACACACGTGAACGGGAGGGCATCTCAGAGGTGATGCAGTGCTGACAACCAGGTGTGATACCCTCACATGTACAAGCACTGTGCATTTCAGAGGTGACCTTGTGCTGACAACCAGGTGTGCTGCCCTCACCATGTAAAAGCACTGGGCATCTCGGGGTGACCTTGTGTTTACAACCAGAGGTACTCTCCTCACTGTGCAGTTAGGCACTGGGCGTCTTAGAGGTGACTCTGTCCTGATAACCAGGTGTACTCTCCTCACTGTGCACAGGCTAGGGCTAGACATGGCAGGGACCCAGGTGTGTGCAAGGTGCAGCGTTTGTGCCATGGGGAGGACCTGCAGGTCCATCCACCTCCCTATTCCAGTCCTCAGAAATGCACTAGGGCACAGTGGCAGTGGGGCAAAAAGCTCTTTGTGTGCTGTGATGTGAACCTCAGGGTGACTCCAAACCTTATCGTGCTCCACGTTCTCTTAGGCTGCTGTCAATAAATGTTTGAACAATTTCTCGTAGATGTCTTTGAATATTTCTATGTCTGTACCTCCTCTTTTGGCAATGAGTTCCATAAGTTTACTCTTCATTACATAAATTACTTTCTTTAATTTGTCCTCAGTATAAATCAGATGTGTTTAAACATGACCCTGAGGTTTTCTCTTTGTCTTTATGTGCTGGTAGCTGACACCTTCAAAGTGAAGGAGGAGACTTCTGTTTTGTCTCAAAATGAATGCAGGTACTCTTTTGTTTTTAATTCTGATAAAACATATGTAACATAAAACTCACAATTTTAACCATTTTAAGAGTACAGCCCTGTGGCATTAGGTAAATTCACAATTTTGTACAACCATCATCACCACTGTTCAATTCCAGAACTTTTCATCATCCTGACCAGAATCTCTGGACCCGTTAAACATTAGCTCATCATTTCTCTCTTCCCCAAAACTCTGGCAAAAGCCATTCTACTTTTTGTTTCCATGGATTTTTTAAATTGACATGTAATAATTGTATTTATGGGGTACAGTGGGATATATTGGTGCATGTGTACCATGTATAATAATCAAATCACTCTAATAAGCATATCCATCATCTCAGTTATCGTTTCTTTGTGTTGACAGCATTTAAAATCCTCTCTTCTGCTGCTTGAAAATATATAGTCAATTACTCACCCTATGAGAAGACCAGAACTTCTTCCTTTGTAATTGTAGGTTTGTTCATGTTAACCAAGCTCCCTCTGCCAGCACCCCACTCCCATAACCACTGTTGTATTCAGCACGTCTGTGAGCTCTTCTTTAGCTTCACATATAAGTGAGACCATGCGGTGTTTTTCTTTTTGTGTCTGTCTTATTTCACTTAGCACGATGTCCTTCAGGTTCATCCATGTTGTTGCACATGACAGGATTTTCTTCTTTTTAAGGCTGAGTAGTATTCCAGTGTGTATTTAGCCACATTTCCTCTGTATTCACCTGCTGTTGCTGTCAACTTGGATTGAATCCGCATCGTGGCTATTGTGAATAGTGCTGCAATAATCGCGGGGTGCAAACATCCCTTCCATATTGTGATTTCCCTCCCCTTTGATAAATATTCAGTAGGAGGATTGTTGGATCATATGGAGGCTCTGTTCTCAGTTTTAGCTTTTTAGTGGCTGTACCAGTTTACACTCCCACCAGTCATGTGTAAGAGTTAAGGAAAGGCTTTGAGTCAGAGAAGACCAGCCAGGGCAGCTGATTTTGATTCCTACTCCGACACTCATTGTGGCCACAGCCAGTCCCTGAGGCTCTGGGGTTTTAATCTCCTCATGAGCAAAGTGGGGCTGCTCTCCCTTTCTTTATAGTGTGTAGGTCTTTTTAAAGTATTGAATAAATTAGTAAATATAAACTTTCTCTATAAACTAAGCAGCTGGCTATGTTTTTTTTTCATACTGTTCATAATTTAGTTGACTTTGACCAAATACATTCCTGGTTTTCCTTTAAGAATCCTATGTCTCGGGGACTGTGTTTATGTGGTAACATTTTGTGTTTTTGTTGTCTTAGAACCTGTCATGGTGAAGTAGCGATTACAACTTCATTCAGAGTGTCACAATGCATATGCCACCACTCAGGAATTTGGGTCCCATTTAGTTGTCATCTCTGCTTTCACAGAATCTGGGGCCCCCATCAGTAGTGACTCCCAGGCTGTGCTGCTGAATGGACAGAAATCAATACAATACATCAGATGTAGTTCATGTATTTCTCTCTATATATGTTCAAATGGAAATTCACCTTTCTTTACAGTTTTGAGGGAGCATTGGCAGTATTTCTGCTGTGCTGACACCATCAACAGGCCTGGCTTTCAGCGGCGCAGTCCCTCCCCCAGCTCGCAGGTTTAAAACTTCTGTCATTGACATGATTGTATATTTAGAAAACCCCATAGTCTCAGCCCAAAATCTCCTTAAGCTGATAGCAACTTCAGCAGTCTCAGGATACAAAATCAATGTGCAAAAATCACAAGCATTCCTATACACCAATAACAGACAAACAGAGAGCCGAATCATGAGTGAACTCCCATTCACAACTGGCACAAAGAGAATAAAATACCTAGGAATCCAACTTACAAGGGATGTGAAGGACCTCTTCAAGGAGAACTACAAACCATTGCTCAACAACAAAAAAAAGAGGACACAAACAAATGGAAGAATATTTCATGCTCATGTTATGTTAGAAAGAATCAATATCATGAAAATAGCCATACTGCCCAAAGTAATTTATAGATTCAGTGCTATCCTCACCAAGCTACCATTGACTTTCTTCAAAGAATAGGAAAAAACTAATTTAAATTTCATATGGAACCAAAAAGGAGCCCGCATGGGCAAGACAATCCTAAGCAAAAAGAACAAAGCTGGAGGCATCATGTTACCTGACTTCAAACTATACTACAAGGCTACAGTAACCAAAACAGTATGGTACTGGTACCAATAGTTTTGATACTGGTACCAAAACAGATATATAGACCAATGGAACAGAACAGAGGCCTCAGAAATAACACCACACATCTACAACCATCTGATCTTTGACAAACCTGACAAAAACAAGCAATGGGAAAAGGATTTATTAAATAGGGAAAAGGATTCCCTATTTAATAAATGGTGCTGGGGAAACTAGCTAGCCATATGTAGAAAGCTGAAACTAGACCCCTTCCTTACACCTTATACAAAAATTAACTCAAGATGGATTAAAGACTTAAATGTAAGACCTAAAACCATAAAAACCTTAGAAGAAAACCGAGGCAATACCATTCAGTTCATAGGCATGGGCAAAGACTTCATGATTAAAACACCAAAAGCAATGGCAACAAAAGCCAAAATAGACAAATGGGATCTAGTTAAACTAAAGAGCTTCTGCACAGCAAAAGAAACTATCAGCAGAGTGAACAGGCAACCTACAGAATGGGAGAAAATTTTTGCAATCTATTCATCTGACAAAGGGCTAATATCCAGAATCAACAAAGAACTTAAACAAATTTACAAGAAAAAAACAACCCCATCAAAAAGTGGGCAAAGTATATGAACAGACACTTCTCAAAAGAAGACATTTATGCAGCCAACAGGCATATGAAAAAATGCTCATCATCACTGGTCATTAGGGAAATGCAAATCAAAACCACAATGAAATACCATCTCATGCCAGTTAGAATGGTGATCATTAAAAAGTCAGGAAGCAACAGATGCTGGAGAGGATGTGGAAAAATAGGAATGCTTTTACACTGTTGGTGGGAGTGTAAATTATTCAACCATTATGGAAGACAGTGTGGCGATTCCTCAAGGATCTGGAACTAGAAATACCATTTGACCCAGCAATCCCATTACTGGGTATATACCCAAATGATTATAAATCATGCTACTATAAAGACACATGCACATGTATGTTTATTGTGACACTATTGACAATAGCAAAGACTTGAAACCAACCCAAATGTCCATCAATAATAGACTGCATAAAGAAAATGTGGCACATATACACCATGGAATATTATGCAGCCATAAAAAAGGACGAGTTCATGTCCTTTGCAAGAACATGGATGAAGCTGGAAACCATCATTCTCAGCAAACTATCACAAGGACAGAAAACCACACACCTCATGTTCTCACTCACTGCATGTTCTCGCTCATAAGTGGGAGTTGAACAATGAGAACACATGGACAGAGGGAGGAGAACATCACACACTGGGGCCTGTCGGGGGTGGTGGGAGGCTGGGGGAGGGATAACATTAGGAGAAATACCTAATGTAAATGATGAGTTGATGGGTGCAGGAAACCAACATGGCACATGTACACCTATGTAACAAACCTGCACGTTGTGCGCATGTACCCCAGAACTTAAAGTGTAATAAAAAAAGTCAACCTCATGAAAGACATAAATAAATAAATAAAACCTCCATCAGTGTGTGCATTGTCACCACCCATATCCTCTTAGATGCTCAGAAAATATTCATTTTATATCTACCTTTTTTCCCCATCTATGAACGAATTACCACAATAATATGGCAGCTATTATGCCCTTTGATCCTTTTCAAAGCCTTTCAGAAGATGTGCAGTGGCCTGAGGATCTCCTGGTTCCTGCTGTCTGCACATTGACGCTGGGCTCCTGAGTGGGACATGACATGCCCTCGTTAGGAGTTAACCTTCCTTGCCGTGCTGACGTACGACAGGTGCTCACCGTTTCCCACATCTTGCCTTATTGTGCTTCACAGACAGTGTCCCTCTAACAAATCAAGGGCTTGTGGCCACCCTGCATCCAGTGAGTCCATCAGCACCATTTGTCCACAGCATGTGCTCACTTCACATCTCTGTGTCACATTTTGGGAATTCTTGCAATATTTCAAACGTTTTCATTTTTATTATGTGTGTTATGGTGATCTATGATCAGTGATCTTTGATGTTACTATTGTAACTGTTTTGGGGCACAATGAACTATGCCCATATAAGATTGCGAATTTAACTGATAAATGTTGTGTGTGTTCTGATTGCTCCAATGAATAACCATTTCCTTGTCTCTCTCCCCTCTCTTCAGGCCTCCTGATTCCCACAAACACAGCAAGATTAAGATTAGGTCATTTTTCTTTTCTTTTTCTTTTTCTTTTTTTTTTTTTTTTTTTTTTTTTTTTTTGACTGAGTCTTGCTCTGTCATCCAGGATAGAGTGCAGTGGCACAATCTTGGCTCACTGCAACCTCCAACTCCCAGGTTCAAGTGATTCTCCTACATCAGCCTCCCAAGTAGCTGGGATTACAGGCATGTACCACCCTGCCCAACCAATTTTTGTATTTTTAGTAGAGACAGGGTTTCACTATGTTGGCCAGGCTGGTTTCGAACTCCTGACGTCAAGCAATCCACCCGCCTATGCCTCCCAAAGTGCTGGGGTTACAGGCATGAGCTACCACACCCAGCCTAAGATTAGGCCAATTGATAACCCTGCAATGACCTCTAAATATTTCGGTGGAAGGAAGAGTCTTATGTCTGTCACTTTAAATCATAAGCTAGAAATGATTAAGCTTAGTGAGGAAGGCAGGTCAAAAGCCAAGATAGGTTCAGAGCTGGGCTTCTTGCACCAGTTAGCTAAGTTGTGAGTGCAAGGAAAAGTTCTTGAAAGAGATTGAGAGTGCTACTCCAGTGAACACATGAATGGCAAGAAAGCAAAACAGCCGGATTACTGCTATGGGGAAAGTTTGAGTGGCCTGGACAGAAGATCAAACCAGCCACAACACTCCCTTCAGCCAAAGCCTCATCCAGAGCAAGGCCTCTAATTCTTTTCATTTCTGTGAAGGCTGAGAGAGGTGAAGAAGCTGCATAAGGAAGGTGTGGAACTAGCAGAGGTTTATTCCTGAGGTTTAAGGAAAGAAGCAAGAAACCATCTCTATAACATAGAAGTGCAAGGTGAAGGAGCAAGTGCTGATGGAGAAGCTGCAGCAAGTTCTCCAGAGGATCCAGCTGAGATCACTGATGAAGGTAGTGATGCTAAACAACAGATTTCTCATATGGACAAAACAATCTTCTATTGGAAGAAGATGCCATCTAGGACTTTCATAGCTAGGGAGGAGAAGTCAATGCCTGGCTTCAAAGCTTAAAGGAAAGATTGCCTCTCTTGTTAGGGGTTAACAGAGTTGGTGACTTTAAGTTGAAGCCTGTGAAGATTTACCATTCCCAAAATCTCAGGGCCTGTAAGAATGATGCTAAGTCTGCTCTGCCTGTGCTTTATAAATAAAACGACACACCTGATGACAGCTCTTCTGCTTACAGCATGGTTTAGTGAGTATTTTCAGCCTACTGTTGAGATCTACTGCTGAGACAGAAAGATTCCTTTCAAACTATTAATGCTCATTGACAATGCACCTGGTCCCTCATGAGCTCTGATGGGGATGTACAAGAAGACAGACATTTTTTTCATGCCTACTAAGACAACGTCCACTCTGCAGTCCATGGATCAAGGAGCAATTTTGACTTTCAAGTCTTATTATTTAAGAAATATATTTTACTAGGCCATGTCTACCATAGATAGTTGTTCCTCTGATGGAGCTGGGCAAAGTAAATTGAAAACCTTCTGGAAAGAATTCACCATTCTAGATGCCATTCAGAACATTTATGATTCATGTGAGGAGGTCAAAATATCAACATGAACAAGACTTTGGAAGAAGTTGGTTCTAACTTTCATGGGTGATTTTGAGGGGTTCAAGACTTCAATGGAAGAAGTAACCAGATGTTATGAAAATAGCAAGAGAACTAGAATTAGAAGTGGAGCCTGAAGATGGAACTGAATTGCTTCAATCTCATGATAGAACTTTAACTGGTGATCGGTTGCTTCTTATGGATGTGCAGAGAACCTGGTTTCTTGGGGTAGAATGTGCTTCTGGTGAAGATGCTGTGAACATTGTTGAAATGATCACCAAGGATTTAGAGTATTTTATAACCTTAGTTGATAAAGCAGTGGCAGGGTTTTGAGAGCATGGACTCCAATTTTGAAATAAGTTCTACTCTGGGTAAAATTATATCAACCAGAATCACATGCTACCGAGAAATCGTCTATGAAAAAAGAAAAAGAGTCGATCTATGCAACAGACTTTATTCTTGTCTTATTTTCAGAAATTGCCACCACCACCCCAACCACCCGGATCATTCATCAGCCATCTACGTGGAGGAGACCTCCACCAGCAAAAAGATTATGACTCACTGAAGGCATTGTTAGCATTTTTAGCAATACATTTTAAAATTAATGTTTATACTTTTTTTAGACATAATACTATTGTGTACTTAATAGACCACATTATAGTGTAAATATCACTTTTGTATGCATTGGGAAACCAAAGTATTTGGGTGACTTATGTTATTGCTATATCTCTTTATTGGGATGACCTGGAACTGAGCCTGCACAATCTCCAAGGTGAGCCTGGATATTGCTTTTATTTTATATGTAATCATTATTTCACATTAAAAAATAGACATTAGAAAATTTTCATACTACGAATAATAATGGTCAGCTCTAGCATCATTACATTGAGATTTGAACAATATCTGGCATGAGTGGGGTGTTGACAGATGGCAGTGAGTGATTATTGCTTTCCCCAAAGTGGGAACATTTAAGTTGGAGAAGAGATTCCACCTTTAAAAGGGACATTTTATTGTAAAGCCTGTATCTTTAAATTGATATAACTTTACTAAGATTAAGATATATTTTAACTGCTTGGCACATTTTAGTAATTGATCTTATATTGCATTTATATTATAAAATAGTATTTGTATAGCAGAAAGTAAATGTGGCTTGCACTATTCAGCACCTTTGATACTGATTTCTTTAGGTAGGGCCCTTACTCAATGCCACCAATAACCATGACATTAACGCAGATGTGGCCAATCCAGTGAAGGTCCAGACTGAAATGACACCTGGCACTGAAGGGTGTCATGTTAAAGCCATTTCTAGTTGAAGTATTAAAAATAAACAGTTCTCAAGGGACTGTTTTTGCCAAAATTAGTTGATGGCTGTTTAAAATGGTTGACAGCTCTTCTTAATGCTTGTGATTTGTCCTTATTCAAACCTTAATGAATGTTTCTAATGGTGAGTTTCATGTGCATAAAAACATAGGAAGAAGTTCCGTTCTTATTGTCAGCAGATTGCAATCACAGAGTCATAGACAAAAGTGGAAACAAATTTATAAAACTCTAAAGTTGTAGCTTTCATTGGGCCCAGCTTATTTCCTATATTAGTATAACTTGTATGTACAAGAAGGGAAAGAGCTCATTACATTTTTGGCTTTTATTTGAACCCTTATGATTAACAGATTTATGAAAAATAGTCCCATATGCAAGGGTTTAGTAATTATAATTTCCTCCTTCTTTTAAAATGCAGTCAGTTCTGAGAAACTGTTATATACAATACCATTGTCTATGCCACATGAGGCAAGAGCATTTGGACGTAAAATGAAACACAGGATTCATCATCCTGATGCTTCCCAGTGTTTGGTGCCCCTGAGAAATCCCTCCTGAGCGACTGGCTGGACCCTTTACAAAGCATTTCTCCAGAGTTGACCCTGAAGACATGCTCATAATTACTTATGTGTGTCCCTGAGAAATGTAGGTGAAATTTAAGTTGAATTGAACCTCACATGTGCTAAGGATGTTTGTTATTTAAAGAACCTGTTGTCTATTTATTTTTAAAGAAATCAGCACTTCGTAAGGAAAATCACTATTCATTATTTCTTGGGTACATCTAAATTTTTTCTTTATGTCACTGTGTAGAAATGGAGTTTCAAAAGCATTTGTGGGTGTTTCAGAATTATTTTGATTATTCTCGTACATTTTTACTTTATTTTACAGTAGTTATTTTAGTATTAATATTTAAGTTTTAATGGCTACATAAGAACATTAGGACAAAGAGATGTTTACTGCTCTGAGATTTTACATTTCCAAGCCTCATTAATTCCAAGCAGACTTTAGCTAAACTTGACCTAGCGCTTTGGAAAAATAGGTAAAAGTGTACTGTAACTCCTTTTTGTTATTCAGGAAACACGCATTGTTATAATCCTCACCATCATCATTACTTTCTACAAAACATTTGAGGGTCGAAGAGAGACTCCGTTCACATTACATAAGTAATCATTGTCTTTGTATATACGTTGTCCTTTCCAAAAGTGGTGGCATATATCGATCTCATCAAATAAAAAGTCTCGAACAGATCTAAGCCAATACACACACAGGCACACACACAGAAACACACATGTACAGACACATACACACATGTGCACACATAGAAACATACATGCACAGAGACAAACACAGGCACACACGTGCACACACAAATGCACACACACGTACACACCCTGATTTCTTTCACATTCAACATCTGACTTAGAGGCTGTTCATTTCTTGAGACGATTTCTACAATTTTAGTGTCTGTCCCTGGTGCTGGCGATGCCATTTGGGACCTTAACCCTCAAAGTCGGGTTCAGAGTCAGCTTGACACCCTCGGGAGCTTCTCTGCCCTCAACTTCCACCACACACAGATTTAGTGAATCAGAAACTAGCTTTTAGTAAGATCCCCAGGTGATTCGTGTGTACACTGAAGGTTAGCAGCACGAATTTAGATGATTTCAAATAGTGGCTGTTGATTTCTGGGTATGATAAAGATTTAGCTCCTGCACCATTCACCCCTGCACCCTCCCAGGGCCAAATGCAATTCTTTCTTCATTCTTTGCTTCAGTGAGGTTCTCTTGGAAATTTCACAATTCACACACCTTGACCTTCATATTCATGACAGGCAAGGTCACCTGACCTTCCACTCTGTTTACTCTCTTTTCTTCTCACATTTCTGCATCTGGATTTCCATATTCTTATTTTCAAAGTTGAAAACAATATATTCTGTTTAAACCATGGATAAGTCTATCATACTCAGGCCATAGTTGATCTGAAAGTTGAAATGGAAAGATTTAGCAATGATTTTGGTGACAAGTAACAGGAAATTCAAAGGTGGCTTAAAGTAGACATGTATAAAGCACATGTGTCTAATACACGCAGGTAGCGAGGAGGCCGGGGTGTTAATACACACAATAGTGAGCAGGCCGGGGTGTTAATACACACACAGTTGGTGAGAAAGCCGGGGTGTTAATACACCCACAGGTAATGAGGAGGCCGGCGTGTTAATACACACACAGGTAGTGAGGAGGCCGGCGTGTTAATACACACACAGGCAGCGAGGAGGCCGGGGTGTTAATACACACACAGGTAGCGAGGAGGCCGGGGTGTTAATACACACACAGGTAGCGAGGAGGCCGGGGTGTTAATACACACACAGGTAGTGAGGAGGCCGGGGCATTAATACACACACAGGTAGTGAGGAGGCCGGCGTGTTAATACACAGGTAGCGAGGAGGCCGGGGTGTTAATACACACACAGGTAGCGAGGAGGCCGGGGTGTTAATACACACACAGGCAGCGAGGAGGCCGGGGTGTTAATACACACACAGGTAGTGAGGAGGCCGGCGTGTTAATACACACACAGGTAGTGAGGAGGCCGGGGCGTTAATACACACACAGGTAGCGAGGAGGCCGGGGCGTTAATACACACACAGGTAGCGAGGAGGCCGGGGCGTTAATACACACACAGGTAGCGAGGAGGCCGGGGCGTTAATACACACACAGGTAGCGAGGAGGCCGGGGCGTTAATACACACACAGGTAGCGAGGAGGCCGGGGTGTTAATACACACACAGGCAGCGAGGAGGCCCGGGTGTCTAATACACACACAGGTAGCGAGGAGGCCGGGGCGTTAATACACACACAGGTAGCGAGGAGGCCGGCGTGTTAATACACACACAGGTAGTGAGGAGGCCGGCGTGTTAATACACACACAGGTAGTGAGGAGGCCGGGGTGTTAATACACACACAGGTAATGAGGAGGCCGGGGTGTTAATACACACACAGGTAGTGAGGAGGCCGGGGTGTTAATACACACACAGGTAGCGAGGAGGCCGGGGTGTTAATACACACACAGGTAGTGAGGAGGCCGGCGTGTTAATACACACACAGGTAGTGAGGAGGCCGGGGTGTTAATACACACACAGGTAATGAGGAGGCCGGGGTGTTAATACACACACAGGTAGTGAGGAGGCCGGCGTGTTAATACACACACAGGTAGTGAGGAGGCCGGCGTGTTAATACACACACAGGTAGTAAGGAGGTCGGGGTGTTAATACACACACAGGTAGTGAGGAGGCCGGGGTGTTAATACACACACAGGTAATGAGGAGGCCGGGGTGTTAATACACACACAGGTAGCGAGGAGGCCGGGGTGTTAATACACACACAGGTAATGAGGAGGCCGGGGTGTTAATACACACACAGGTAGCGAGGAGGCCGGGGTGTTAATACACACACAGGTAGCGAGGAGGCCGGGGTGTTAATACACACACAGGTAGCGAGGAGGCCGGCGTGTTAATACACACACAGGTAGTGAGGAGGCCGGCGTGTTAATACACACACAGGTAGTGAGGAGGCCGGGGTGTTAATACACACACAGGTAGTGAGGAGGCCGGGGTGTTAATACACACACAGGTAGCGAGGAGGCCGGGGTGTTAATACACACACAGGTAGTGAGGAGGCCGGGGTGTTAATACACACACAGGTAGCGAGGAGGCCGGCGTGTTAATACACACACAGGTAGTGAGGAGGCCGGGGTGTTAATACACACACAGGTAGTGAGGAGGCCGGCGTGTTAATACACACACAGGTAGTGAGGAGGCCGGGGTGTCTAATACACACACAGGTAGCGAGGAGGCCGGGGTGTTAATACACACACAGGTAGCGAGGAGGCCGGCGTGTTAATACACACACAGGTGAGTGAGGAGGCCGGCGTGTTAATACACACACAGGTAGTGAGGAGGCCGGGGTGTTAATACACACACAGGTAGCGAGGAGGCCGGCGTGTTAATACACACACAGGTAGTGAGGAGGCCGGCGTGTTAATACACACACAGGTAGTGAGGAGGCCGGGGTGTCTAATACACACACAGGTAGCGAGGAGGCCGGGGTGTTAATACACACACAGGTAGCGAGGAGGCCGGCGTGTTAATACACACACAGGTAGTGAGGAGGCCGGGGTGTTAATACACACACAGGTAGTGAGGAGGCCGGGGTGTTAATACACACACAGGTAGTGAGGAGGCCGGGGTGTTAATACACACACAGGTAGTGAGGAGGCCGGGGTGTTAATACACACACAGGTAGTGAGGAGGCCGGCGTGTTAATACACACACAGGTAGTGAGGAGGCCGGGGTGTCTAATACACACACAGGTAGCGAGGAGGCCGGGGTGTTAATACACACACAGGTAGCGAGGAGGCCGGCGTGTTAATACACACACAGGTAGTGAGGAGGCCGGCGTGTTAATACACACACAGGTAGTGAGGAGGCCGGCGTGTTAATACACACACAGGTAGCGAGGAGGCCGGGGCGTTAATACACACACAGGTAGCGAGGAGGCCGGGATGTTAATACACACACAGGTAGCGAGGAGGCCGGCGTGTTAATACACACACAGGGAGCGAGGAGGCCGGGGTGTTAATACACACACAGGGAGCGAGGAGGCCGGCGTGTTAATACACACACAGGTAGCGAGGAGGCCGGCGTGTTAATACACACACAGGTAGCGAGGAGGTCGGGGTGTCTGCTGCTGTTCCCATGGCCCCGCTGTGCTGCGGAACAGTCCCTCGAGGTAACAGGTTGGCTGCCTCACACTTGAGGTTTTGTTTTTCCAGCCCTCAGGTGGAGTCTTCATTATTCTTCTGTAGTTGGACCTGATCTGGCCACAGCTGGCATCCCCAGAACGTCCCTACACCGATTCTCCCGCTCAGGACTGGACATGTAGCGTGTGGCACTTCCAATCAAGGCCTCCACCAAGGCAGGTGTGACTTGCTGAAGGGCAGTTGGCTTCCCTTGAGGCTTGCAGGGCAGTGGACTGGCATAACCATGCCTGGTCCCCATGAGAGCACTTCACTTCATCTGAATTCCTGGAATGTGAGCTAAAAGCAGTAGGTGGGTGAGAGTTTTGTGAGGCGTTGAGGTCTGGCAGTAGGTGGTCTGTGGAAGAGAAGCGGTTTGTCTGCTGGCTCCTTTGTTGCCAGAATACTCAGGGGAGGGGCTGGTGATGTCGTCGTCTACAGAGTGGAGGGACAGGCTATAGGGAAACAGAGCTGTTGTAACACCCAGGGGCCCCACCCACTTCCAGACCAGAAGGGGTGAGGGAGGGAATGGCCAGGAGGGGTGATCTCCAGTGTGGAGACAGTGTGCTGGGGTGGCTCTCCAGGGAGCAGTGAGAACAGGCGGCAAGGTTTGGGGACCTGTTTAGCCCACAGGAGCGCCCCAGGGGATGTGGGCCTGACTGTGGTCACACAGCTGTTCAGCACACCTGCCTGCAGGTAGCCCTTGCCTCCTTACTCACCGAAGCCTAATTGTGAGGGTGGTCTTTGGGCAGCTGCACACACGATCTCTTATCACACAAATCAGAGCCACTTTAAAACCATTAAGACAAAAGCTAAACCCAGGGTGTATGAAGCAGAAAAACGTTGGGACTTGAATGAATTGTGGAGCTGCTGTTTCAGTCTGCCTTGCCTAATTGTGGGCTGCTGATTTTATGCAAAAGATAATTATTGATTTGGTCAAGCCACTGCAAGTTGGTTTTCTGGTACATATTACCAAACTCAACCCTAATATACACGAATTTAACCCATCAGTGAACCCACCGACTGCTCAATCAATTCATGTGACTTAGCGCTGCTGCTGCAAGTATGAATCTGGGTTACTGCCTGTGAAAATGACAACTTACTCTTATCTTTTCCATGAATATGAATCTGGGTTACTGCTTATGAAAATGACAACTACTCTTACATTTTCTGTCGTTCATCAAGGGCTGAGGCAGCTCCGCTTTACAGGCAGCAGGATTTCTTTGTGCTTGAAAGTCTTTGTGTAGGAATCTCCATTTGTTTCTCTTGTTGTCGAGTGAATTGATCTGATCCTAGAACTGCACCGGAACTAATGCCTGGGGTTGCAGGAGCTCCAGGAAGCCCCTGTCGGAACAGGGAGATGGCTCATTGGAACCAGGTCGCCAACCCTCGATGAATCTACAACAACTCTGCTTTTCTTTTTATATTGGGTTTCTGCCTAATATTATACCTAGGAAAAAAAAAGCGTTTCACTGCTTAAAAAAATATTCACTGATTTATTCTTATGCTCTCAGAGAAGTTAAATTACTTAAGATGGCACCTTTTACTAAGCAGCAGAATCAAGGCTTTTGTTTTTTATGCTGGCTTTTAAAGGTAACTATGCAAACAAGATGGTAAAAAGGCCTATTTTATAAAAGAAGGAGGCTGGGACAGCTGAGTGGATAACGATGCTTTTGGGGGACCAGCCGGGTAAAGATGGAGGAGGGGCCCAGGTGGTGTTTCTGGCCTTCCAGAAAAGCTGCAGAAGGAAAGGTGAAGTCCAGAGTCCCCACAGGTGAGCCCTGAAAGCTGTGAATGGGGCTCCGGAGCTTGAGCAGCTGAGAAGCCAAGGCTGCCAAACAGGAGTAAATTCACCCCACGGTGCCCACCATCAATGGGCCGTGAAGTGCATGAGTTTGAAATCGGCAGTCCATTGAACTGTCTTCTATGAACATAGTATTTTCTGAGTTTACTTCTTAATATAATCTATAAAATGCTTTGTTCCACTATGATCCCACCCATTTGAGAGAGGGCAACGTGCTGTCAGGTAAGGGTCTGTGCAATGGATTGTGAAGATAAAGTGATGCACAGGTGTGCAGTGTGGGGACGCAGACACCCTTAGCTCCTTCTGTTGCTATGGTGACCACTTGTTAACTTATCCTTCCTGTTAAATGAAGCTTTAATTAGCATTAAGTTCTACTCTTTCTGCTGACCATGAGACTTCGATCTGGGGATTTTACAGTCAGCCATTGCTCTGCTTAACGTAGCATGTCTTCCCCTCCTGAGTATTTTTTCCAGTGTATACAGTTACTTATTGTGCTGTGTCGGTGGCTGGCCTTCACAGAGATATGCCTAAGAGAACACAGCATGATATAGTATTTACTTTTGTATGTTGGTAAATAACACCAGTAACATGAAGAATACGTTTTCACTGTAAAAGAAACACAATTTGTATTTACATTGAGTACATCAGGACTCTCCCACCCATGGTCCCTGCGCCGGTCTCAACGCTGTTCCTGAGCAGCAGAGGCAGATGCAGTTCCCCTGCGTCTTCTCCGTCTCTCTCTTCCGCTCCTGTCTTGCCATGTCCCCGACCCCAACCACGAGCACTACGTCCTGAATCTTTTATATCTAGTTTAACAGAACAAAACTCATCTATTTTGCCCAAGCATTTCTTCTGCACATTCTAACTTATCCAGAGATCAGTATTTCTCCTTGTGACTCAGAATTTGATTGGAAATCCATGTTGAATGAGATTGACCGTTTAATTCAAGAACACGCCTCTGATGTACACGATTTTTCTCCTCTAGAGGCTAACATGTCTCCTTAAACAGTTTCATAAAAATATCAAAATAATAAAATGAAAAGGGCATTAATTAATCTCACTAATAATGGAGGTGGTGTAATTCTGTGGGTTTTACACAGTGAATGGATTCCCTTGGAAAGGTGATGATGTCAGAGGCTTGGGGCTGAGGCACTGCTTACTTCCCAATTTCATTAAGCATTTTGTTCTCATCAGAAATACTACCCACCTCGTAAAGGTGATGAGAGAATGGCAAGTTTTCCTTAAAGTGGATTAGAAATAGTCAATGTTAGTCTTAAGAATTGATCTGCTGTTACCTGTCAACACCGTCCACATCAGATCAAACATTAGAGCCCCAGGCCTGCGATTTAAAACCTCCACCTGAACAGGGAGTTAGATGACTCTACTTAACATCTACATATTTTAAATTAAATAATCATGACCCCCATCCTCCAGAGTGACTTGCTTTCCTGAGTTCCCAGGACTCTGTGCCTGGACGCGTTTGTTCGGCCTCTCCACTTACATTTATGTATTGTAATAGAAGTCTCATGGCTGTTAATGACCTGGATGTATTATAACCACAAAAGAAAGTATGCTTCCCAAAAGAGATTGTAAAAGTTATTTACATTTGTATCAAAGTTCTACCCACCCAAAGTGTTCTGCTGCCTTCAGCTCCACTGAGAGGGGGCCTGTGGTGCTGACGAACACCTTTAGCTGTGGTTTGGCAGCAAAGAGTCACAGTGATTTGTTGGCCTGATTTTTCTGCTATGCTGACATGCATGCAGCACTTGGCCAGTTGCTTTCTGTTGCCTGACATGTTTCCGACTATGAATACATATGAAATATTGGATAACTACATCCTTTTTGGGAAACCAGTGACTACAACCATCTTGAATGTATTTCAATCATATTAAGTGGTCTATGATTTCCATAAAGTAAAGAAGATTTCACTGGAGTTGAATTTCTAAGTTTACTGTACACTGTGGTGCTGGACTGTTGTTACAGAGGCTGTTAACTATTGTTGACTTCTCTCCCAGCTCTCAGGCTTTCCCCATGCAGCGGGTAGGCTTATGACCTCCCCCACCCAGGATAGCCCCCAAGGAGGGGCCGTGAGCAGAGACCCACCTTGTGGGAAGGGACAGGAGAAGTGTCCAGTTCCTCGACAGCAGAGAAGGGGCTGCCTCACAGCTGCCACGCGT